>NC_000020.11:45102597-45405628 GCF_000001405.40 Homo sapiens
ATATTTCTAGTCTACATGGTTCATCTGTAAGTTTTTTCAAATTGTCACAAATCTCCAAAAATTTTCCAATGTATTTATTGGAAAAAAATCTGCATGTAAGTGGACACTAGCAGTTCAAACTCGTGTTGTTTCAGGATCAACTGTATTTTTAGTGATATATTTTATTAAATCTAAAATATTATGATTTCAACATTGGAATCAGTAAAGAAATTATTGAGATATTTTACATTTTCTTTTTTTTGTACTAAGTCTCTAAAATCCAGTACTAATTTTTCTTATTGCTACATAACAAATTACCACAATTTAGTAGCTTAAAACAATACAAATTTATGATCTCATGGTTTCTGTAGGTCAGAAGTCTGGGCATGGCCTGGCTGGACCCTCAGGGTCTCACCAGGTTGAAGCCAAGGTGTTGGCCAGGGTTGAGGTTCTCATGTGAGCTTCAGAGTTTTCTTCCAAGCTCACAGATTGTTGGCAGAATTCATTTCCTTGTGGTTATAGGACTGAGGTCTCTCTTTTCCTGTTAGCTGTCTCCGAGGGATCAATCTCAGATTCTAGAAGCTGCCCCATAGGCAGTTCATAGCATGAATGCTTGCTTTCTTTCAGGGACATCAGAGTGCTGAATTCCTCTCCTGTAACCAGCCAGAGAAAAATCTCTGGCTTTAAAACTCTCACCTGATTAGTCCAGGCCCACCCAGGGCACTCTCCCTTCTGCCATATAATATACATTCACGGGTTCCACCTACACTTAAAGAGGAGGAGATTATACAGGGATGAGGATCATTGAGGAGGGGTCATCTGAATTCTGCCTCCCATATATAAATCTAGTGTACTAATTTATTTTATTTTTTATTTTTTGAGAGAGATTTTTTGAGATTTATCTATAGCATATCTCAGTTTGGACTAGTCACATTTTATGTGCTCGGTAGCCACACATGGCTCGTGGCTGCCATATTAGACAGCACAGCCCTAGGCTGTGCCACTTTAGTTTTTCCCTCGAAAGAAGAAGTTAGAGCAGGAAGCTGCTTAGTGAGCATCTTGCCCAATTCCCTCATTTGACCAACAGGGAAACTGAGGCAGATTTGCCGAGAAGCAGGTCTTCTGTTTCCTGGCCTAAGAGTTTGTCTGCAGCCTTTGCTACCCCTCAGGACTCAGGAGTTTTCCCTGGAGCTGCAGAGACGGTTTCCAAAATTGAGAGAAAAGACAGACCTATTTCCCAAAGGCAGAAGAGAATGAAACCAGGATCTGGTTTCATCCCCAGATTACACAGTGAGAGGTAAATGAAGTTTTGGTGGAATCTGTGAGCCACAAGAGTGGGAAGGTGGGCCTTATGGGTGGGAAGGACGGGGCATCCCTGTCCTTCATGTACCATGGATGGTCTGTCCCCCAAATTCTCCCTCAGTCCCTGACCAGGTTTAGTCATTGGAATCCATGGGGTTTTACCTTCAGAGTAAGCTTGATTTTGCAGAAAATACAGAAAATTTTGGAATTAAGTAGACCTGGATGTGACGGGCATCTTCTAAGATGTCTCCCAGTGATGTCGGCCTCCTGGTGTTCATGCCCTTGTGCAATCCCCTCCCCTTGTGTGTGGACAGGCCTTACTGAGCTGCTTCTAATGAACAGAATATGGCAAAAGTGATGGGATGTCACTTCTCTGATTAGGTTACTTAAGGTTGTGACTTCCAGCTGGCTTTGATGAAACAAGTTGCCAGGCGGGAAAGGTAAGAAAATGAGGAGGACTTCCAGCCAACAACCAGCCAGGAGCTGCGGTATTCACTTCATTAGTCCTCAAGGAACTGACATTCCGCCAACAACCCTGTGAATTTGAAAGTGGATCCTTCTCTAATTGAGGCTCAGATGAGACTCCCACCATGGCCGACCCCTCGAGTGCAGTCTCGTGAAGCAGAGAAACTGAAGCAGAAGACCCAGTTAAACTGTGCCCGTGTTCTTGACCCATAGAAACTGTGAGATAATACATGTGTGTTGCTTTAAGCTGCTGCATTTGTGAAACCTTGTTACACAGCAATAGATAATGAATACACTGGGTTCGAATCCTGCCTTTGCCACTAAACTGGTGTGTGACCTTGGGCCAAGCACTTCTCTTGGATCTTTATCTTCCTCATCTGTAAAATGGGAACAACACCTACCTTTCAGGATTGAGATGAGGACCAGCACATGCTGTTCCCTCTCCATGAACAACTCCTCCTGCCCTTTCTTTACCCTGCATATCAGTTAGAATTTAACTTAGCTGCGGGAACAGAAACGGAATTACAGTGACTTCACTAGAGAAGAGTTTACTTTTTTTTTTTTTGGCAGGCCAGGGTAGGTACAGCTGCTCATGAATAGCCCTGAAGACCCAGGCTCCTTGTCACTTCCTCCTCCACCATTCTTATGTGACTCATTCGTGCCCACAGCTCCTCTGGGATCCTTTACCGCTTTTGTGCACACAGGCTCCTGGTATGTTTTTCCTCCTGACAGCTGGTATCTGGGGCTTTCCTGAGGCTGCCAGAGCCTGCTATGGCTCCGCACAGGGAGAACCTGAAGTACCTGAGAATGTATGTGCTCCATCTATAGAAACATTTCTTGTTTCTAGAACTGCCCTGTGGGACTTCACTGGATTTCACATCCTCACTGGCTTCTTCTCTTCCTGGTGAACTTCTGTACTCCTATAGCCATTTTTCCTGGAAACATTTCCAAAGCATCACTGTCATATGATTCTTCATCTCAAGATTTATTCTGGGGGAACCCAACTAAGACAATCCTCAAGGACACCAGATGGCTGTTCTAGTGGCAGCAGCCATGTTCCAGGAAGGACACAGGGTAAATGGATGACAGACAAAAGGCCAAGTCTATCTCCTTAGTTAGGAAAACTATAGCTTGCCATGTAGCCCCGCCTAGTAGATTTTTCTTACTTCTGATTGGCCAGTCTTGGGTCACGTGATCATTGTTTGGTGCAAGGGAGCCTGGAGAGGAAACATATTTTTAAAATTTTAATTTACCTTTAAAATTGAAATATACTGTTCCTATGGTAAAGTGCACAACAGCTGAATGATTTTTTTGTAAATAAATGTATGTATCCATTGTAACTACCACCCAGGACAAAATATGGAATGTCACTGGCACTCCAAGAGCCTGGGGGTGGGGTGGGGCAAATATTTCTAACCAGGGACACTGCTATTGGTAAGGAAGAAGGGGAGAATGGATAATTACAAGTGTTCTACTTGGCTAGCTCCTGCTAAAACTCAAGGTCTTGACCTAGATATCATCTTCAGGAAGACTTGCCTGGTTTCTAGGCTGAGTTAGGTCTCTCCTGGCCTCCCATAGCCTCCCAGACCTCTCTAGTCTGGTATATGTCATGCAACTCTCTAGCTAGGGCTTTGTCTCATCCACTAGTGCATGAGTTCTGCGAAGCACAGCCTAAAGCCTATATTAAGTGCTCAGCAAACATTTATTGAATAAGTGAGGGAGGAAAGCAAGGTTAGAGTCTGCAAAAGGAACCAGCCTCCTAGGAGACTTTCCAGAAAGGCAGAGGAGACAGGCAGTACAGATAGAGCTGACTGGGTTGGAGCTGAACTCAGAGATGGCACTGCATAGACCAGCTCACAGAACTGCTGGAACAGGGAGTGAGTTAGCCAGGAAGCTGAGCAGGGAATCTAGAATGGACTGTGTAGATGCTGCTACCTATAGCCAGAGAAGCCATGGTCTGTGACCTGTCACCTCTTGCCATTCCAAGGACCTAGCTCAGAACTCAGAGCTCCAGGATAGTCACAGGGCTCTTGACAGCCAAGTCTTAACTGGCTTAACTGGGAGCTTCCTGCTGTGACCCCCTAATTTTCCTCCTGATGCCTTTGAGGAAAGAAACCTAGGGCAATAAGCTGTGTATCAACAGGCTTGGGTTCCAGTTGTCTAGAATTAAGTCTGGTCACTTAACCTTCTTAGGTCTTTGTGATCTTCATTTTTCAGATATGGACACTGAATCTTCAAATGGGAGGAATCTTAAGTGGGAGAAATCTTCAAAGACCGATTGTAATTAATTAGAGTAGTCAATAGGGATGTAAAGTTTATGGTTAGACTGCTTGGGGTTGAATCCCAGCTCTAGTACTTACAAGTTGGACAACTTTGGCCAAATTAACCTCTTTGTGCTTCAGTTTCCTCATGTGTGAAATGGGGAAAAGTAATGAAGCCTACCCGATAAGGATATGAGGATTTCATGAGATTATACAAGATTATACATGTAAAGTGATTAAAATGATACCTGGTCCATGGCACATGATCTGTAATTGTTAGCTGTTGCTGCCTTTATTACTTTCAAGGGAGGAATATGGTATGGTTTAATCCTGGCTACATCATTTCTCAGCTGGGGGTCTTGGGCAAGTCACTTATCTCATAACCACTATTTCTTCACTGTCAAATGGGAATAGCCTTTCTCAGGGTTATGGGTTGGATGAATGAAATGATGTTTAAAAGTGGGAGATCTGCAGTAGACGTTCATTACAGACTAATAACCAGAATCTGAATTAGTCAAGCTCTTACTGTGATAAATCTGTGACAAACAACCCTTGAATCTCTGTGACTTCTTACCACAAATATTTTTTTCTCTTTGGCAAGTTTGAGGCTTGGCTGGTCTGGCTCAGCTTCAGGCTTGCCCCAGGTGTCTCTCCAGCAAGACAAGTGGCTCCGGGCAAGCTCTTCTCATGGCAGAGGGCAGAAGCTCTAAGAAGGGTGGAGGTCAGGTGAGGTGGCTCACACCTGTAATCCCAGCACTTTGGGAGGCTGAGGCAGGCAGATTGCCTGAGGTCAGGAGTTCAAGACCAGCCTGGCCAACATGGTGAAACCCCATCTCTACTAAAAATATAAAAATTAGCAGGGTGTGGTAGCAGGTGCCTGTAATCCCAGCTACTTGGGAGGCTGAGGCAGGAGGATCACTTGAACTCGGGAGGTGGAGGTTGCAGTGAGCCAAGATCGTGCCACTGCACTCTAGCCTGGGCAACAAGAGCGAAACTCCATCTCAAAAAAAAAAAAAAAAAAGAATGGTGGTGTTTTGTCTTTAAACAGGCTACACTGTCACTGCCACCCACATCCCATTAGCTAAAACAGGTCTCCTCGCCCAGCCCAAGTCACTGGGGCAGGCTGTACACTCTCCCTGAGGGAAGCCACTGTAAGCATGGGGTGGGGAGGGGAAAGGGACAATTGTAGGCAAATAATCCAATCTACAATATTACCTGTGTTAACTATCTGAAGCTATATGTATATGGGGAAACTGAGGCCCAGAAAGAGGAACAGAAATATCCAAGTTTGCTCAGAGTCAGTGACTCCCAGATAGTTCTCCTTCCCCTCTCCAAGACCTCAGTCTATATCCATGTAGTTAGCATTTGGTACTTTTGAGTCAACCGTTCAAGCATTTGAATCCCATGGTAAGAACAAGGAGGGTGAGGAAGTAGAATCCCTTCCATCTTCCGATGGGGCAAACAGAAGCCCAGAGTGCAGAAGGATGACCTGTCATCATACTGCAAGGTCAAGAGAACAGGGAAAGAAGACCAAGGATTCCCAAGTGTACCTCCACAGTGGACCGCCCAGTCCCTCAGTCTTGTGCTGGACACAAGAGGCCCAGCAGATAGAGCAGGGAATTTGCCACCTCCTTCCTGGGAGGAAAGTGGGAGAGTCAGGAATCCAGCTGTCTGGGTCCAGGGATATCCCTTGGGATGACTGTCATTCCCTCATTGACCCCTTCTCCCCGCAAGAAACACTTGTTAAACCCTGACTGCATACTGGACCCAGGAGAAACTGAGGTGAGTGAGGTGGAGAGAGAGCCATCACAATAATGACATCCCGACGACTTGAGCAACATTTCCCCAAATTTTGGGCAATTTGAAGTGATCTTAGTATGTACCTGGATGCAGTGTCACATAACATGGACTCCTGGAGGGAGAAAGTCATTCCCTTCTCAATTCTTCTGATTACCTCAGGGAGAAAGTCTCAGCTTAGACATTTGCATCTTTTATTTATTTATTTATTTATTTTATTTTTTTATTTTTATTTTTTTTTGAGACGGAGTCTCGCTGTGTCACCCAGGCTGGGGGGCAATGGTGCGATCTCCGCTCACTGCAAGCTCCACCTCCTGGGTTCACGACATTCTCCTGCCTTAGCCTCCCGAGTAGCTGGGACTACAGGCGCCCGCCATCACGCCCAGTTAATTTTTTGTATTTTTAGTAGAGACAGGGTTTCACCGTGTTAGCCAGGATGGTCTCCATCTCCTGACCTCGTGATCCGCCTGCCTCAGCCTCCCAAAGTGCTGGTATGACAGGCGTGAGCCACCGTGCCCGGCCGATGTTTGCATCTGTAACCCTTTAAAATCTTCATTGATTAAAACATAGACTGGCCGTGCACGGTGGCTCACATATGTAATCCCAGCACTTTGGGAGGCTGAGGCAGGTGGATCACTTGAGGCCAGTAGCTTGAGACCAGCCTGGCCAACATGGTGAAAACCTGTCTCTACTAAAAATACAAAAATTAGCCAGGCATGGTGGTGGGCACCTATAGTCTCAACTACTTGGGAGGCTGAGGCAGAAGAATCGCTTGAACCCGGGAGACGGAGGTTGCAGTGAACCAAGATCGTGCCACTGCACTCCAGCCTGGGCAACAGGATGAGACTCTGTCTCAAAAAACAAAAAACCAAAAACATAGAGTGAGTACAGGCTTCAGGCTCAGTCTTGGCAGGTGGCTGTAGCTAGCTAGAGTTTAATAACACTATTTAATATCATTTAATCTGACATGATTTACTTTAATGGAACTGAGCTGTTTCCATTGCATTTGTTTTCATAATTCCATTTGTGGTAATTGATCTCATTTATAGTAGTGATATCAATTTTCTTTTGAAATGAATTTATTTATATACAAAAGTGAGCCATTTAAAGAAAACATTAAGTAAATGGTGGTACAGGCAGCGTGCAACCTATCATGGTGCTATTTTGTAGGTATGGTGAAAATCATGAAAGAGGTGAATGACTGATGTTTGGAAAACTCTGCAAGAATATTCATTCTGGATGGTTGGGCTGCCTGAGGGAGAGGTCAGGGTCTGCCTGAATTGGGCATTTTTGGTGGAGGAAGCAGCATGTACGGATTGGTGTGAAAGCGTTAGGAAGGGTGGGAAGCTCGTATGGCAGTGGTGCAGAGTACTGGGGTGATACAGAGGCCTTCCTCCGAGCTCAGGCTATGGACTTTGACTCCCAGGAGGAGAAACCAGGGGTGGATGGGTTGCAGGGAAGTGTCAGCAGGCCAGTGATTATCAGAAGGCTGGAACCACCGCTGGTAGAGATAGTGCTGTCCAGCGGGCAGGGCCCCAGGCCTCCCATCGTGAACTCTTTCCGTTGGTCCCCAGCTTAGGTGCAGAGCCACAGATCCTAAATCAGAATTAGCCTGAGGAGGGAGAAAGAAAGGGTTAATTCCTTCCCATAATAGGGCTCTGGTTTCTGGCCTTGGTCTCCCATCCATGCCCCACCAGCTCAGCTCTGGTTGCCACCAAGGCAGGATTCCTCTGCCCCCTTCAAAAGGGCAAACAGAAGCCCAGAGCAGTTTAGGGCTGTCATCCAGGTGCCACAGCAAGCTCAAGAAGAGAACCAAGGACTCCCGGGTCCTCTGTCATCCTAGCAGGACTCCTCCAACCCCTATCCAGTTTCCTAATCCTGGCCATGGGAGGTCCTGACTTCTGGGGAGGCATCCTGTTAAGCTTGTAGCAATGAAGAAAGTATTAGAGCTGGGCTCGGAGAGGGGAGGCACCTGCCCTGGGCACCCAGGAGCCGTACCTCTGGCAGGATCCCGGCAATCCCGCCCGCAGGCGCTGTGGCAGCATCGCTTTTTGCCCGAGCAGTCTGAGTCCTTGTGACACAGGTGGTTCATGGGGCTGAGGCAGCGCAGTTGGTCCTCTGGGCAGCTGCCCAGCTTCACTGCAACACAGGGAACTGGGTGAGCTCCGTCCTTGCCCACTGGCCCTGAAGCTTGGGGCTTGGATGGTCAGCAAGGTGGAGGGGAGGCATTTACCAGAGACCCTGGGGACACACTGGCGGAAGCAAGCTCTGTAGCAGCACTTCCTGGTCAAGGGACACTGGCTGTCTTCCACGCACTGGTCAGGCACCGATAGGAGGCAGGGCCCATCATCTGGCGGGCAGCCCCCCGATTTCTCTGTAAGAGAATCTCCTAATATTGCAGCTGGAGGAAGCTCACGGTTATGTAATAAGCGCTGACCTGGGAATGACAAGACTGAATTCTCCATCCCTTGCTTTTTGCCTGTCTTTTGGCTAGTTGTTATTTTTGTTTGTTTGTTTGTTTATAATGACTCCAAGCCTCAGTTTTCTGGCTGTGAAATGGGAAGCTGGGCTAGTTTGAGACTCAGATGGCACAAATGACAGGGGAAAATGAAGCCCAACATCTCCACTGTGGCCAATAAGGCCATGCCTGGTCTGGGCCCTGCCCATCTCTCTAGCCCCATCCTCTACTGCCCTCCCACTCAGTGCCTCCTGATCTGCTCCAAGCCAGCTCTCTCTGCAGGGCTCTTGCTCGGGCCGCATCCTTTGCCTAGTGCACTTCTCCTGTACTCCATGCGCCTGGTCAGCTCATTAGGACTCAGCAGAAACATCGCATCCTCAGAAGACCCTACTTCTCTGACCCCACATTAACTAGGTCAGCGCCCCCCCACCCCGGCCCCCACACACACACTCATTTCTTTCCTCCAGAGTTTGTGATGCTGCATCTGTTTGTCTGTGTCTCTCACTTGGCTGGAGGTGAGGAGAGTAGACACCCTGCCAGCTTTGCTCACCGTTGGTCCATATCACAGCCCTTGGCGCACAGCAGTAGGGCTCAGTGACTTGGAAAGAAAGGGTTTTGAAGTGAGGCCCAGCATTGCACGTGCGTCAGCAGTGGCCAGCCTGGTGCACTGTCACAGCCACAGCTGGCCACGTCTTCTGCACCGTTGCGTTCATCACTGTTGCAAATGGCATGGTTTCGAGGATCAGGCGTTAACTCTGTCTCTGAGGCGTTCCTCTGAATGGTATAGAGTGTCCTGTCCCAGAGCTTACCTAACATTCTTCTTGCTGGGATTTTGGGCCATGTTCATATTTCATGCACAAAGCTGGAAATCAGTATCCTCCTCCATGTAGAGGAGGAAATCAAGGCCTGAAAAGGGCAGTGACTTGTCCAGACCCACATGGGCTGGGCTTAGGACTCCCAGGGCCCGGCTCCCTCTGACCTCTGTGAGTGTCCACCCTGAGCTGTCTTTGAGCTGTAGGGATGGAGCAGGTCCCAGGTCTTCAATTCAATCCAGCATCAGAGAAAATGTTCAAGAGTTCCGAGGGGCAGCTGGATCTGGTTCTGTGACTTTACCTCTGTGTCCGCCCCTCCCCCTCAGCCCCCTGCCTGGGTGCTGGCTGCACACATAAGTAGGCACCTTGCTCACATCCTACGTGCGCTAAGTCAACTTCAGCTGTCACATCGGGTTGGTTTAAATTAAATTGCTGCCCCCTGCTGGAGAAAGAGAGGCTTGGCGTGGGGAGGGGGAAAAAGTGTGGGTTTGGGGTGGTGGGGGTGATGGGAGGGTTCCTGGGAAACTGTCTGAGGTCCAAGGTTTAGCCCTGAATTCACAAGTCCAAGTCAAAGGTGCGCAGGCCTCAAAGGGTGGGCCAAACGGAGCTGCGTGCACTCAAAGCCGGTGGAGCCGGGTGGGTCAGGCAGGGAGAGCTTCTGTGGCGAGGGGCCTGGGGCTGGCCTTGGGGAATGGACAGATAGGGATGGGGCATGACAGCTGGCATTTCCAGTGGAAGAACTGCGATAGCTGCAATGTGGAGGTGGGGATAAAAGCCTGGCGTGTGCAGAGCCGGCGTGAGAGGCTCTGGGTGGTCACACTCACTCTGTTTGCCTGCCTTTCCTAACAGTCCCTCCAAACCAGGTTCTCCACTCACAGATGTGTACATCGAGACAGTCACACACACAGATGGTCATCCAGATGCATGCGCCATGGGTGTGTAGACTTAGAGAGCAAAAGAATCGTATCCAAACATGGTTAAATATATACACTTGTACACACAGACGATACACACATAGTCAAATACACAAGCACATTTAGATCTAGACACACAATTAGCTACAGGCTTAACAGTAGGAAACTGCAGATAGTCAACTGTTTTATCTACAAAAGTAGCAATTTTACATGGTTCAACTTAATACACACATATATACATATGGACATATATCAGAGAGTTATATATATGCAATATATTTATAAACATATATAAACAGGCAGTCATGTATGTACATATGAGCTGGAACATAATCACTGTCATTTACACATGCCTACCCACATAGATACATACACACAGATAGACACTCAGACACACACAGTTATGTATATAAATATATAAATATATAGCATATGTATGTGAACAGAGAGACATACATAAGCATACACAGTCATATATACAGAATCATATGCACAGAGCTACACAGACACATATATCTTCCCAATACCACATAACCACTGACAGCATTTAATTAGGCACTTGCTGTTTATCAGGGACTATGCCAGGCTCTTTGTATCAGAGACACCCAGACGTTTGAGTGAGAAGGGGGCAGAATGGGGAGCTCTTATAAACAGAGGCGGCTGGGCTTCCACAGGCAACAAACTGAGACTTCCCTTCCCTTGGCTTCGTCACCTTCCTCCATTGTCTGAAATTCTACCAACAGCTCGGCAATGTCTTACAGGAGAGAAACCAGTGGGGGACAAGGTGTGGTGAACTGGGGGAGAGACAAGCTTGTCACACCTGCCCATGCAGAGTGGCCCTGCGCAGGCTCGGTTTCTGCTGTGCCAGCTCTTTGCCTCTGAGCAGCTGGGCTGAATATTGGGGTGTGCTCCCTGGGAACACAATGACTCCCCCAAATCACCCACTTATGCTGTGCTTACTGTGTGCCAGGCCCTTATTCCTCGAGACACCATTTACTCCTGAGAGAGAGGCATGGGACCCCATTTTACAAGGAGTAAGTCTCCAGACCTGTCCTGTTGCCTTCCAGGAGTGTCCTGCCTGGAAGTCCTAATAAACTCATGCACTTGCCAATCTGGCCTTGTCTAAGTCATTCTTTGTTCTCTCAGCTCCTTCCTATGTTGGGGGTGCATTGTCCTGTACAGTCCTGGGTTTTTGCTGTAATAGTTGGTAAAGTGAATCTTTCTGATTTCAAATACTTGCACTCATGCACTTGCTAATCTGGCCTTGTCTAAGTCATTCTCTGGTCTCTCAGCTCCTTCCTATGTTGGGGGTGCATTGTCCTGTACAGTCCTGGGTTTTTGCTGTAATAGTTGGTAAGGTGAATCTTTCTGATTTCAAATACTTGCATTCAAATGCCACATTTGGCACTAACTCAGAGTCAGTCTTTGACCTTGTTAAGTGGTTCCCCGCTATGCCTCAATTTTCCTCATCTGCAAAATGGGGATGAAAATAGTCCTGTCCTCACAGCACCTTGTCGAGGAGTTACGTGATGATGGTGCATGAATCACAGCCAACACAGGGTCCAGCCTTGGAGCTCACCAGTGTACTTCCTTCCTCAGCCTGTCCCCATTACTGTCCCCTTTCTTTAAGGCAGGGCAAGGGTTGCACAGGTGAATGTAGGTTGGAGTGTTCCAGCCCCAGAAAAGGACGCAGGTGGAGGCCTCACCCAGATCAGGAGTCACCTGTCTAGCCACTCAGCAGCCCTCCCTCACCTGTCAGCAGGCCAGCCCCAGCCTTGTCAGGGGTGGGAATGGGGACAGGAGGTTGGGGGCGATGAGAGTTAGAGACAGAGCTTCCTCCCCACAAAGCCCAGATCCCAGAAGCCACACCCTCTCCTCAATTCCCAAGTCCCTTCCACAGATGGGGTGGTGGACCCACTGACCCAGTCACACCACAGCCCAGCAGGCACAGACAGGGTCCCTCCCCACACCTGAAGGCACAGAGACACACATGGACAGGCACCAAGCTCAGACACATGCGTGCAGCCATTCCTAAGTGTACGTGTGCAGACAGAGCTTTGCACAGACAAGCAGACGCAAAGACACATGTCTACACAGACACAGGCACATGCATTCCCCGCCCTGCCACCCCCTGACATATAGACAGGCACAGACAAGCACCGAGAAACTGGCAGAAAAGACACTTACAGATACCAACACAGGCAGGTGGACAGGCACAAATGTACACACATAAAAACACAGGCTTCTGAAAGCACTAAGAATCAGGCATCCACACATACACACACGCACGCACGCACACACACACGCGCACACACACCCCACAGGGCATTACCTGCCTTCCCCCAAACCCTTACTCTCCCTAGAGAAGTAGAGACAATCTGGTCCCCCCAGCAGAGGGATTTCCCGCACTCACCTCCCTTCTTCCTGCCAAAGACAGCAGGCAGCTGACTCCCCACAGCCAGGAGGGCCCCCAGGAGGAGAAGGCTCTGGGTCCTCATATTTCTGCTGCCGGCTCAGGGCCCAGGGCCCCCCAGATTAACACCTGCAGCCTCAGGGAAGCCAGAGAAACTTAGTCAGGAGAGGAAAGAGAGGGGGTGTGGAGTGACACCGTGCCTGCTTCATCTTGGCCCCACCCCCTGAGGGCCCGAGGACTCAGTGCAAGGGATGCTGTCACAATAGCTGAAGATAGGGTGGCGGCACATCCTGCATGTGGGGGACTCAGATCCAGTCTTGCCTGTATCGGTGACTTGGGCTGTGATCTTGGGCAAGTCTTGTCTCTCTGGGCTTCAGTTTTTTCATCTGTACACAGGGTGAAGGTTGTTGAGGCAGATGCTTGCTATCCTGGCTCTCAAAGATGTTGAAGCCCCAGCGATGTCTAGGCAGCGGGTAGAGGTCAGCTTTGAATAGCAAAGGAGTGGGGGTTTGCAGAGTTCTGGATGCCTAGGAAGGGAGAAGGCATTAGGGTTAGGCCAGAGCTTGCAGCCAAAGAAGGCTGGCCCAGGCTGGCATAATGAGTGAGGCCAGCCCTGGCCTCTCCTCTTGGGTCCTGTGGATGGGAGAAAGACCACCCCGCCTTTGGTGAGATCACCAGTGGCTTCTGATAGAACTGCCCTCTTCCTGGGGCTGGCTTGGCTGTTGAGGGTGGGGGAGCATGGCTTTTGGCTTGGCTAAGTTTGCTGGTCACAGCAGATGTGTGGCCACTGGAACCTCTTCTCTGGCCCTAAGGGATCCTGAGCAAAAAAATGTCATCTCATCCAGGGACCCCCACCTTAGATTTCGTATCTCTGATGTTGCCTCCTGCATTTGGTAGAAGAGAGGGAGCTGAGACTTGGCATCCTAAGGGACATCCTAAACAGAAACTCCATCGAAGTACATTCTCTCAGCCTTCTCATTTGAAAGACGAGGAAACTGTGAGATAGAGATGAGAGGGGACTGGCCCAAGGACACGCAGCTAATTCCTGACTAAGCTGGGACTTCCCACTGTGGCCTCCCCATCACCCTCATTCAGTTCCTGGGTTTTAAAAGCAGGTCAATACCTCATCTGATCCTGAGAAAGGAGGGTGATATTACAGGGCTTGTCTCACTTACCCATTCCAATCCAGGACAGCCCTGGCAGCAGGAAGTTCTTCCTTGGGTTTAATGTGAATCTCTCGTGCTGTCTTCTAAGCTATTAAGATAGGAGAGGCTCTGTCTTCTATGATCTGATGTTGCTTTTGGAATGCTGGCACCTCCTTGGAAGCTTTATTTTGGAGGACAAATATATGAGCCCTTCCTTCCTCCCTCCCTCCACCCCTCCCTCCCTCCACCCCTCCCTCCCTCTTTCTTTCTTTTTTCTTTTCTTTCTTTCTTTTTCTTTTTCTTTCTTTCCTTTTTTCATTTCTTTCTTCTTTCTTTCCTTCTTTCCTCTCTTTCTTTCCTTTCTCTTTCTTTCTTTTCTTTCTTTCTTCTTTCTTTTTCTTTCTTCTTTCTTTCCTTTTTTATTTCTTTCTTCTTTCTTTCCTTCTTTCCTCTCTTTCTTTCCTTTCTCCTTCTTTCTTTCTTTCTTTCTTTCTTTCTCTCCTTCTCCTTCTTCTTTCCTCTCTCTCTTTCTCTTTCTCTCTCTGTCTTTGACAGAATGTCGCTATGTCACCCAGGCTGGAGTGCACAGTGCCATCATGGCTCACTGAACCCTTGACCTCATGGACCCAAGTAGTCCTCCTGCCTCAGCCTCCTGAGTACCTGGGACTATAGGCATGCGCCCCAATATTTGGCTAGTTTTTATTTTTTGTAGAGATGGGGGGTCTTCCTATGTTGCCTAGGCTGGTCTCTAACTCTAGGACTCAAGTGATTCTCCCACCTTGGCCTCCCAAAGTGCTGGGATTCCAGGGGTGAGCCACTGTGCTCAGCCATGAAATGCTCTTTTTTTTTTTTTTTTTTTTTTTTTTGAGACGGAGTCTTCCTCTGTCATCCAGGCTGGAGTGCAATGGGGCAATCTCTGCTCATTGCAACCTCCGTCTCCTGGGTTCTAGCAATTCTCTGCCTCAGCCTCCCAAGTAGCTGGGACCACAGGCGCCCGCCACCATGCCTGGCTAATTTTTTGTATTTTTAGTAGAGACGGGGTTTCACCATGTTGGTCAGGCTGGTCTTAAACTCCTGAATTCAGGTGATCCACCCGCCTCGGCCTCCCAAAGTGTTGGGATTACAGGCATGAGCCACCATGCCAATGCTTTTTAAATTAAAATTATTTTGTAGACATTTTCCTGTGCTGTGAAATGTTCTCTAAACATCATGTTTTCTGATGGCTACATGCTGTTTTGTTAGATCTATATGTCAAAACATCACTTCAGTAAAGTTTTTAGGGAAAAAAGATATGCCAAAATATACACAATCAGTATCCTATTATGAAACATGGAGGTTTCCAATTTTCCACTTTCATAAATAAAGCTGTGATAACCATCTTTTTGTGTACATTTTGGAGTCACATCTCTGACTGTTTTCTTAAAGTAAATTTGTCAAAGTTAGAAATGCTAGGTCAAAAGGCACAGTCATGTTTCCAGGCGTTGGATATATCTGGTCAAATTAAATTTCAGAAAGGAAGTAAGTGAGTGTACAAGAGCCTCCACCTGCCCTGCCATAGACCTCTATTGTTTCGTCTGCCCAGCGTCTCTTCCTTTGGTGGAACCATTGCCTCCTGACTGCTGTCATTCTGGTTGGTTGCCAATCAGCAGGTACTTCTCCTATCAAAGCTGAGGGCACTGGATCCAGGTTACACCCACTGCACTCTTCTCCACCCCTAACTTGCCCACGCCTTCATTAGAGTCTTGAACAGATAAGCCAGTTCTCTAAACAGAACAGTCCAAAGCTCAGATGCTGTTGCTCACAGCCAAAGATCCTTAGTGGATATTCTTACTACATACAGGATATTAAAAAAATAAGTAAATAAAATCTTTGCTAACGGAAAACAATATTTCATTTTAATTTGTCTTCCTCTTCCTCTTAATACCCATGATGGTGAGCATTTCTTCATATTCGCATACTGACTGTATCCTTTCTCTGTGAATTGCCTGTTTTTGTATTTTGCTCATTTTTATTGGGGGTCCTTTTATTTTTGAGTTTTAAGAGCTGTTTATATATTAAGAATCTATTAACCTGTCATACACAAGGGGCAGTAGTGAACAGATGTATATTGGAGTTAGGCAGACCTAGTTTTGAATCTTGGTGCCATAGGCTCTATCTGTTTGACATTAATTTTGTAAAACCCCTGTTTATTTTTGTATACCAGTAGAGATAGAGATAATCATATACGTGTTATAGGATGGTTCTGAGAACTGAATGAGATAAACTTGATAAATGCTTTGATGCTATATTGCAAATATTTCTTTCCTCATTTTTGCTTAGTACCAAAGGATTAAATTTTGGGGTAATCAATTCAATCTTTTCATTCATATTTTCTCCTTTTATTTTTATGCTAAAAAGGCTTTTTGACTCTGATGTTAGATAAATATTCACTATATTTACTTGTTATTATTTTGTGATTTTTGAAAGACATGATAATTCTTTAATCTAGCTGAAGTTTATCTTGGTATAGAGCGTGAAATAGGAAATATCTTTTTTTTGTAAGTAATTAAGCAATTGTCCTATGATCATTTAGTGAATAATTTAAACTTTTGCCATTGATTAAGAATTAAAACTTTATCAATAACTTAAGTCTTATTGTAACAGGGGCTGTTTATGGGTTTTCATTTTTTTTCTTTTCCTTTTTTTTTTTTGAGATGGAGTCTCGCTCTGTCACCCAGGTTGGAGTGCAGTGGCATGATCTTGACTCACTGCAACCTCCACCTCTCGGGTTCAAGCAATTCTCCTGCCTCAGCCTCCTGAGTAGCTGGGATTACAGGCACATGCCACTACACCCAGCTAATTTTTGTATTTTTAGTAGAGACAGGGTTTCACCATGTTGGTCAAGCTCCTCTCAATCTCCTGACCTTGTGATCTGCCCGCTTCAGCCTCACAAAGTGCTGGGATTACAGACGTGAGCCACCGTGCCTTGCCCGTTCTTTTCTTTTGACTGTTTATTCTTATGCCAGCACAGACAAGCATGTATTGTGGGTTCAGTTCCTGACCACTGAAATAAAGAGAATATTGCAATAATATTTGGTTAGTTTTTATTTTTTGTAGAGATGCGGGGGGCGGGGGCCTTCCTATGTTGCCCAGGCTGGTCTCTAACTCCTGGACTCAAGTGATTCTCCCACCTTGGCCTCCCAAAATGCTGGGATTAAAGTGAGCCATGTGGATTTTTTGGTTTCCCAGTGTATCTAAAAGTTATGTTTGCACTATAGTGTAGTCTATTAAGTGCAAAATAGCATTTGTCTAAAATAAGTATGTACCTTAATTTAAAAATACTTTATTGCTAAAATATGCTAATAATCATGTAAGCCTTCAGTGAGTCATCATCATCTTTCTGCTGGCGGAGGGTCTTACCTTGATGTTGAGGCTGCTGAATGATCAGGGTAGTGGTTTCTGAAGGATAGGTTGACTGTGGCAATTTTAAAAAATCAGACAACTATGAAGTTTGCTGCATCCATGGACTCTTCCTTTTTTTCAACTTTCATTTTAGAATTAGGGGGTACATGTGCAGGTGTGATACAAAGGTATATTGTGAAAGATTTCTCTGTCACATATTGTGAAATACTATCAAACATGCAATGCTGTTTGATAATATTTTATACACTGTACATCCTCTTTCAAAATCAGAGTCATGGCATGGTGCAGTGGCTCATGCCTATAATCCCAGAGCTTTGGGAAGCCAAGGCAGGAGTATCACTTGAGCCCAAGAGTTTGAGACCAGCCTGGGCAATACAGTGAGGCTCTACCTTTACAAAAAATTAAAAAATTAGCTGGATGGTGGTGCATGCCTATATCCTACCCCCTCGGAAGGCTGAGGTAAGAGGATTGTTTGAGCTCAAGAGTTCAAGGTTACAGTAAGCTGTGATCATGCCACTGCACTCCAGTCTGGGCAACAGAGCAAGACCCTGTCTCTGAAAACAACAACAACAACAAACAGTTGGAATCAATTCTCTCAAACCCTGCTGTGTTATCGACTAAGTTTACATAATACTTTAAATTCTTGGTTTTGTCATTTCAGCAATGTTCACAGCATCTTTACTAGGGGTAGATTCTATCTCTCAAAACTACTTTCTTTGCCCATCCGTAAGAGGCAACACCTCATCCATTCAAGTTTTATCATAAGATTGTAGCAATTCAGTCACATCTTCAGGCTCCACTTTAATTCTAGTTCTTTTGCTATTTCCACCACATCTGCAGTGACGACTTCCTCAACTGAAGTCTTGAACCCCTCAAAGTCATTCATGAGGGTTGAAATCAACTTCTTCCATACTCCTATTCATGTTGATATTTTGACCTACTCCCATGAATCATGAATGTTCTTAATAGCAGTTAGACTGTGAGCCCTTTCCAGAAGGTTTTCAGTTTACTTTGCCCAGATCCATCAGAAGAATCACCATCTGTGGCAGCTATGAGATGTATTTCTTAAATAATGTATAGCCTTATGAGATGTATTTCTTAAATAATAAAACTTGAAAGTTAAAACTACTCCTTGATTTGCAGAATAGATGTTGTGTTAGCAGGCATGAAAATATTAATTGTCTTGTACATCTCTGTCAGAGCTCTTGGGCTATCAAATGCATTGTCAATAAGTAGAAATATTACAAAAGGAAAGTAGAAATTGTTTTTTTTTGTGAGCAGTAGGTCTTAACGGTGGGCTTAAAATATTCAGTAAACTATGCCGTAAATGGATGTGCTGTCATCCAGGCTGTGTTGTTCCACTTATAGAGCACAGGCAGAATAGATTTAGCATAATTCCTAAAGGCTCTAGGATTTTTGGAATAGTAAATGAGCATTGGCTTTAACTTAAAGTCACCAAATACACTAGTCCCTAATAAGAGAGTCAGCCTGTCCTTTGAAGCTTTGAAGCCAAGCATTGACTTCTCTCTAGCTATGAAATTCCTAAATGGCCTCTTCTTTCGATAAAAGACTGTTTCATCTACATTGAAAATCTGTTGTGTAGCGTAGCCACCTTCCTCAATTATCTTGTGTAGATCTTCTGGAGAACTTGCTGCAGCTTCTCCATCAGCACTTGCTGCTTTACTTTACACTTTTATGTTATGGAGATGGCTTCTTTCCTTAAATCTTGTGAACCGACCTCTGCTATCTTCAAACTTTTCTTACGCAGCTTCCTCACCTCTCAGCTTTCATAGAATTGAAAAAAGTTAGGGCCTTGCTCTGGATTAGGCTTTGGCTAAGGGGATGCTGTGGCTGTTTTGATTTTTTTATCCAAACCACTAACATTTTCTCCATATTAACAATAAGTCTGTTTCACTTACCATTTGTGTGTTTGCTGGAGTAGCTGTTTTAATTGCCTTCAATAACTTTTCCTTTGCATTCATAACTTGGCTAACTGGTAAAAGAGGCCTAGCTTTGGACCTTTCTTGGTTTTCAAACATGCCTTCCTCACTAAGGTTAATCATTTCTAGCTTTTTTTGATTTAAAGTGAGAGACATGACTCTTCTTTTCACTTAAACACTTAAAGGCCACTGTAAGATGATTAATTGGCCTCATTTCAGCATTGTTGTGTTCCAAGGGAGAGAAACAGAGAATGGCCGGTTGGGGGAGAAATCAGAACATATGTGACATTTATCGATCAAATTCACTGTCTTATGTGGGCACAGTTTATGGCACCCTGAGACAATTAGGAAAGTATCATCAAAGATCACTGATCACAGACCAACATAACAGATGTAATGATAATGAAAAAAATTGAAATATTGTGAATATTACCAAAATGTGACACAAAGACACATAGTGAGCACATGCTATAGGAAACATGCAGCCAATGTACTTGCTTGGTGCAGGGTTGCCACAAACCTTCAATTTGTAAAAAATGCAATGACTGCAAAGCACAATAAAACAAGGTATGCTTGTATTGTGGCTGTAATTGTTGTAGCTCCATAATATGTTTTAGTGACTGGTGGTATCCATTACCCTTCATTAGTCTACATTTTCAATTTTCCAGGTTACAAGTATTTTATTGTTCCATGTGAACCTAATGATCATTTTGTTAAGTTGCAAAAACAAACCCTTGTTTTTATCATAAAATGTTTTCAAAAATGCACAAAAGAACAGCAAATACTTTTATGGAGCCTACATACCCATCATCCAGATTCAACAATGAACCATTTTACAAGAATTCCTTCATGCATATCCCCACCCCTTTTTTGGCTGAAGTATTTTAAAGTAAATCCAACCGATCTTATACTTTACCTTTAAATACTTCAGTGTGCATCTCTAAAAACTAAGGACACTTTCTCACATAATGACAATCCTACTGTTACACCTAAGAAAATTAACTGCAGTTTCTTAACATCATCTAATATTCTATTTGCATCTTGTTTTTCTTATTGTCTCAAAAGTGACTCTATGGTTGTTGGTGCACATATTGCATTGGCTGTAATGTATCTGAAGTTTCTTTTAATCTAGAACAATCTCTCCAACTCTTTTTTATTCTCCTTTCCTCCCTCCTTCTTCTTCTTCATGCTATTGACTTGTTGAACAAAACAGACAAATTGTTCTTTAGAATGTCCCATGTTGCTTCCCTGTGATGTCTTTCATCTTCTTTGTCCTTCACATTTCCCATAGATGAATGCTAGCTGTAGAGGCTTGGTGAGGTTCATGCTCAACTGTCTTGGCAGGAGCCCTTCTTGAATGATGCTGTGTGTTTTGTGTTGCATCACCTCAGGAGGAACGGAGGTCCGCTTTACCCATTTTTAGCATTGTGGAGACAGATTAATGTGTTTTCGGTGTGTACCTGAATCCTCAAGTTGTAAACTTGTGTTTTCCCTCTTACAAACTGTAAATATACCACAGGGTGATGAAATGGCACCCTGTAAATATTCAGAAGCCATGGATAATCATTGCCAGAATCAATTATTTCATTAGGGTTTGCAAAACCCAGTGGGTTTTAATTTTAATTATATTTCAGGTATAAATTATGCTGACCAAGGTGAACACTTTGAGGAGGCTTCCTGCTTGGGGAAGAGCATATCTTTTAAAAAACATTTATTTATTTATTCTGTAGAAAAGTTTAGTCTATTTATCCAGATCTTTTAAAATGTCATTTAATAAAGTTTTAGGGTTTCCTTTCAGAAAATTTCTGTACATCTCTAGATTTATTTGTAGGTATTTTATATTTTATTCACTTTGATAATGTTGAATAGGATTTTTTTTTTTTACTATTAGGTTGTCTTAGCAGGTTTGGGCTGCTATAACAAATTACCATAGACTGGGTGGATTATAAACAGCAAATATTTATTTCTTACAGTTCTAGAGGCTGGGAAGTCCAAGATCAAGGCACCAGCAGATTCAGCATCTGGTGAGGACCAGTTTCTCTTCTCTGACAGTGCCTTCTAGCTGTGATCACACATTGCAGAAGGGCAAGGCAGCTCTTTGGGGTCTCTTATAAGGGCACTGGTTTCATTCATGAGGGGTCCATTCATGAGCATTAGGGAGGAGCACCAGGTAGAGAGGGAAAGTACCGTCCCTGGGGTCTGGACTTTTTGTGACTCTTCCCTCTTTTTGGGGAAAAGGACTTCAAGCTCAGGTTTTCTTTGGTGGGGTTGGGTATTGCTTCTTCCATATTCCAAGTCTCAGGACCCTCAGGGGCAGGTGCCAAGTGAGAGTGACCCCCAGAGGTAGAAAGGACCCAGCATCATTTCTGAGGACACCTGGTAGAGGAGGAGCCTGGACACTTGGCCTCCCATCCTGGCTCAGGGTATGGCCTTGACACATCTTCATCCTTGTTTCCTCCTTTGGACAATGGAGATGTTCAGACTAGGTGGTCTCTGAGGGCCCTGCCAGCTTTAGCCATCCCTCCCCACACCAGCTAAAGGGACTAATTCCTCCGAACTTTCATGGGTCAGATAGAGGCAGGGAAGGGACAGCCCCAGCCCTGGGAGGCAGGTCTCCTTACCTTCTTCCAGTTCCTTCACAGGAATCACACACTTGAAGCCACAGTGCAGGTAACAACACTTCCTTTCCCCCAGACAGTCCTGGTCTGTGTGACACTGGGGAGGATCGGACTTGAAGCAGCGTACGTTGTCAGCTGGGCAAACCCCTGCTTTCTCTATACCTAGTGGAGGAAGCCACAAGGTGATATGAGAACTCCAGCCCCAGAGGGCCCCTCAGGACCTCTCCCCAGCCCAGCCCCACCCAGCTCCACCATGTCTGCTCACCCTCTTTAACTCCTTCCACAGCCACCAGGGTCACAAGAACGAGAGACACCATGAGGACCAAGAAGCTGCTGGACCCCATGTTGCCAGGCAGGTGCTTGGCTGGGAGCTGGGCTGAGCCTGGCTTTATAGTGTTCCTGCTGGGCATGCCAGTGGGTGGAGCTGAAGGCTCAAAATGGCAAGGGAGGCTGCACTTCCCAGCTCTATTTGGAAATGGCCCCTTCTGAGGAGGGACTTGGGGCTTTCCCTAAGGCTCTGCACTGGAATAGATGAAGAAATCCAAGAGCGACCCTCGTTCTTCACACGAGGAGAAGAAATGGACACGTGATTGACCATTAGGCGCCACCAGGGCCAAACTATCTTATGGAAGGAGGAAAAGAAGCACAGAAAGGGCATGAAATTACTCAAGTTCACACACGAGGCAGTGGCAGGGCCAGACTTCCTCAACTCCACCGTGTTCTCTATCAGTCCCTCTTCATGCCTGATTCACCTGGGACCAAAATCTTCCCTCCTTCCTGTGCTGCCCCGGACTTGTTCTCAGTTCTCACCTCACCCCAAGGAAGAATCTGAATGGCAGTGCTTAAAATGTCTGTCCTGAACATTCACTCTCAGCCTTGCGCTCCAGCACCGTGTGCTCCTGCCCCCCGCCAATCTCATGTGGCCTGGAGGAAAGCAGATTTTGGACCTGTCACCAGCTGTGTGACTTTGAAAGCAGCTTCACCTTTCTAAGCCTCCGTTTCCTCATTCATACAATGAGCATAATAATTATACTGTATCATCTTCATAGGATTTGTTTTCCCTCCTCTGCCCCTGCATCCCCCAAATTCCTGGATTTGGAAGAAGACATGGACGTGTGTGCGTGTGTGTGTGTGTGTGTGTGTGTGTGTGTGTGTGACCAGGCTTTTGGGGTCCTTTCTTTGAATGAGTACTAAAGGGAGGAAAATCCTTCCTGTTGGAAAAGTTGCAGATATAAGCCCAGAAACTCCAGAAATTTGGTCCTGGCCCTGGTGAGAGAGAAATTCTGAGAAGATAAATCTAAGATGCTGATAAAAAGAGATGAGAGATGGACAGGGAGTAATTTAGAGGATATCTAGTCCTTCACTAAACTTTTTCCTGAGATCAGCCCCACTCATACCCAGGGTTATGTTACCACCCAATACATTCACCTTTCTGCCTAAGCTGGTCTGAATTGGATTTCTGTCATTTACTAACAGGACCCCTGAGTAATGCAAAGATTTGGGTTTGGGGTGTTCCACATCCTGAAGTGTGGAAGGGACTGAGTTGGGGTTAAGTGGAGGCAGGGAGGATACCTCCATTCCTGGAAGTGAGCCTACTCCTTATTAGGTGGTGAATCTTTGGTTACAATCTCACCAGTCATATCACTGGACTCAGATCATTTGGATACCAGGGATGGAATCTGGGAAGTTCATAAACAAATACTAGAATGTTGGAATGTATTGGCTATTTCCTCCTCCACCTTTTTATTATGAACTTTTTAAACATACAGAAAAATTGAAATAACAGAACAATGATACTTGTATACCTACAACTGGATTTAACAATTATTAATAGTTTGGGATATTTTAGAATACCTATAGCTACATTTGTTGAAATATTTGAAATGAAATTGAATACATTATGTTCCTATTTCCTAAATACATCAGCATGCAAATTCTAAGAATAAGGATATTCTTCAATATAATCACAAAGCCATTATCATATCTAAGATAATTAATAGTTTCTGCATGTCATCTCATAGCCAGTTCATATTTGTTTCTCCGGTTCTCCCCAAAATGTCATTTGTAATTGACTGTTGATGATACTTCTTTAAAAAAAGTATTGTAAAATAAATCCTACATATGAAAGAATGTAATCAACATTCTATACCTTTTGAAAAAGAATAATAAACACCTATGAACCTATCAATTTAGAATAGGACATTACCATCCCTACTTCAGAGGTAACCACTATCTTGAACTTTCTGTTAATCATCCTCATGTTTTCCTTTAAAGTTTTGCTCTCTTGCTATGGCTTGCTTAGTGATACGTGTTGTTTAATTTCGTGTAAGCGTAATTATGGCCTAAGTATTCTTTTGTATTTTGCATGCTTTGCTCAACACCGTGTTTTTTTAAAAAATTGTGGTAAGAAATATATACTATAAGACATGACCTCTTAACATATTTTTAAGTGCATACTAACAGTATTGTTAATTGTGGGCACAGTGTCATACAGTAGGTCTCTAGAACTTTTTCATCTTGCATGACTGAAACCCACTGAATAGCAACTCCCTATTCCCCCCACCCCCAGACCCTTGGAACCACCATTCTGTTTTCTGCTTCTATAAGTGACTACTTTAGACACTTCATAAAAGTGGAATTATGCCATATTTGTCCTTTTGTGACTGGCTTATTTTGCTTAGCATAATGTCCTTGAGGTTCACCCATGTTGTAGCATGAGATAGACTTTTCTTCTTTTTTATGGCTGAATAATATTCCATGGTATGCATATATATGTACATGTATATAATCTTTTTCCTTCCCTCATTTATCTGTCAATGGGTCAATGCACATTTAGGTTTCCATTTCTTGGCTATTGTGAATATTGCAGCAATGAACTTGCAGGTGCAAATATCTCTTTGGGATCCTGATTTAAATTCTTTTGGATAAATACCCAGAAGGGGGATTGCTGGATCATGTGATAGCTCTATTTTTAATTTTTTGAAGAACTTCCATACTGTTTTCCGTAGTGGCTATACTCCTTTAAATTCTCACTGACAGTGCACAAGGGTTCCAAATTCTCCACATTCTCACCGGTACTTGTTTTCTTTTTCTTTTCTTTTTAAAATAAAAGCCATCCTAACAGGTATGAGGTGATCTTATGGTTTGATTTTCATTTTCCTGATGATTAGACATGTTGAGTATCTTTTCACATACCTGTTGGCCATTTGTATATCTTCTTTGGAGAAATGTCTGTTTAAGTCTTATTCACTTTTAATTGGGTCTTTATATTTATATGTGTGTGTATATATATATATATATGCATATGTACACACACATATATATAATGAAAAAGAAAAGAAATAAGTATTAGAATGGGAGACGAGAAAAGCCATTGTTTGCAAATGATGCAATAATAAAAACACAAAAGAAACTACAGATACATCATGAGTTAGACAATTTTTCAAGATTAGCTGACACAAAAATCAATATATAAAAGTCAGCTGCTTTCTATACACTAGAAATATTGGTTAGAAAAATGTAATACGTTAAAAGCAATAACATGTAAAATATTTAGTAATAAAGGCAACCTGTGAGATGGGAAAAATATTTGCAAACTACCTACCAGATAAGGGGTTAATTTTCAAAATATATAAAGAACTGCAACTCAATAGCAAAAATATGTTTACATATATATATACATATATACATAGCAAAAATATGTTTATATATGTATATATATAAATACATTTAGGCTTACATTTAGGTTTCCTAGAAACCTAGACTGTCTAGGAAGCAAGCCCCATAAGGAACTTCTCATATTCATATTATAAGAAGGTAAAATTGCAGGGGACAATGTTCCTGTTTTGTAGTAGTAAACTACCTTCTCAAAAGGTGGTTATTTTGTCCCCAGGGGACTTTGGCAATGTCTGGAGACATATTTGATTGTCACAACTGGGACAGATGTGCTTCTCACATCCAGTGTCTAGAGGCTGAGGTTGCTGCTAAATATCTAACAATGCACAAGACAGCTTTTCACAACAAACAATGATCTGTCTCCAAGTGCCAATAGTATTGATGTTGAGAAACGCTGCTGTCCTGCCTCACTGACTAATAGCTGTGCATGGCCTCAGAACACCTCAATGTAGGCTGAAGCGAGTAATGATGGGAGTGTCTGCTGGGAGTATCCCATGCTTAGGAGTGCTGATCCTTGGCTCACTGGTTTCACCCAGTAAAGGCATTCCTTAGCCCATGCCATGTGACCTTGTGGAATTCATCCCATGTTCTGCTGAATCAGGTTAATAAAGTTCCCTTTTAATTCTAGTTAGCTAAGAGTTTTTCTCATGAAAGGATGTTGAATTTTTATCAAATGCCTTTTCTTCATCAATTGAAATAAATATATGGATTGTCTCTTCAATCTGTTATTTTGTGAATTACATTAACCAGATTTCACATTCATTGTCTTTTTTGGGCATCATTTATTTATGTGCTTCAAGAAAGTGGAAAGCCTTGAACCAAAATGGCGGAGTCTAAGACAGGGAATGAAAGGGAAGATATATTTCTCATAAACGTGGAATATATATTCCTGAAAATCATTAGGTTACAGAGTTTTGCTCACTACAAATAATAGGGCTTCTGGAAAAAATAGAGTTGAAGTAGAACATTCAATATTTGTGCAGTCTCATAAGTAATACATCAAACAAACAGAACCCACACCCAATAAAAACATGACCACAGTGTTAAACATCTTCAGTTCCTAATAAAGAAATTATGTAGTAAATGTAGCACTTTACTTTGACAAAAGATGGGGAGTTTGCTTGGTAAGTGGGTATGGTGAAATACTGTGGCTTTTGAGGTATGTACAAAAGGTGGAATGAAGGACATCATCATTCTTGGGACTAAATGTTGTTATACTGGAGGGTCATTGTCGTCAATCTTTTACTTCTGTACTGGCTTAAAACAGCAATCCGCTTCGTTGATTTGCCAGTTCCTCCCTTTTGTAAGGAAGCTGTATAACTCTAAATGAAACTGGATAACTGCAAAGTTCTATGCTGATGCTCTTGACATTAAAATCTTGATCTTTGGCTGGGCGTGGTGGCTCACGCCTGTACTCCCAGAACTTTGGGAGGCCAAGCCGGGCGGATCACTTGAGGTCAGGAGTTCAAGACAAGCCAGCCAACATGGTGAAACACTGTCTCCACTGAAAATACAAAAATTAGCTGGGTGTGGTAGTACATGCCTGTAATCCCAGCTACTTGGGAGGCTGAGGCATGAGAATCATTTGAATCCAGGAGGCAGAGGTTGCAGCGAGCTGAGATCACACCACTGCACTCCAGCCTGGACAACAGAGCGAGACTTTGTCTCAAAAAAACAAAAAACAAAACAAAACAAAAAAACTTGACCTTTAATCCACTACAATTGTTTATCAATATCACTTGAAGCTGATAGTAACTGATGTGTTAGGCTCACTAGCGGTCTCATCTCTGACGGAGTGCAACATTTAGCTTATTGCTGTGGTGAATAGCATATGCTCTCATTTATTCAAAAATATTTTATTATTTCAAACTTCTCAGTATTTAAGACATTTCTTTTATTTATTTATTTTTACATTTTTATTAATTTATTTTTTTAGATGGAGTCTCCCTTTGTCACCCAGGCTGGAGTGCAGTGGTGCAATCTCTGCTCACTGCAACCTCTGCTTCCTGGGTTCAAGAGATTCTCCTGCCTCAAGCTCCCAAGTAGCTGGGGCTACAAGCTGGCTAACTTTTGTATTTTTAGTAGAGATGGGGTTTCACCATCTTGGCTAGTCTGCTCTCAAACTCCTGATCTCAGGTGATCCACCCCCGTCAGCCTCCCAAAGTGCTGGGAATACAGGCATGAGCCACAATGCCTGGCCTTCAGGCATTTCTTTTAAAATCATGTTTCAGATTCTTGTTTCCAGGACATTGAACACAGTATTAAATACTTCTATCAAGAAGAGGATAGAACTCAGGATAACAGCACATCACGCACTTGGTAGGGCAATGACTATAGGTAAACTGAGATAAGAGGGAGGAGATGAAGTGTTTGTTATTTTGTGTGTCACTCAAGAGATACCATGTTCAATATTTTTGCATTCGATTTGTTTTATATGACAGGACAAGGCATAGTCACCTTATGAAAAACTGTATTAACCCAATTTTACATGTTAGTGATTTAATTCCTTATTTATCTACCATGTATGAACATATTCTGCTTGTTAAAGCACTTGCTTCAGCAGGAGAGACTCGTGGGTGTGTGTGTGTGTGTGTGTGTCTGTGTGTGTGTATATCTTTATATTAATGAGAGGTGACATCACAGTAATCTTTGCCTTGACAGTGTGCCTGACTGAATAGTATAAGCTGAATTAATGCCCTTGTTAGAAATTGTGGGATCCCAAAATATTTAATGCCTAAAAATCAGGAAATGATCATCTGAACCCCTTCTCCACCTTCCACTGAGCCAGACAAAGGTGCAAATGCTTCCTTAAAGGAAGATCAACCAGGAAGAAGTTATGCCTATTCTTTAGCTACTTTTTCCCTAGTTTTAAAGATATGAAATTCTATTTAAAGTATTATCACAATAATATATGTACACAGTATAAAATGTAAAGTGTAAAACCAGGTTTACAATGGGAATCTCCTACATTGCTCCTATTTACCTTGATTCCTGATACCCAGAGGTCCTGATACCAGAGGTAAACACTTTTAGCTCTTCTAGCTGTTTCTAATATTTATCTCCATGTTTCTAAATAACATTCTGATGTATTATTAATGTTCTTACATTTGTATTCTAAATTGTGTATTATATAATTTTCTTAAATTTCTGAAAAATTTAAATTTGGATTTAAAAAAATTATTTTCTTGTGGTAAGAACACTTAGCATGAGATCTACCCTCGTAACACCTTTTTAAGTGTGTAGTACCATATTAACTCTAGGCACTATGTTGTACAGCAGATCTCTAGAACTTTTTCATCTTGCATAACTGAAACTTTACCCACTGAACAACAATCCCCCATTTCCCCCTTCCTGAAACCCTTGGAAACCACCATCATACTTTTTGCTTAAATAAGTTTGACTACTTTAGACAACTCACGTAAGATTATAAAAGTGGAACTGTGAAATAGTTGTCCTTCTGTGACTGGCTTATTTTGCTTAGCATAGTGTCTTCAAGGTTCATCCACGTTGTAGCATAAT
This sequence comes from Homo sapiens, assembly GCF_000001405.40. Classification (NCBI taxonomy): domain Eukaryota; kingdom Metazoa; phylum Chordata; class Mammalia; order Primates; family Hominidae; genus Homo; species Homo sapiens. Next base: position 45,131,298 of record NC_000020.11, read on the forward strand.
GAAAAGATTTCCCTCTTTTTTGGCTATTCAAATTCCATGATATGTAAATACCACATTTTCTTTACCGCATTCACCTGTCAATAAACTTTTAGTTTGTTTCCACCTCCTGGCCATTGTGAATAATACTGCAGTAAACATGGGAGTGATCAAGGATGTTGGTAAACATCCCAGAACGTACCAGACAGCCTCCCACAACAAAAAAATTGTCCATCCCCAATGTCAATAGTGCCAAGGTTGGGACTCTCTGTCCTAATCCAAGCTATTGCAGTATTTCTTATCTGGGTCACAGAAATAACTTGATAACTCGTCTTCCCACTGACAAACCACACATTCTCCAGAATGATCACATAAAACACATATTAGTTCTTGAGTGTTTGCTGTTTGACTTTATCATATTCTATTCCATCTCAAGGCTTCTGTAAATACAGGTCCCTTTGCTGGAACATGTCTTCTTCTTCACCTCTTGCTCTTTGACCACAACTTGGCTAAGTTTTTCATATTCTTCAAGTCTCAGCTTCCATGATGCTACATCAAAGAAGTCTTTTTCACCCTCCCTTTTAATTTTTCTCAGAGCAGATAGTTTTATGCATAGTTTATTTATATTTGTACTCAAATTTGCCACAGTTTGTAATGACGTATGTATCTGTGATTTTCTTTAGTCGAGAGAAAATTGTCAAAATTATTTTCCATCACTCCTGATACCTTAATGTGTATTTCCCTCAAAGATATCCTCTGTTGTGACCACAATACAACCATGAACATCAGGAAATTAACACTGATACATTCTTGTCCTCTAATAGCCCCAACTCAAGTTTTACCATCATAATGAGAATACTTAAAATCTACTATCTTAGCAGTTTTCAAAAGTACACAATATTGTTATTAACCATATTCATCATGCTGTACAATTGATATCTTGAATTTATTCTTCCTATCTAACTGAAATTTTGTATTCTTTGACCAACATCTCCCCACACTCCCCTTCCCCCCAGCCCCTGCTAATCACAATCTATTCTCTTCTTTTATGAGTTCAACTTTTTAGATTCCACATATAAGTGAGATCATGCAGAATGTGTCTTTCTGTGCCTAGCTTATTTCATTTAACATAATGCCATCCAGGTTCATCCATTTGTAACATATGACAAAGTTTTGTTCTTTTTTTAAGGCTAAAGAGTATTTCATTGTGTATATATACATTCTCTTGATCTATTCATCCATTTTTGCATGCTTATGTTGATTCCATATTTTAGCTATTGTGAAAAATACTGCAATGAACATGGAAGTGCAGATATCTCTTCAAAATACTGATTTTAATTCCTTTGGATATGTAACTAGTAGTGGGATTGCTGGATTATATTTTAGTTCTATTTTTAATTATTTGAAGAACTTCCATAGTATTTTCCATAATGACTGTAAAAATTTACATTCCCACCAGTAGTGTGCAAAGGCTCCCCTTTTCTCCACATCCTTGCCAGCATTTATCTTTTGTCTTTTATATAGTAGCCATTCTAACAGGTATCAAACAATATCATTGTGGTTTGTTTGCATTTTCTGATGATCAGTGATGTTGATCGTTTTCAAATATACTTATGGGTTATTTGTATGTATTCTATTGAAAATATCTATTCAGATTCTTTATTCACTCCTTAATTGGGTTATATTTTTTCTATTGAGTTGTCTGAGTTTCTTATATATTTTAGATATTAATCCCCTATCAGATGCATGGTTTGCAAATAATTTCTCCCACTTCATAAGTTGTCTCTTCAATCTGTTGTTTCCTTTTTTGTGCAGAAGCTTGTTAGTTTGATGTAATTTCATTTGTCTATTTTTGCTCTTATTGCCTATATTTTTGGGGCCATATCCAAAATATAATTGCCCAGACCAATGCTGTGGACCTTTCCCACTATATTTTTTTCTAGTAGCTTTACAGTTTCAAGTCTTTAAGTCTTTAACCCACTTTGTTGATTTTTACATGTGGTGTGTGATAAGGGTCCAATTTTAGTCTTCTGCATATGGATATCCAGCTTTGCCAACATTATTACTGAAGAGACTGTCTCTTCCCCATTGTGTATTTTTGGCATCTTTGTCAAAACTCAGTTGACTGTAAATGCATGGATTTATTTCTGGGATGTCTATTTTGTTTGTTCTATTGGCCTATGTGTCTATTTTTATGCCAGTACCATCTTATTTTGATTACTATGGCTTTGTAGTGTATTTTGAAATCAGGTAGTGTGATGCCTCCTGACAAAAAAAATTGTCACTTTTGCTCAAGATTGCTTTGTTAAAGCAGTCTTTAACGAAAGGTCTTTTGTGGTTCCCTGTAAATTTTAGGGCCTTTTATTTCTAGTTCTATGAAAATATCCTTGGAATTTTGATAGGCATTTCATTGAATCTGTAGATTGCTTTGAGTAGTATGGACATTTTAACAATATAAATTCTTTAATCCATAAACATAAAATAATATTTGTATTTACTGTGTCTTCTTCAAACCGATAACTTAACTTTGATCATATGAAAACTCTACACTTTGATTCCACCCTGTCCCAGCTTTTTAAAAGATGGGGTCTTGCTACATTGCCCAGGCTTGTCTCAAAGTCCTGGGCTCAAGTGATTTTCCTGCTTCAGTCTCCTGAGTAGCTGGGATTATAGGCATGAGCTACTGTCCCTGGCTCCCACATTAAAAATTTTTAATGTTACAACTTACATCTTTTTATATTGTGTGCTCTTTGACAAGTTATTGTAGCTTTTATTATTTTTAATAGTTTTGTGTTTTACCCTTAATACTAAAAATATTTGATTTACACGCCACCATTATAGTATTAGAGTATTCTGAATTTGACTATGTACTTACTTTTATTAGTGAGTTTTATACTTTCGTATGTTTTCATCTTACTTATTAAAATCTTTTTCTTTCTGCTTGATGAACTTCCTTTAGCATTTTTTGTAATACTAGTCTCTTGACAATAAAGTCCTCCAGCTTTTGTTTGTCTGGACAATTTTAGTTTCTCTTTCATTCCTGAAGGACAGTTACTTTTTTTCCTTCAGCACTGTGAATATATCATTCCACTTTCCTGGTCTTTAAAGTTTCTGCTGCAAAGTTCACTGTTAGCCTTATTGGAATTCCCTTATGTGAAGTGCTTTTGCTTGCTGCTTTTAGGATCCTCTCTCTGCTTTTGATTTTTGACAGACTGATTGTAATCTATCTTGTTGTAGTGTTGTTTGGTTTAAATTTTATTGAAAGCTTTTGACCTTCCTATACCTATATATTTATGTCCTTTCCCAGATTTGGAAAGTTTTCTGCTATTATTTATTTAAATAAGCTTTCTACCCCTTTTTGTCTCTTCTTCTTAAAATCCCATAACTCGAATATTTGCTCTTTTGATGCTGTCCTAGATATTTCATAATCTTTCTTCACTACTCTTCATTTTTTTTCTTTTTTCTCATTTGAGTGTATATTCTAAAATAACTTTTCTTTGAGTTTACAGGTTTTTTCTTCTGCTTGATCAATTCTGCTGCTGATGCTCTTTATTGAATTTTTAATTTCATTCATTGCATTTTTCAGCTGCAGAATGTCTGTTTGATCTTTTAAAAAATGGCTTTACTCTCTCTATTAAATTTCTTATTTACTTTTTCTGATTTCATGAATTATTTCTCTGTATTAGTATTATTTTTTGAAGTTCATCAAGCTTCCTAAGAATAATTAGTTTGAATCCCTTGTCAGACAGTATTATATTTCTCCACTTCTTTGAGGTCAGTTATTAGGAGATTATTGTGTTCTTTTGGTGGCATTATATCTCTTTAATTTTTCATATTTCTTGTTCCCTTATGTTACTATCTGTGCATTTGAAGAAGTAGGGACTTATTCCAGGCTTTTCAGACTGACTTTGTCTGGGAGAGCCCTTCCCCAGTCAATCTGTCCAGAGATTCTGGGGAGACCATTGAGTGTGGTCTTTGGGCAGGTTTGAGTGCTTGGGCAGCCTAGCCTGGTGCCTGGGTCAGCAGGTGGGTGGACGTGTTACCTGGGTGGGGTTGGGCCTGGAATCTGTATTCACAGGAGCTAGCCTGAAGCCTGGGTCCATGGGGGCTGGCTTGCTCTTGGGGTGGCCCTTGAGCCTGAGTCTGAAAGGGCTGGCCAAGTACTGAGATGAGCCTGAAACGTGGGTCTACTGGAGCAGGCCTGTAGCCTTAGTCCAAGGGGCCGGGCCTGGGTCCTGGGTCCATGGTGTCTGACCTTGAGCATGGGTCTTCAGGGATGGTACTGGATCCTCAGTGCATGGGGAACTGGCCTGGTATTTGGGTCTACTGGGATGGGCCTGGATCCTGGGTCTGTTAGGGCAATCCTGGACCCTTTGTCTTCTGGACTCTGAGAACACAGAGTCTGGTCTAGAGTCTGGGTTTGGCCTCATGTTGTGGCAGTTGTAGTTCCTGGGTCTGCAGGGGCTTGTCTGGATCCTGGCATTGCAGATGCTGGCCAGTTTCCTGGAGACGTGTGTGCTGGCTTAGAGCCCGGGTCTGTGGGGACCTGCCTGGAGCCTGAGTTTACTGGGGCTGACCTTGGGGGCTGGGTGTGTGGGTGCTGGCCTGGAGGCTAGGTTCACAAGGGTTGTCCTGGGTCCTGGCCATAGGGGCTAGCCTGGAGCCTGAGTCTCTGGGGGCCAGTCTAGTGCTGCGGTCTACTGAGATAGGCTGGACCCTGGGTCTACTAGGGTTTGGGGCCATAGGGAACATCATGGTACTGGCTCAGAGACAGCTAGGGACAGTACTTTTGCCTCAGAGATCACTGAAATTATTCAAACTGGCCAATCTTGAGACACTTACCCTGCCTCACCTGCTCCTTCTTGCAGGAACCACAGAAAAGGTTTGCCCACATTTCTCCCTCACTCCCTCTATCTCTTGACTGAAAAAGGTGCTTTCTATGTGCCCCCCTGCCCTACCCTTCCCATGGCAAGGTGTGGCTCTCCTTTGAGATATGTGAGTATAACAAACTCTCTTTTAAAAGGCAGTAATCTCCTGATATGTTCGCTTTGTCATACCTAAATAATATTAAATACCTAAATAATATTAAAACCCAATTTTTTAAAAAGGAGCTTGGAAGGCAAAGGACTAGAAAATCAGTAGCAAGGATGTCTGTGGTAGGGAAAGAGGACCAAAATGTGAGGAGACATTTACTGTGAAGACTTGTGTATTACATATTAACACCTGCTGGGAAGCATCTATGATAGATTAGACCCTGACAGCCAAGATGAAAAACTCAACAAGTTGACATTAACCAGCTTTCTTTTTTCTTTTTTTCTTTCTTTCTTTCTTTTTTTTTTTTTTTTGCGACAGGGTCTAGCTCTGTCGCCCAGGTTGGAATGCAGAGGTGCGGTCTCCCCTTACTGCAACCTCTGACTTCCAGGCTCAAGCCATCCTCCCACGTCAGCCTCCCAAGTAGCTGGGATAACTAGCCTTCATCACCATACCTGGAGAAGTAACTGCAACACAAGGTAGAGGACAGTGGTGAGCATGGAAATGCACTGCTTAGATCTCCTGCTGCTTCAGGGTGTGCAACTGATGGATGCCCCCAGCTACTGTCCTCTGCATCTGCCACTATGTCTGTGCAGAAGTCATGGATGCTTCCATCAGGTTACTCCCAGCCAATGACTGAGTGAGGCCCGAACACTAAGGCAGGCTCATTCTGAGACCTGGGCCTCTTCTGATAGGTGACTTCAGTTCAAGCGTTGTCTTTCAGCCTGACTGGCACTTTACCAATGTTGTAATTCATTCTGAGACTCTTCCTCCTTCCTTCTCTCCTCCCTCAGAGCAGGCAGCCCTGCATCATGGTCTCATGCTCTCCTTGCCACTTTGGCTACCTCCCTTTGTCCCTCACAGGCATTTTCCCTGACACACACTCTTGATTACCTAATCCTGTCTAGGTATCTGCTTTTCAGAGTGAGTCCTAAACAAACCTACTCACCTATAGTTTTGGTTTGAATAGTTCAGGAAATGTTGAAAAAAGGGAGAAGAAGAGGAAGAAGATGGGAGAAAAGAACATGCTTTTTTTTTCCTTAATAGTTATTACTATCAAGTCAAGATGATTAAATTCCGTTAGAAACATTAAAAAGATTAAGGTTGCTTTTTAAATGAAAGGACAATATTCATCATATTCTTAAAAGTTTATTCTTTGTAACTATTATGCAATTATGATAAAAATGTTAGATGTCAACTTAAAGCATGCTAGGGAATAATTGGCTTTTCAAAATTTGTTTATAATAGTTACAAATAAAATTTTGGAAGACTTGTCCAGACTTCTACTACCTTTGTGGTCCTTAACTAAATGTGAAATATTAATCATATCCTTTTTTCAGATCCTAAGGGAAAAGCCATAAAGGATGGAGAGAGAGACAGGGAGAGAGAGAGGAGATCCAGCAGTCTTACAGATTTTTCTGTGGTTTTAAATATACAATGCTTTATCTCTTTGTCTTCTTGTCATATTAACAAGCATTTAACTCTGAAATGACATCTTGGGCCTGGGAAGATCATGGACAAATTGGAGACCAGTTATCCAAATCAGAGCCTGTAGCACCAGCGTCTCCTCAGGCTTGGCTAAGGAGTTTCCACCTCGAGAGAGAAGAGAGAATCAGGGATGTAGGAAGGTGAAAAGGTTCAGGGAAGGTTCAGCCTGGCTGGTACTTTGTCAATGCCAGGTGACATGGCATTGCAGGAGACATGAATTTGTGTCCTGGGGCACTGTGGCAGAAATCCTGCTAAGTACTCTCCTTCACAGAAAACTGAGATATGCTGCCCCAGAATCAGGGACTGGGGATCAGGGACTCTAGGCAAGCCATCCTAAGGAATAATGAATTTATAATCCCTGACCTTACAATTTAAATATGAAGAGAAAGGTGCTGTGAAAGGTATCGTGAAAAACTAAAATAATAACAATAAAAATTCAATAACCCTTGAGCAACTTAGAGATTATCTTGTCCAAATGTCCCCTTCATACAGAAGAGAAGGGTGATGCCCCTTATGTGAAATGGACAGTGCATATCCTGAGCAAGGAGGTCTATTGAGCCACCCGCTTCACTGTTCCGAGGCAGATCTGTGGGCCAACCCAACTTGAAAGATCTGATCTCAATGATTTCCAGGGGCATGGGCAGTTATCAACTCCTTCTAAGATGAATGCTTCTGCAGGAAGGTTTCAGGCGCAGCCGAGAAGGGCAGATCTGGGGCTCCTTACCTCAATCCAAAGTCCACCAAAGCTCTGTACACTGATGTTGACAGTTGAAGAAGCAATACTTCTCGATCCCCAGGCAGGCTTTATAGTGCAGCACACAGGTAAGAGGGTGAAAGGGCAGGATAGAGTAAACTCTGGGCAATATCCAGGTTTCGGTGCAGCTGGAGAAAGATGCCACAGGGTGAGTCGAGGGCAACCATAAGTCACTTCCAGGTATCAGGGCCAGCTCGTTCCACGGATTCCTCAGAGGAAATGTTCCCTAACCCCACCCACACCCAGGATTGTCACGCCTTACTCACTCACACTCTTCAGGATTCCAGGCTGAACCATGCGGAGGCCAAAGAGGACGGTCACAGAGAGTAGAGAGAGGCTGCTCAGCTTCTTGGTGCAAGAAAAGGGCGTGGGTGCACCTGGAGGCTGGACGAGTCTATGTCAGTTCTGGCGGGGCTCCACCAGCAGGCGGCGCTGTGGCTCTGGGGGCTGGAGGTCAGAGGTGCCTCAACTTGACCCGGAACCATCAGCTGTTTCCTTTCACCTCCAGGAAGAGATAACGTGAAACCATTTGTGCGGTATAATTTATGAGAGCCCTCGTGGACTGCCTTTCTTCAGGGTGTTGCAGGGCTGCCCTGGCTCTTCCTTATTCTGACTTTATCCAGCGGCTTTTGAGGCAATAGGAGGGCATTGTCTTTCCCCAGGCTTGTATCAGGTCTGACCAACTCCCCTCGTCCCAGTGTGTATCCAGAACAATTGAAACCCACCCCTCCCAGCGGTGTTCACATATGGGTGCGTTTGGGGTACCACATCGAAGTTGAAACACACACAAAGCTAGATATTGTGCTATCAGTAAGATAATTTCTAGATTCATAGAAAATATAAATGCATTATGAACTACAGAGAAATAAGTTTCAGTTGCGTTATTAGTGTTTGCTCCTTTAACTCCTGTCTTTATGTTGCCATGACTCTGCAAAAACTTTATTTGTTGATAAAATTAAAAGTCTAACTAGGTTATTTTGTAATGTGACCCCTAGGCTAAATAACCGTTCTGCCTCTCTGCACTCCTGTAAAAGTGTGTGATGTACCTACTCACTTGGTGGCTGAGAACATAGCTATCAGTAATGGTGAGAAATGGGTTATGAGTGCACACAGGAAAATTGGTACCTGATGTGGAAGGTAGAGAAATACTGAGGAAAAAGCTCTCTGAAGCAGGTGTTCTATCTATCTATCTATCTGTCTATCTATCTATCTATCTATCTATCTATCTATCTATCTATCATCTGTCTATCATCAACATCATCATCATCATCCTTTCCTCTCTTTCTAGTGCAATCTGTGGTTACCTCCTAGCTGTGTGTCTTTTTGCTGTTTTATGACACAAAGCTGGAAAGTTGATATATCTTTGAGGTAGGACAGTAAAGGTATATTGCTGGCCTTGCCAGCTGAAGGCAAATTGCTTCTGGTGGGCCTTATGGACAGGAATGGAGGAAAAGGCATTTGCCAAGTCAATGGCTGTACACCAGGTACCAGGAAATGTGTTAATTTGCTCAAGCAATGAAACCATATCTGGTACAGCAGCTGCAATTGGCGTCACCACTTGGTTAAGCTTATGATAATCCACTGTCAGTCTTTAAGATCCATCTGTGTTCTGCCCAGGCCAAGTGGGAGAGTTGATCGGGGACGTAGAGGGAATCACCACTCTTGGGTCTTTCAAGTCCTTGAAAGTGGCGCTAATCTCGGTAATCCCTCCAGGGATGTGGTATTGTTTTTGATTTACCATTTTCCTAGGTAGAGGTAGCTCTAATGGCTTCCACTGGCCTTTCCCACCATAATAGCCCTCACCCTACCAGTCAGGGAGCCAATGTGGGGGTTCTGCCAGCTGTTAAGTATGGCTATGCCAATTACGCATTCTGGCACTGGGGAAATGACCACAGGATGAGTCCAGGGGCCCACTGGACCCACTATAAGTTGGACCTGAGCCAAAACTCCGTTAATTACCTGATCTCCATAAGCCCTTACTTTTGGTCCTGGAGGACCACAATGATGTTTTGGGTCCCCTGGAATCAACGTCAGCTCAGAGCCAGTGTCCAGTAGTCCCTGAAATGTCTGATCATTTCCCTTTCCCCAGTACACAGTTCCCCTGGTAAAAAGCCAGAGGTCTCCTTGGGAAAGGATGGGAAAAAGATTCACTGCATAAATTGGTCATAGGGTAGTGGGGTCTTTCCTCAAGGGGCCCTGGCCTCCCCTTCATTCAAGGGGTTCTGGGTCTGTAAACTGGTTCAAGTCTGGAAATTGATTGAGGGGCCATGATTCTCTGCTTTTATAATTCAAATTAGTCTTTTGTCCATTCGACCTAGAAGTTTTATGCTTGTATAAATTAAATAGGAATGCAGTAGGCCTCCTATCAATTTCACTTTTTAGGAACACTAGGATTAATTAGCCAGTGCCAGAGCTCTACATGAGTCAGACTGATTGCTGCTTTGCCTCTGCTTTCCATTATGGTAGCTACACCCACCTTGCCTTTGACAGTTGAGTGCTGCCACTTGGCTCCTGCCACCTCGGGCTTCAGTTATTCCCATTGTATTTAAGTTTTGTAGTTAAGTGACTGCGGTTCCCACTGTTAGATCTGACATACAGAAAAGAGCAAATACAGGGCTCTTCAAAGATGAGGGTGCTGACCTCACAAATCGATTTCACAAGGCATTGGTCAAGGGTGTATCTTCTGGACCCTCCCAGCTGGGATGAGTAGGTCTAAAGTGACTAATTCGCTCCAGCATCCCAATCTCCCTAAGCCTTTGGATCCCTTCCTCTACATTAAGCCAAGGGAGATCAGGCATTTCCAGCTCATTCACAGTGGGCCATCTTTTAATCCATATTTCAGCTAAACAAGCAAATAAACTATTAGAACCTTTTAAAACTCCCTGAGCTGCAACATTAAATGCAGAGTCCCTACTTAGTGGGCCTAAATAAAGAAATTCAGCCTGATCCAACTCTATGTTCCTTCCACCATTATCCCACACCCCTAATATCCATGTCCATGCCTGTTCTCCAGATTTCTGCTTATATAAATGAGAAAACTCAAGCAATTCTTTTTGAGTGTAGTGCATCTCCTCATGGGTCACACTCTCAACCTCACCTCTAGGGGCCTGCTGGGACTTTAGTCTACTTATAGTTCTAGAAGCAAACAGGGGTGTTGGGGGTGGCTCCTGAGGAGAATCAACATTATCTTGCCTGGCAACTGCCTCAGGGGAGGCCATCACTGTTGTCTCAGGCAGCACAGGGTTTATCTCCCCAGACAAAGGTGGAAAGGCTGATGGCAGCACAGGTCAGCGAGGTGATGTTGCCACTACTGGGGATGAGGAAGCTGTTTCTTCTGGCAAAAAAAGGTTCATCAGAGTTTACAAACTCAGTGTCCTCAGCTTCATCAGGGTCCTCCCACATGTCCCCATTCCAAGTTGCAGGGTCCCATTCTTTTCCAATCAATGACACCTGGCGAGGCTGTGCATGCACCTTTTGTTGCAGGTCAGCCACTCACATGATAAGAGCTTGTGTCTGTTTTTCCACAATTTCAGCTCTTTCTCTAAAGGAGATAAGACTCTCAGTCAGGGCAATCTTAGCAGATTTGAGACTCAGTATCTGCTTCTGAAGCTGGGAGATAGAATCCCTGAGTTCATCATTTTCTTTCATCACTTCGTCCACTGAACTTAGGAGCAACCAACCAGCTTCATTATGTTCCTTGGTTCTCCACATATGGTCAAAGGTATTATGTATAGAGTCACTAAACTCCTTGCCTCTCACAAGCAGTGAATCAGGAGTGTCAAATGTGCTTATTTTGCATAACTCTCTAAACAGTTAATGCCAAGGACTATCAGTGTTCTCCATACTACTATTAGAACTAGAGTCCTTAGAATTTTTTGTTCTAATCATATTAAGCAGCAAACTCCAGAAACCCCAAACCAATGAAAGAACTCCATTTTTAATATTCTGTTCCTCTAGAACCACTCTTGGTACCAAAATCTGTATTAGTCAGGGTTCTCTAGAGGGACATACCTAATAGGAGGTATGTATATATATATATATATGGAGTAACTCACATGATTGCAAGGTCCCACAATAGGCCATCTGCGAGCTAAGGAGCAAGGAGAGCCAGTCCAAGTCCCAAAACTAAAGAACTTGGAGTCTGATGTTCAAAGGCAGGAAGCATCCAGCATGGGAGAAAGATGTAGGCTGGGAGACTAGGCCAGTCTAGTCTTTTCACATTTTTCTGCCTGCTTTATATTACAGCCACACAGGCAGCTGATTAGTTGGTGCCCACCCAGATTAAGGGTGGGTCTGCCTTTCCTAGCCCACTGACTCAAATGTTAATCAAATGTTAATCTCCTTTGGCAACACCCTCAAAGACACACCCAGGATCAATACTTTGCATCCTTCAATCCAATCAAGTTGACACTATGTATTAACCATCACAGTAGTTTCATAGAAATAGCATTGAATCTGTAAATTGCTTTGGGCATTATGGCCATTTTAACAATATTGATTCTTTCTTTCCATGAGTATGAAATGTTTTTCCATCTGTTTGTGTAAACTCTGATTTCGTTCAGCAGTGTTTTGTCATAATTGTAGTAGAGATGTTTTACCTTTCTGGTTAGTTGTATTCCTAGGTATTTTATTTTATTTTTGTGGCAATTGTGAATGGGATTGCATTCTTAGTTTGGCACTCAGGTTGGACATTGTTGGCGTACAGAAATGCTACTTACTTTTGTACATTGATTTTGTATATCATACAGGAGCTAGGGCCTGCCACAGGGGCCTCACAGTTCTGCCTGGTGCCCTATACTACTGTGGCTGAGCTGGCACCCAAGTTGCAAGACAAAGTCCTCTTAACTCGTCCCTCTCCTCTTGTCAAGCAGAAGAAAGGGATCTCTTTCAGAGCTGTGTGCTGCACTGCCTGGGGTTGAGGGAGGGTGATGCAAGCACTCCTTCAGCTGCCCAGGCTGGTGCCTCACTAGGTCGCATGCACCCCATGTCCACTGGCCTCTGAGCCCAGCACAGCACTAGGATTTGTCCAGGAGTTGTAGTCCTTGTGGCCTAGACGGCCTTTCAAGTTTATTTAGTAGCCCATAGCACTTTAGCCTGCAGTGGCGAGGCTTGCCAAAACTCAAGTTCCAACTGCTGGAATGGGTGATTGTCCTCTGGCTAAGGGTCATCTAAATGCGCCCTCCGTGGGCATCGGCTGAGTTATTTCTGGTGTTGACAGCACTGAGTTCCAATGCAGAGTCCCACAAGCACTGAGCTCTCCCTCTCCCAGTGCACGTATTTTCTCTCTGTGCCATGCAGCCTCTGCCGGGGGATGAGGAGGGGGTTGGCGTCAGCAATTCAAGACTCTTTCATATCCTCTACAGTGTCTCTTTCAGCGATATGAAGTTAGATCCAGGTATTGAGATTACTCACCTGATTTTCTGTTTTTTATGAAGGTATTCTTTTTGTGTAAGTAGTTGTTATATTTGGTGTTCCTATAGGGGGGATGATCCATGGAGGCTTCTATTTGGCTGCCTTTCTCTGTCTCCAACCTTCTGTTTGTTTTCGTTTTTAAAAACATATAAACAGTTTGTGCTCAATTATAAATTTTCCCCTGATCCATGGAATGTATTCACTTAATTATTTGTTTGGGTATGTGAAACTTCCAACATGGTTCCAGAGTCAGGTCTATGCATAAAGGTATATTCAGAGAAGAATCAGGTATCCATCTCCATTCTCTCTCTACTTTCTACACCATTCCTGACAACACCCTGTAGGTGATCACTCTCATGGTCTCTTGGTTTTTTCCTTTGTGTGTTTCTTTTTTCCTGCATTGAGTAGAAAAATGAATATTTTCTTCTTTTGCTTTATTTATTAAAGACACTTTCACTTTATAATGTATCTAGAAATCATACCTCAGTTTATAGCCATCTTCACCATTCCTCTGAACAGCTGCATAATACTTTGTTGTATAGATGTACTATTAACACCATTTACTCAATGACTCTCCACTGTATAGGCGTGTGGGCTGTTTTCAATACTTTGCAGTTACAAACAATGCTGCAATTAATACATTTACTTTAATTTTCCCCATTGGGGCTTGGATTGTCTTATTGGTCTGGCATTCTTACTGTAACTCTTTCAACCAGGGACAACCTAAGCTGATCGGTGAATATCTTTTGTGAAAGACCTCTGTATCCTCCTGTCTTGGTTGACAACCTGTGGAAAGAAAAATGATTTGAAATCATCACAGATCTTTTCAATTCCAAGCTCTGTTCTGGACTCCAAAATAATTTTCCCATCTGTATGAGGAGGGCAGTTTTCTAGGATATGTCAGCAGGGATTTCATTCTAAATTCAATGGGAGGTTGTGGCTCAGGGCATCTGTTACAAGCTGGAAAGAACCTGGAGCCTATCTGGCCCCTAGGCACTCTGCAATCCTGGGGTCAGATACACATGGCTGGCTAGAACAGAGTCTGCAAGTGGCTCCAGTGTGCCTGAGGTCATCAGTGATGCTCACTGCTCTACCCCTGAAATGTACCCAGAGCCTGGAGAGACGCTATCTGGGCTCCTTATCACAGAAAAACTTTGTAGTGCTGAGGTCTCTAGGTCTTCAGTGGAGGAGGGTGGTGTCAGTTGAGTTGTGCCTAAAACCACACTTTCTGACTTCTCTACTTACAAGTCACACTGAACATCGCAGCTGCCTTTTCTGGGTAATCTCTAACATTTTTTTTAAAAATGGAAACCTTTATCTTTGTTTCCTTTTTTTCATTTCTCCCCAACAAAGAAGCCAAGGTTGCCCGAATGGGGCCATCAGTCTCCGTACAATCAAGAAGTAACACAGTCAGGATTGCTCAGAGGGCCCCACGAATCTCAAATCCCTTATTTTTCTGTTGTTTTTTTTTCCCCCAGAAGGTAATTTCAGCTTTAGAAATGGACAGAGACTGTCCAAAATCCTATATCAGGTTGGTAGCACAGATGGGGCTACAACAAAATCTGTGGAAGGAAAACACAAAGTTTTTCTTTCCCTGGGACCCAAGATGTAATGAAGGTGGCTATTGTAAACAAGTTTCATTCTTGGCTTCTAAGTGTAATAATTTCATTCCTATTTTGGGGAAATTAACTACCATATAAGCCCTGGAAGCCAGAGGCTGTGCCACTTTTTATAACAGAGCGGGAAAATCTGGATGCTTGTTTTCTCTGCCTCCACTGAGAGACAACCTCATATGAGCACATGCTGGGTTAATGTCATATGATGCACAAACTCTAAACTGGACTTGGGAGCTAATGATAATAGGATGTGAACATTTATTCCTGGGACATTTATAGCAATGGCAGCTGTATTTGACTTTTCAGAAGAGAAATGGAAATGATGGTAGAGACATTGGCTGTGAGACATGTAACCTCCACCTGCTTTCAGGTATCACCAGTGAGCTCCACTAAGGCCAGTATCTGGCTGATTTTGACTGTGATTCTGCATTCATAGCCTTGCTTGCTTTTGCCTTTTCTTATAACTTGGGTTTATAGGTTCCCTAATGGTTTTGTGATCCATTTAATTTTAACTGAGCCAAGACTGACTTCTTTGTAATTAAGAAGTGAATGACTGGGTGACTCTTGTTAGGGAATAGATGTGTGGAGAGCTCCATGAATTACTCTAAACCAACAATCACAGCTGGTGAAAGTTATTTAAAAAATTTTTTAAGATTTTATTTTTATTGTACACATTTAAGGTATACAACATGATGTTTTGATATACATATACATAGTTAATTACTATAGTCAAGCCAATTAACATATTCATCATCCCACATAGTTTTCTTGTTTTGGGAAGACCACATAAAATCTACTCTCTTACCGAATTTCCAGTAGACAATACTAATAATCAAGTAACCCAGTGACTTCTGCTCTGCAATAGCAGTGTGAGGAGCTCTGTGGAGATACTCTTTAACCAAACAACCATCTGGGAATTGTTCTACATGCATACATTTATTTTTAAAACTCTACTAAACCTTGAAAGAACACAGAGTGCCCGTGCCATTTGAGCCATAACCCACTATGTACTTTCTACCTCCCAGCTCAGCATGAGGGAAGCTGCACTTGGGGCATGTATAGCCAAGAACAGGGAAAATCCCTTTTCTCCCACCTCCCTGTCAAAGATTATGATGTCTCTCTAAGAAGAAAAGGCTGCAGGCATCACCTAACCTCCCTCCCAGGTGATGTTGTAGAGGTTGTATTGCAGGTGTGTGTGACCAAGAGGTATGAGGCTCCATTCTTCCACCCAACACCACTTGTATTGTAGAGGGTGTACCCCAGGCATTGGAGGTAAAGAATATTGTGACCCCATACCCCCTGGCACAGCTAATTAGTAGGGTAGAGTTTTCAAGTTAGGGAATGCATGCCAACAACATCAGAGGCTACTGCTTATGCCCAGAACCATGTTGGTAAAACAAGGCTGCCACCCTGAGAGAAGTGGGCCACTATTTCCAAAAAAAGCTCCATAGAAAAAGCTCACTGATTTTCCAATGGTGAAACCTAAGCTATAAGAACAGAGGGCTCCAAAGTCCTCCCAAAGAAACTGACTATTATCTTGGAACAGAGTGTGAGGAATGTCTAGACTAATAGTGTTCTTGAAAACAATGGGAATTTTAGTGGTAAACCATGAAGAGGAGGTTGGCAGCTCCATGGCAGAAAATCTAATGATTAAGGAAACTGAACATACCACCTGATAAAGTAGCATTTGAGAATTTCCAGAAATATATTGAGGGTAAATTGTCATGAAAAAGGGAGTTACCCATGACACATTTTAATGCTACCAATTTTGTCATAATAACATGTCAACGTAATTAGAACATATGGTATTAATGAAGGAAGTACACACACATATCAGTGGAAAAAAAAGAAACTTGGTGCCTTCGAAAATCTAGCAGACAATAAAGGCAGAATCCTGCATTATCCAAGAAATGTTAGATAAGTCAGTAAATGATATTAAGACAGATTACCAGCAATTCAGGGGAAATACTGGATTTGTATCTTACACGTTATCTCAAAGTATGTTTCAGATGGTCAAGAATTTAAATATAAAGATTGAACTATAAAAGTATTCAAAGAACACGAGTGGAGTTTTGTAAAATGTTGATATGGGAATGACTTTCTGGAGCAAATTGGTATTGTTAACCATATGCAAATAAAAAAATTTTGTTGGGAAAAATCTAACATATTGTAATATAAGCAATTAGAAATTCAAAAATATGAGTACATTCGTGGTGGGAATAAATATAATCTATATTACATTGAAAGAACGTTTATAACATAAAAGAAAACAGATGATCCAATAGAAAAATGAGCATGAACCACATATATATGATTTATGGGAAAAGTAATGTAAGTAGATAACAGATGTATGAAAATAAATACAACTTCAACCAAAATTAAATAAATGTTATTTAAAACAAACACACAAGTTATTTTTTTGTTCCTATGGGATGGTCTTTTTACTACTGATTTTGGGCAAATTTCATTTGCCAGTAGTCTGCGTCTCAGTTATTGTGAAATGAATACCTTGATCGCTTAAGACCTTTCTTACTATGAGAAAGACTTCAGGGATCTAAGCTAAGGTCTCTGCCAGGGGAAGCGTGAATTTGCAATAGAGGAGCAGAAAATGTGTGCAGTGGAATCACTGTAAGTGAGGATGCCAAGGTGATGCAGAAGAGGTTGATGCTGGCAGACTTGACATTTTGTGGCATGTCACTTTATTTTTTATTTTTATTTTTACTTTTTTTGAGACAAGGTCTCACTCTGTTGCTCAGGCTGGAGTGCAGTGGCGCGATCTCAGCTCACTGCAACCTCCACCTCCCGGGTTCAAGCAATTCTCCTGTCTCAGCATCCCAAGTAGCTTGGACTACAGGCGCATGCCACCATGTCCGGCTAATTTTTGTATTTTTAGTAGAGATGGGGTTTCGCCATATTGGTTAGGCTGGTCTCAAACTCCTGACCTCAGGTGATCCACCTGCCTTGGTCCCCCAAAGTGCTGGGATTACAGGCATGAGCCACTGCGCCTGGCCAGTATGTCACTTTATAATCACGTTCCTTTCATCTTCATGGTGTCCCCAAATCTATGTTTTTCTTTGATTGCACACCTTGTCTCAGTCATCCCATTACTCTGATTCCTGCTATTACTTTGCTTTCTGTCTTGGCAAAACGAGTTCATCACAAGTCTTTCCTGAAAGGCTACCAAATCTTCCTTCCTTGGTCAACATCCTAGCAAAGAGAAATGACATATGAAGACAGGTAGTTCCCAGCCCCAAGTCTGCTCCTGACTTCTAGAGTAAGCTTGATGGCTCCCCTGGACTCCAGTTTTCCCATCTTCATGATGAGGGTGTTTATCGAGATTATTTCAAAGAGGACTTCCAACTTCAAATTCAACAGAAGGTTGTGGCTCAGGGATCTATTATAAGCCAAGAAGCACATGATGCTTGTGCGTGATCCTTGTGATTCTGGACTCCAGGAGACACACACATGGCTGGCTAGAACCGAGTCTCTCCATCCCAGCATGTACCGGACAAGGAGATCCTAAGAAGACTGTCCCAAAATTGTCATCAGTGATTCTCTCTACTCAACCCCTGTGGAGCACACAGAGCCTGCAAATATGATAGCAGAGTTTTTAGTCTCAGCAAAAACTCCTCTGCTAGCGAAACTGTTTCTAGGAGGAGCATGGTTGCAGGAGGCTGTCCCTGAATAACCATGTGTTTTCTGTCTGCAATGCAAATTCCAAGTAGTGAATTACCATACTAGCACCTCTGGGTAACTTCAGTATCATCATGCAGCCCCAAACTTCTCATCTTTCCCATCATTTTTGATCTCGCCTCACCATTACACTCAGAGATACTACAAGGCAGTAGGTAGTTTAGAGAATCCAGCCAAAAAGCCCTAGAGAGTCTACTGTCTCCAATCTCCACTTTGCTTATACAGTTGGGTAAAATGTAGGCCACAAGCTGGGGCTAGAACACAGAGTGGAGGAGAGCAGGGAACAGTAGCTGCTCTGGTGCTCACAATGAGATGAGAACAGTCGTGTGGACAACTTCATGTCTTGGTTTCTAAGCATACGAGCACCATTCCCAGAAGTTGCAAAGTCCACATGCCTACTTCCCTGCCTTCTTGGAAGCCTCCACATGTGCACTGGTTCATACAGTCAGAGGAACACACTCTGTGATGGACTGAGGACTGGGATAGAGAAAGAAGCAGATATGGAGATGGCAGGAAGTGTTTACTCTGGTAGCAGTGGCATCAGTGGCTGGGTATCTACTTCCAGGAAGACAAGTGGAAGAGGTGTCCAATTTGGCAATGTTGGTGGGCAGATGTGGTGTCACCATGCCTGGAGGCAGCAGTGGTGTGCTCTGTTGTGATTGGAGAGAAAAAGGCTGTGGGACTGGTATTGTTGAGGTATGTGTGCCCATAAAATCACTAAGCACTAGGCTGGGAGGACAAAGTATTATCTAGTGTGGAGAAGCTGAGGATGCAGCCTGCGATTAAAATATGGATAGAAAAACAGGTCAGG
This sequence comes from Homo sapiens, assembly GCF_000001405.40. Taxonomy (NCBI): domain Eukaryota; kingdom Metazoa; phylum Chordata; class Mammalia; order Primates; family Hominidae; genus Homo; species Homo sapiens. The sequence continues at coordinate 45,150,079 of NC_000020.11, forward strand.
CCAATTAAAGGTGATCTTGTGAAATAAATTATTGCTGGCGGAGAAACTCATAAAGGGGTATCTCGCTGTCTAGCTCAATAAGAGAAAACACATTTTAGGGATGTTTTCAAGGTGATTGTAGAGTGTAGACTTCTACTTCCAGAGGTGGCAACATTTTTGCTGTTTCTGTTGCACCTGCTAATGTAAGGAGTGCCTGGAGTTTGATGGGGAGTTTGGAACCCTGTGAAAATCCAGTGTAAGAGAGATTTGTATGCTTTTGACTGCTCACAATGTGGCAGTCCTTTGTTACATTGTGGCACCTCCCTATTCACACCATATTTGAGACTTGGTGAGTGACAGAATTGGCCTCTTGTTGCAGGAATGAAACAAACCAGAGAGTCACTTTTCTTTACCCATTAGACCTAGGGCTGTGCTGATAATATACTCAGCAAATGATGCTTCTACCTGGAGCATTGAGAACTAAAAGACTAAAAGCAGCAACGATAAAGGGGCATTCTTTCTTAGCACAAGGTAGTTTTGTTGTTCACAGTGACACCTGATTTCAGGGTCATGGGTGACAGTGATGAGTGTCCAGGATTGCAGCAGTAGGACCCATGTCACACAATTGTTGAGGGGTGGTTCTGGCTGTGATCATGCTGCCTGGATACTCTTACTTCTTACATTGCCTCTGAGTCTGAATCTTCCGTCTTCTCAAAATTCTGTAAGCCGCATTTACAGATTGGGTTATCCAGAAAGCAAGAGCTGAGACACAGCTAAGAGGGCAAGTTGCCTTGTGGGGTCACACCTGTTACAGTAAAGGAAAGGAAGAAGGACTGGCAGAGGATGCCATTGCCAACCTGACCTGACAACATCTCTGGCAACCCATCAGGGAGCTCTGGAGCAAGAATTTTCCATTAGAGGAGTCCAACATTGAGCAGAAAAGGTAGACCCTTATACCACAGCCTTATTCTTCCTTTAGCTGGGGCCCCTGGTTCTACGTGATCTGAGCTCAAACACTGAGGGTTACTTTCTGTTCTAAATTGGATGGAAGGCTGTGTGATTAAGGGACATACTAAGAAGTGATAAACAGTGGGTTCCTGTTTTTACCTCCTAGTGCTGGCACCTGCTTACCCTGAGAAGGTTGGCTCATATGACTGGATGAAAGAGAGTCTCTCTGTCCCAGTTCCAGACAGGGCATAAGAAGTGGCTTGAGTTTTCCTTAAGGAGTCCAGTAGCTGCTCTATTATTACTCCTCAAGGATGATTATGGAACCTCAGGGATTAGCACGGGCTCTTGGGCTCAGAAGGAAATCAGGGTCCTGGTGGATGTTGCATTGTTGGATCTAGGTGGTGGGAGCAAGAGGAGTAGGATAGAGAATATGTGTCTCCTCCTATAACTGAAAACTTCACATTTGCTGTACTCATGAAGCCACTGTGAGTGGTTTGAATGGTGTTTTAGGTAATCTAAATGTGCAAGGCAGACCCCAAATCCAGTCATTTTCCCCCTTCTTCTAACTTCCTACCCACATATTCAGATGTGCCCTCAGAAACCTCTAGGTAGTTTGGAGGCTCTGTTAGAGGGGCTCAGAAACCTCCACATGCTCAGGCCTTCACTTTTCCAGATGGTGCTACTGAGATTAGTGAGAACAAGGGATTTGTTGATGTCCGTTAGGAGTAGGACTTAGGTCTGGAAGATGGCACAGTACTGTCAGTTCCTGAATTCCAGAAAGGAATCAGAGAACAAATGGTGCCTAGAAGGAGGATGAAGCTGGATAAGCGAATGTGGGTAAACAGACTCTCTTCTCTACCCAGTTACACAGTCTTCTAGGTGGGCAGGACCACGTCTTGATAGGCCTAAAACCAAAGGACACGTGTTCCAAAATTTTCTCTCTCCAAAATAGACCCTGATCATGCTGTGAATTCTTTTTTCCTTTCAATTAATAATTTCCTTTGAAATTCAAATTAATTGGAAATAATGACAAGCTCCAAATATCAGGAGACATCTTCAGACATCAGTTGGAATCATAGAAATTACATTTGAAACAATTGGATCAAGTCAGCTCTTTTCATACAATGGTACAATGAACCCATGTCTGGGAATCAGGGAGCCAGTTGTATTCTGGGCTTGACTTACTGAGTGAAATTAGGAAAGGCATTCCTTTCTTCAGGGGTCCGTGCAATCAAGATAAAGCAAAGAGGGAAAATACATCTCTCTACAGTGATTTTATTTCTTCCTTATGCCCTTCAAGAATTGTTTTGTTAATCAAGTGTCAATATCTCTAGGGAGGCCATGCAGGGGCAGCAAAGTGAAACATGTTGGGGCCTCATACCTCTCTTTGAAGTCCTGGGTCTCCAAGCCCTTGTCTGGTTCCAGCACTCCTTGGACAAGGCTGTCTTCCCTAGTAACAGCACCTCTCATTGCTTGGGAAGTTGGGAGAACTGGTACCCCATACGTGCCTTTGAAACTTGATTTGTGTCTGGAGGACACATCCAATGCATGGATCACATTCAGAATTATTGCAGAGGGAAGCAATGAAATGGCAGCAAGAAAATTAACATCTTTTCAACTCGCCCAAGACATGACTCACAGTTTCTTTTTTCTGAGTTGATCTCCATCAAGTGCATTAATAATTTTTCTCCAAGTTCTTTCAGTGAGCAGTTTCTAGGGGATCTTTGGCATAGTTGAAGACAATAGAAGGCAGAAGAGGAGGAATGAGTAACTTCCACAATCTCCTCCTCAAGTGGTATAAAATTACTCTATCATTAAGAAATTCCTAAGCAAACTTCACCCTCAACATAACTTGAAAACAAAGAATGCCAAAAATACAAAATACCTGTCAGTGAAAAGGGAACAAACAACAAATCCCAGTGCTGGGGACTCACACTTACCTGCCCTTTCCAGCCCCACTATAAAGCTTAAAGCTTTGCAAAATTGACCAAAACACACACACACACACACACACACACACCCCACTGCTGAGGAAGGAGTGACATCACCAAGATGGTGAAATAGAAGGTCACCCAGTCGTGTCCCACCACAACCATAAGAATTCTACACCATTCACAGGTTAAAGTCTCTCTGAGGGAGCCTCTGGATCCAGGGAGAAATTTGTGAAATGCCAGTGGAGCTCAAGCCCTTAGAGGATTATTTTGAGAGTGCAGACAGACACCCAGGTGGCTGATCTGCTGAACCTGCTGCTCGCGAGTTCAATCCTGGAAGTGGCCCAGTCCTCCCAGGGTTTGGCTACTGTACCATGTTGACTTTAGCCTGCAACCAAAACCATCTGCCAAGGGGTCCAGAAGGAATTACACACACTTGGCAGAAAGGCTGCTCTGCACACTGACATTGTCTGGATAGTGAACCTGAAAGTTGCCCTGTGGCTTTGTCCAGCCCCCATCAACTAAAGTCCCAGCTTAGAGCTGCTTACACAACTCACAGGGAGACCCATACATATCTCACAGGCCAGCAGTCTGAGCCTCCCGGATAGGCATGCCATCCTTTGTCCCACAGCAGGTCTAGATGGGATCTGCTCTAAGCTCCAGCCCATCTTGCCATAGTTGGGGAACTATCCTGTCAGTGCTGAGATCTGCTGGAAGACATGTACTGGCCTGGACCCAAAAGATTGGCTCTTCAGCTTCCATCCCACAGCAGATCCTGAGGGGATTCCAGTTGCAGCTTTTGTCCTTCCTGCTGAAATTGGAAAACTCTCTTGTCTGTGCAGGAACTTGCTGGGAGACGTGCTTACCTGTAAACCAATGAGACCAGGTTTTCAGCCTCTGCCCCACAGCATATTGTGAGGGGGCCCAGTCTCAGCTCCCCTTCTGACTGCAATTGAGGAACTACCACATGTGCTAAAATCTTCTGAAAGATGTGTGCCTATCTGAGCCAATGAGATGGACACTCCATTCTCTCCCCCACAGCAGATCATGAGAGGGCCCAGTTTCAGTTCCAGCCAACCCTGCTGCAATTGGGGAACTATGCCACTTGTTCAGAGTCCTCCCTGAAAATGTGCTTCTGCCTGAGCCAACATGACAGGCATGCCAGTCTCTGTCCCATGAATGGACTTCTTGCCACAGTAGATCCCAAGTGAGCCCAGTCTCAACTCTAGCCACTCTCACTGCAGTTGGGAACCCATCTGCCTATGTAGAGACCTGCAAAAAATTTCATCCATCTGAGACATAGCAACATTTTTGGACTATGATTTCTCACCAGCATTCCCACATGTCCCCAGTACCCTCCTTGGGTCTTCTGCATGTCCATTTAAACTAGAAATCTGCGTTAACTTCAGAGCCTTGCAAGACTTACAGCAAGCCTGGGCTCAGAGTGTCCTCTAGTGTTGAGACAATTGCAATGGTCTCAGATACAGGAAACTCATTAAGCGGTCTGTTTGGAATCTCTGGAAGGCCCTCTGAATAAGAATAAGAGCAAACAAAGCCAGACTGTGAAGATTAAAATGAATATCTAATCTTTAAATGTGTAGACATTGTTGCACATCCACAAGCATCAAGAGCGTTCAGAGAAATATAACCTGACCGAATATGACAAAATAAGATGCCAAAGACTGACCCTTAAGTGATGGAGATGTGTGATTTCTCAAACGAAGAATTCAAAATAGCTGTTTTAAGGAAGCTCCACAAATTTCAAAAAAAACCCCTACAGAGTATCTGATATACTTTGGCTGTGTCCCCACTGAAATCTCATCTTGAATGGTTGTTCCCATAATCCCCATGTGTAGTGGAAGTGATCCACCGGGAGGTAATTGAATCATGGGGACAGTTACCTCCATGCTGTTCTCATGATAGTGAGTGAGTTCTCATGAGATCTGATTGTTTTATAAGGGGCTTTCCCTGCTTTTGCTCAGCACTTCTCCTTCCTGCCATCATGTGAATTAGGACATGTTTGCTTCCCCTTCCACCATGATTGTAAGTTTCCTGAGGCCTCCCCAGCCATGTGGAACTGTGAGTCATTTAAATCTCTTTCCTTTATAAGTTACCCAGTCTCAGGCAGTCTCTTATAGCAGCATGAGAATGGCCTAATACAGTACATTGTTACCAAGTAGTCAGATGCTGCTGTAAAGATACCCCAAAATATGGAAGTGACTTTGGAATGGGGTAACAGGCAGAGATTGGAACAGTTTGGAGGGCTCAGAAGAAGACAGGAAGATGTGGGAAAGTTTGGAACTTCCTAGAGACTTGTTGAATGGCTTTGACCAAAATGCTGACAGTGATATGGACAATGAAGTCCAGGCTGAGGTGGTCTCAGATGGAGATGAAGAACTTGTTGGAAACTGGAAGAAAGGTGACTCTTGCTATGTTTTAGCAAAGAGACTGTTGACATTTTGCCCCTGACCTAGAGATCTGTGTGAACTTTGAACTTGAGAGGGATGATTTAGGGTATCTGGCAGAAGAAATTTCTAACCACAAAGCTTTCAAGATGTGACTTGGTGTTGTTAAAAGCATTCAGTTTTATGTATTAACAAAGATATGGCTTGGAATTGGAACTTATATTTAAAAGGGAAGCAGAGAATAAAAGTTCAGAAAATTTTCACCCTGACGATGTGCTAGGAAAGAAAAACCCATTTTTGGTGGAGAAATTGAAGCTACTGCAGAAATTTGTGTAAGTAATGAGAAGCCAAATGTTAATTGCCCAGACACTGGGGAAAATGTCTCCAGGGCGTGTCAGAGGATTTCACAGCAGCCCCTCCCATCACAGGCCTGGAAGCCTAGGAGGAAAAAGTGGTTTTATAGGCTGGGTCCAGGGCTTGCTTCTTTGTGCAGTCTTGGGACTTGGTGCCCTGCATCCTGGCCATGGCTAAAAGGGGCCAAGATACAGCTCAGGCCATGGCTTCAGAGGGTGCAAGCTCCAAGCCTGGGGAGCTTCCTTGTGGTGTTGAGCCTGTGGGTGCACAGAACTCAAGAATTGAGATTTGGGAACCTTTGCCTAGATTTCAGAGGATGTATGGAAATGTCTGGATGTCCAGGCAGAAGTTTGCTTCAGGAGCAGGGCCATCATGGAGAACCTCTGCTAGGGCAGTGTGGAAGGGAAATATGAGATCAGAGTCCCCACACAGAGTCCCCACTGGGTCACTGCCTAATGGAGCTGTGAGAAGAGGGCCACCATCCTGCAGACCCCAGAATGGTAGATCCACTGACAGCTTGCAATGTGCACCTTGAGAAGCCACAGACAATGCCAGCCCATGAAAGAAGCCTGGAGGGGGGCTGTACCCTGCAAAGCCACAGGGACAGAGCTGCCCAAGGCTGTGGAGCTCACCTTTTGCATCAGCGTGACCTGGATGTGAGACATGGAGTCAAAAGAGATTATTTTGGAATTTGAAGATTTAATTACTGCCTCATTGGATCTTGGACTTGCATGGAGCCTGTAGCCCCTTTGTTTTGGCCAACTCATCCCATTTCCAATGGGTGTATTTACCCAATACCTGTACCCCCATTGTATCTAGGAAGTAACTAAGTTGCTTTTGATTTTACAGGCTGATAGGTGGAAGGGACTTAATTTGTCTCAGATGAAACTTCGGACTTGGACTTTTGGGTTAATGCTAGAATAAATCAAGATGTTGGGGGACTACTGGAATGGCATAATTGTGTTTTGAAATGTGAGGACATGAGATTTGGGAGGGGCCGGGGCAGAATGCTATGGTTTGGCTGTGTCCCCACCCAAATCTCATCTTGAATTGTAGTTCCCATAATCTCCATGTGTCAAGGGAGGGACCCAGTGGGAGGTAATTGGATCATGGGGGTGGTTACTTCCAGGCTGGTCTCATGATAGTGAGTGAGTTCTCATGAGATCTGATGGTTTCATAAGGGACTTTTCCCCCTTTTGTTTGGCACTTCTCCTTCCTGCCAACAGAAGTGCCATCCTTTTTTTGGCACTTCCCCTTCCCATGGAAGGGGAAGAACGTGTTTACTTCCCCTTCCACAATGATTGTAAGTTTCCTGAGGCCTCCCCAGTCATGCAAAATGGTGAGTCAATTAAATCGCTTTCTTTATAAATTCCCCAGTCATTGGCAGTCCTTTATAGCAGTGTGAGAACAGACTAATACAGAATCAATTCAGAAACGTATGAGAAAATGTTAACAGAGAGATTGAATATAATTTTTGAAGATCAAACAGAATATTAGACCTGAAAAATGCAATGAATAAAATGAAAAAGATACAATTAAGAATGTCAAAGGCAGAATTGATCAAATAAAACAAATAAGAAAGAAAGGAAGAAAAAAGGCAAACAACAATAACAACAATAAAAATGCAGCTTCTTTTTCTTTTTTCCTTGGAAGGGGTTTATGACACACTCTTCCAGTGGCTACCTAGTGGCCTGGCTTCTAACTAACTTGCATTGGGGAGTTAAAGAAGCAGACAAGTGTTAACCTGAGAAGTAGATAGCCACTTTTCAAGCTTTCTTCTCCAGCTCACTGCAGTGATAATTAAGTCTATTAATTCCACCTGGAAGGAATTTGTTCACACATTTCACACATCAAGTGCCCCAACTTTTACAATTTCCACCTGAGGGAACTAATCCTCCTAGTTCTGGGAGTAGAGGAGACTGGAATGCATGTCTCTTCCAACCACAGTTAAAAAAAGTGACAGTTTTATATGGGCATGTGAGCACATCTGGGGTTACATCGCCCAGGAAGAGTAAGGAGAAGAGGTATAGAAAAACCCTGTCCCATTTTTCCCCAGAAAGTGTTTATGCCATGTATCAGTTGCCCCAAGTCAGACAGCTACCTCCTGAAGGACTCCTTAAACTTCTTAGCTCTGTGAACAGGGGGACAAGCATATTCTAGTCTTTCTAGATCATGGAACAAAAAAGTTGGTTTTAAATGGGAGTGCAACAAATTCCAGGGGCTACTCCCCCTTGAAGAAGTACAGAAAAGGAGCAAGAATGTGCAGCTCTTATTTTCTCTCCAGAAAGGGCTTACAGCACACTCTTCCTGTGGCTAAGTGATGGCCTAGCTATTAATGAACTTGCATTTGGGAGTTAATGGGGTAAACAAACAAGAGCCCTCTGACAGCCAGAGCAAGGGTTTGGCACTTCTTGAGACTTCCATCCAGCTTGCCCAATGATAAATCTAGGCTTACTCATTCTTCCTGGAAGGAGTTTGGCTATGGACCAAGTACTGCAAGTTTTATAGCTCTCACCAAATGGACTATCTCTTTAACAACTTAGCTGTGAGAGTCAATGGGGCTTTGTATTCCTGAGCTGCCCTAAACTACAGAAAACAAAGAAGTGGTTTTACAACAATTTCGTTCCAGAAGCTATCTGTCTATAGCAGAGGGTGTTATGATCAGAGGGTGCAGCATCAGTGTGAGCACAGCATTTCCCACGATCAGAGGGTGCAGCCTGAACAGGAGCACAGCATTTGCCACAGATTATCTCCCTGGCTTACTGCAAAGAGTTTTGGACCATAATGCCCATGCTCAGCTTCAGCGAAGATAGATGAAACTGGAACACACATTCATCATCCCAATCCTTTCAGTTACATTTAGAGAGTCAGGCTTCTACCTTAGCAGTCTCTGGGTACAGATAGGAGGAGGCACATCCTAAGCTCTATGGAGACATCAAAAACAGAGCCAGCAGTCTGAAAAAACACAAATATTTGAGAAGCATCTTAAAATCTCTGACCAGGTGGATTGGTGGAATTTTTTTTTCCTACAAAATCACAGTTTGACAGGACTGGAAGTTGTAGTTGTCTTATCTAATATGCAGAAATCAACACAAAGAGTCAAGAAAGACAAAGAAACATGGGAATATATAAGAACAAAACAAAACAAATAAATAAACCAAACAAAATCAGGAAGCCAGCCCAAATGAAATGGGGATATGTTATTTACCCAAAAGAGAATTAAAAATAATGATTATAAAGATGCTCAGCGAGGTCAGAAGGGGAATGCAAGAAGAAACTCAGAATTTCAACAAAGAGATAGTATAAAAAAGTAGCAAACAGAAATCATGGATCTGAAGAATACTATAACTGAACTGAAATATTCAATAGAGAGGTTCAATAGCAGACTAAATCAAGGAGAAAGAAAAACTGGTGAATTAGAATACAGGCCACTGGAAATCATCCAATCTAAGGAGAAAAAAAAACAAAAAACAAGAAAACAAAAGCAAGAGTGAAAAAGGGTGAAGGTAGCCTAAGTGACTTCCAGGACACTACCAAGAGGGAAAAGCCTATGCATTATTGGCATGTCAGAAGTAGAGGAAGGAGAAAAGGGAACAGAAAACATATCTGAAGAAATGATGGCAAAACTTCATAAGCCAAAGGAAAAAAAAAATCCTGATCCTAGTAGTAAGCCTAAATGACACCAACTAAGATGAATCCAAGGAGACTCAAACCAGGAAGCATTATAATCATATTGTTAAAAGTTTAAGATAGAAATGGAACGTTTAAAGCAGCAAAAGAGATACAAATCATCATGTATAAGGGAACCCTCATAGACTAACAGCAGATTTCTCAGCAGAAAACTTGCAGGCCAAAAAGAAGTAGAATAACTTATTCAAGGTCCTGAAAGACAAAATTGTCAACCAAGAATACAGTACCCAGAAGACCTGTCTTACAAAACATGCTGAAGAGAGTTTTCAAGCTGAACAAAAAGGATGCTGATAAGATTCATGAAATAAAATGAAAATATAAAACTCATTGGTAAAAGTAAGCACACTGTCAAATTGTAAACACTTTAATACTGTAATGGTGGTGGGCAAATCATTTATACCTCCAGTACAAAGATTAAAAAGAAAATATATTAAAAACAAATAGAGGTACTATAATTTGTTGAGGGATACAAAATTATAAAAAGATATATATTGTGACTTCAAAAATATAAACATGGGAAGAGAGGGAGCAAAAACTAGAGGTTGTATGTGTTATCAAAATAAAGTTGTTATCAATTTAAAATAGGCTGTAATAAGTATGTCTTATGCAAACATCAGGGCAACCCCAAGCCACACCTTATAATAGCTGTAAAATAAATAAAAAAGAAAAGATCCAAAGAATACCACTAGAGAAAGTCATCAAACCACAAAGGAAGAAAACAAAAGAGGAAGAAAGGAACGAAGGATCTACAATTGAACCAGAAGACAATTAACAAAACGGCAATAGTAACCCTTTACCTATCAATAATTACTTTAAGTGTAAATGAATAAAATTATCCAATTAAAAGTCATAGAGTGTATGAATAGATGAAACAAAGACTCAATTCGATGCTGCCTACAAAAGACTTATTTTACCTTAAGGAAGACTTATAGACTGAAGGTAACATCTTTTTATTATAAAAACTTGCAAGAAATGAGGTATAGAAGAAATGTTCCTCAATGCAATAAAGGCCATACATGACAAGCCAGAACTAAAATCAAGATGGTGAAAGGCTTTTCCACTAAGATCAGGAACAAGACAAGAATGCACTCTCCCACCACTTGTCAACATAGTATTGGAAGTCCTAGTCAGAGAAATTAGGGACCAGAAAAAATAAAAGGCATCCAAATAGGAAAGGATGAAGTGAAATAGTCTCTGTTTGCTGATGTCATTATCTTATATATAAAAAATCCAAAAATACTACAAAAATCAGTTGGAACTGATAAATAAATCCAGTAATGTTGCAGGATACAAAATCAACTTGCAAAATTCAGTAGTGTGTCTAAACACAGTTCAATGTTTAAAACTGTCTGAAAAAGAAATTTAAAAAACAATCCCATTTATAATAGCATAAATACTTAGGAGCAAATTTAACAAAAAATAAAATATCTGTATATTGAAAACTAGAAAACATTGATTAAAAAAACTGAAGATGACACAAGTATATGGAAACATATACCATATTCATTAATCAAAATAATTAATAGTGTTAAATTGTTCATACTTAAAGTGATCTACAGATTCACTGCTATCCCTATCAAAATTCATGTCATTCTTTACCAAAATAGAAAATACGATCTTAAAGTGTGAATGGAACTAAAGGAGCCCCCCAATAACCAAAAGAATCCTGAACAAGAAGAACAAAGCAGGAGGCATCACACTGCCAGATTTCAAAATATATTGCACAGCTATAGTAATCAAAACATCATAGTATTGGCATTAAAAACAGACATTTTGGCTAATGAAATAGCATGAGGAATAACCCCACATATCTACAGTAAATTGATTTCTGACAAAGGTACCAATAAGACACAATGAAGAAATGGGAGTCTCTTCAATAAGTGGTGTTGGGAAAATGCAATATCTACATACAGAAGAGTGAAAATGGACTCTTATCTCACCCCTTACACAAGCATCAATTTTAAATGTATTACAAACCTAAATGTAAGACCTGAAACTATAAAACTATGAGAAGGGACAAATACTGCAAAAGAAAAACTCCATGACATTGATCTGAATGGAGATGTATTGAATATGATGCCAAAAACACAGACAATGAAGACAAAGATACACAAAGGGTTTGTTTTTAGAGAAAAGCTCTCACTCTGTCACTCCATTGCCTATGCTGGAGTGAAGTGGCATGCTCACAGCTCACTGCAGTCTTGACCCCTGGGCCTGAGGGATTCTCCTGCCTCAGCCTCCCTAGTAGCTGGGATAATGTCTAGCTAAGTAAAAAAAAAAAAAATTTAGTAGACAGAGGGTCTTGATATGTTGCCCAGGCTGCTCTCTAACTGTGAGACCCCATCCCCCAACCTGGCCAATGACCACTGCCTTGGCCTACCAAAGGGCTGAAATTACAGGTATGAGCTACTGCTCTAAGTCAAGACTTAACTTTTTGATGGGCTGGTGGATTCAGTTTGCTAGTAATTATATTGAGGATTTTTGGGTATATGTTCATCAGGAATACTGGCTGGAAGTTTTCTTTTTCTACATGTCTCTGCCAGATTTTGGGATCAGAATGATGCTGGCTTCATAGAAAGAGTTAGGGAAGAGTTGTCCTAGATTTTTTTGGAATAGTTTCACTAGGATTGGTAGGACCTCTTCTTTGTATTTTTGTTAGAATTTGGCTGTGAATCCACCTGGTCTAGGGCTTTCATTGGTAGGTAGGGTTTTTTAAAAAATTACTGATTCAATTTCAGAACTAGTCTTTGGTCTATTTAAGTTTTCACTTTCTTCCTTATTCAATCTTGGGAGGTCATTTGTTTCCAGAAATGTATCCATTTTCTCTAGATTCTCTAATTTATTTGCATATGTTTATAACCGTCTTTGAGGATATTTTCTATTCTCGTGGGATCAGTTTTAATATCATCTTTGTTATTTCTGATTGTGTTTATTTGGATATTCTCTTTTTGTCTTTGTAATCTAGCTAATGGTCTATCAATCTAGTTTATTCTTTCAAAGAACCAACTTTTGGTTTCGTTGGCTTTTGTATGACTTTTTACATCCTAATTTTATTCAGATCTACTTATTTTAGTTATTTCTTTTCTTCTACTAGCTTTGGGTTTGGTTTGCTCTTGTTTTCCAAGTTTCTCTCAGTGTGATGTTATATTGTTAATTTGAGATCTTTCTATCCTTTTGGTTTAGGTCTTCAGTGCTATAAACTTTCCTCTTAACACTGCTTTAGCTGCATCCCAAATTATTTTAATAATGTTGTTTTTGTCTATTTTCATCAATTTCAAAGAATTTTTAAATTTCTCACTTAATGTTGGGAAAATGGAATATCTACATAGAGAAGAGTGAAAACAGACTCTTATCTCACCCCTTATACAAGCATCAATTTTAAATGTATTACAAACCTAAATGTAAGACCTGAAACTATAAAACTATAGCTTTCTTCATTCAGGAGCAAGTTGTTTAATTTCTGTGTAATTATTGACATCTTGACTGTGTAAAGTCTTACTATTTAGGATCATCATACATGTTTATTCAAGCATTTTTAATGTACCTCTGAAAACAGAACATTGGCCAGTAGACCTCATGTTTTTCTGGATATGATGGCAAAGGCCAGAAAGCTAAGGTGTGGGCTCCAGTGCTGCCTATTGCTCCAGAAGTGCCACCTGTCTTGACCCAGGAGACTCCAGAGAGACTATTGTTTGTCCAACCCAGTCCCATCAGGACATCTGTTCACTCATCTCCCATTACAGCTGCCTCTACTGCCAGTGTCCTAAGGATGAGGACCACCATTGGGACCAAGAAGCTGCTGGCTTTCATATTGTCAGTAAGGTGCTTGACAAAGAGCTGAGACCAAATCTGTCTTTATGCAGTCCCAGCTTGGCCTGGCTCCAGGGGTGGGTCTGGTATTTACAAGGAACAAGACATAGCCTTAGCTCTATCAGGAAATATCCACCCCTTTATGGAGGGCCCTGGAATCTTTACCCAAAAATTATTCACTGGGATAAGCGACAGACATTACATTACATCACATCACCACTGATTCTCCCAAGAGCTTTTCTACTTTCTTGCAGAGAAGAAGTGCTGGCTCACTTCTCAGGCAACATTGCAATCAAATTCTTAATATTTTCAAACACTCTGAGACCCAAGAATAGAAGAGAGTTACCCAAGGTCATTCAGCTACTCACTGGGAAATCCAGTCTTGATTATAAAGCCAGGGTGTTTCCCTATTATGTCCTCATCCTACAAACCCCACCCAGATCTACCCTATCATTTTACTCCTCCCAGTATCACACTGGGCTTTTCTTTCCTTCTTCTCTGGTCTTGAGAAAAACTTTGTAAGGAAGTTTGTTTTAAAAGCTTAATGGCTAATCATTGTGAAACTCTAAGCACAAGAGAAAGAAAAAATGTACTAATGAGATTCAAAATATTTGGGAAGGCAAGAGAAAGTATCAGTAAACTTCAAGATATGTCTTTTGAAATGATCCCATCTGTAGAACAAAGGAAAAAGGAAGAAAAAAGAACATGCCTGAGAATACTGTGGGACATCATCAAGCTTACCTACATAGGCATAATGGAAGTCCCAGAACAAGAAAAACACAAAGGGGAAGAAAAAATATTTGAAGTAATAATGGCAATAGTCACATTCTTGATGATATATGTGACTCTATATTTCCGTGAATCTCAAAGAACTCCAAGCAGTATAAACTTAAAGAAACCTACATTTATGCATATTATATCCAATTGTTGAAGCTCAAAGACAAAGGGAGAAGCCATAAAGCAGCAAGAGAGAAGTAACTCACTACATACAATAGATTCTTAAGATATTAGCTTCAGATTTCTTGCCAGAAACCATGTTTGTCAGAAGGCAATGAGAAAACATTTTCAAAGTGCTGAAAAAAAAACCTATCAGCCAAGAATTCTGTATGTAGCATAATTATCCTTCAAAAATGAAGGAGAAATGAAGACATTCCTAGTATAAAAAAGTGAGAGTTTGTAGTTAGGAGACTTACTCTATAAGAAATGCTAAAGGGAGTTCTTCAGGCTGAAATGAAAAGAAACTAGACACTATTCAAAGTCATACAAAGAAAGAAAGAACACTGGTAAAAGTAACTACATAGGTAAATATAGAAGCCAACATTATGAATTACTTGTAACTTCCCACTTTTCTATAAGATTTAAAGGCAAATGCATGAGAATATTATTATAAAGCTCATTAATGGGTACATGATGTGACAATAAAAACATATAGAAGGTTATACTAATGTGTGAGTGAGCATGAATCCCACTGCCACTGCTCAATGAAGTGCTTTGGCCAGTACCACACATTGGAATATTATGGCCAGAGGACTGAGAACACCTCAGCAATCCAGAGCAGCAGGTTTCTAACTTTGAGGGGCCCAAGAATAAAGCTAGGGGCCTGTTACCACCCCCACTCCAGAGTTAGAGCATGCAGTCCAGGGGTCCTGAACTGAGCCTTGGGCCTTAAAATCATGCCAGAAATGAACCCAGTTGACTGAACTCAACTTATAGCAAAATCAACCACCCAAGGGCATCAAAGAAGATAAAAGCAAACAAAACAAAAAACAACTCATCCAAAGGACAGCAACTTCAAATGTTGAAGGAACATTGCCTGCAAAGATGAGAAAGAACCAACGCAAGAACTCTGGCAACTCAAAAGGTGGCAGTGTGTTTTTACCTCCAAATGACCATATTAGTTTTCCAGAAATGGTTCTTAACCAGGCTTAAATGGCTGAAATGGCAGAAATAGAATTCAGAATATGGATAGGAATGAAGATGATTGAGATTCAGGAGAAAGTAAAAACCCATTCCATGAAATCTTAGGAATACAATAAAATGATACCAGGAATAAAGATATAGTGGCCATTTCAAGAAAGAACAAAACTGATCTGATAGAACTGAAAATCTGACTTCAAGGTTTTCAGAATACAATTGCAAGTAGAATCAACCAAGATGAGGAAAGAATCTCAGAGCTTAAGACCTCAAAGCTATTTTGGTTCTTCAAAATAACTCAGTCAGACAAAAATAAAATGAAAACGATTATGAAGAATGAGGAAAACCTCCAAGAAATATGGGAATATGTAAAGAGACCAAATCTGTGACTCACTGGTGTTCCCGAAAGGAGGGAGAGAAAGTGAGGAACTTGGAAAACATATTTGAGAATATTACCCACGAAAATTTGCCCAACCTCACTAGAGAGGCCAAGATTCAAATTCAGGACATGTAGAGAACCCCTGCAAAATATCATACTAGATGACCAATCCCAAGATGCATAATCATCAGATTCTCCAAGATCAAAATAAAAAAAAAATGTTAAGGGCAGCTAGAAAGAAGAGGCAGGTCACCTACAAAGGGAAGCCCATCAGGCTAATGACAAACCTGTCAGCAGAAACTATACAAGCCAGGAGAAATTGGGGGCCTATATTCAGCATTTTTAAAGAAAAGAAATTCCAACCGAGAATTTAATATCCAGCCAAACTAAGCTTCATAAGTCAAGGAGAAATACAATCTTTTTCAAGGAAGGAAATGCAAAGAGAATTCATTACCACCAGACCTGCCTTACAAAAGGCCCTAAAGGGAGTGATAAATATGGAAAGAAAAGACCATTACCAGCCACTAAAAAACACACTTAAGTACATAAACCATTGACACTATAAAGCAACCACACAACCAAATTTTGTATTAACCAGGTAACAATACAATGACAGGATCAAAACCACACCTATCTATATTAACCTTGAATGTAAAAAGGCTAAATGTCCCAATTAAAAGGCACAGAGTGGTAAGTTGGATAGAGAACCAAGACACAACTGTATGCTGTCTTCAAGAGTCCATCTCACATGCAATGACACCTATAGGCTCAAAGTAAAGGGATGCAGAAAAATCTACCAAACAGACACAACACAGAAAAAGCCAGGTGTTCCTATTCTAATTTCAGGCAAAACAGACTTTAAACCAATAGAGATTAAAAACACACACACACACACAAAGAAGGGCATTAGAGAATGGTGAAAGGCTTAGTTCAGCATGAAGACCTAGCTCTGCTAAATATATATGCATCTAGCACAGGAGCACCCAGATTCCTAAGTCAAGCTCCTAAAGACCTATGAAGAAACTTAGATAACCACACAATAATAGTGGGAGACTTTAACACCCCACTGACAGAATTAGACAGATCTTTGAGGCAGAAAATAACAAAGATATTTGGGACCTGAACTCAACACTGAACCAAATGGACCTAACAGATATCTACAGGACTCCCCACCCAAAACCAACATAATACTCACTCTTCTCATTTGCACTTGCCACATACTCTAAAATTGACCTCACAATTTGACATAAAACAATCCTCAGCAAATTCAAAAACACCACATTCATACCAACCACACTCTTGGACCACAGCACAATAAAAATAGAAATCAATGCAAAGAAAATTGCTCAAAGCCATGCAATTACATGGAAATTAAACAACCAGCTTCTTAATGATGTCTCAGTAAATAATGAAATTAAGGCAGACATCAAGAAATTCTTCAAAACTAGTGAAAAAAAAATACAGCATACCAGAATCTGTGGGACATAGCCAAAGCAGTGTTAAGGGAAAAGTTTATAACACTAAATGCCCACATTAAAAAGTTAGAAAGATCTCAAATTAACAACTTAAGATTACAACTAGAGGAACTAGAGAAACCAGAGTAAACCAACACCAAATCTAGCAGAAGACAAGAAGTAACAAAAGTAAGAGCTGAACTGAAGGAAATTGAGACACAAAAAAACACGCAAAATTCAATGAATCCAGAAGCTGTTTCCTTAAAAGAATAAAGAAGATTGATATATTATTAGCTAGGGGGATAAAGAAAAAAAGAGAGAAGATCCAAGTAAACACAACCAGAAATCACAAAGGGGATGTTATCACTAACCCCACAGAAATACAAACAACTCTCGGAGACTACTTGGAACACTCTGCAGACAAATTAGAAAACCTAAAGCAAATGGATAATATTCTAGAATTGTACAACCTTAAGATTCAATCAGAAAGAAATTGAATCCCAAAAGCAATGGCAACAAAAGCCAAAATTGACAAATGGGATCTAATTAAACTAAAGAGCTGCTGCACCGCAAGAGAAACTACCAACAGAGTGAACAGAGTGAACAGGCAACCTACGGAATGGGAGAAAATTTTTGCAATTTACTCATCTGACAAAGGGCTAATATCCAGAATCTACAAAGAACTCAAACAAATTTACAAGAAAAAAACAAACAACCCCATCAAAAAGTGGGCAAAGGATATGAACAGACATTTCTAAAAAGAAGACATTTATGCAGCCAATAGACACATGAAAAAATGCTGATCATCACTGGCCATCAGAGAAATGCAAATCAAAACCTCAATGAGATACCATCTCACACTGGTTAGAATGGTGATCATTAAAAAGTCAGGAAACAACAGGTACTGGAGATGATGTGGAGAAACAGGAACACTTCTACACTGTTGGTGGGACTGTAAACTAGTTCAACCATTGTGGAAGACAGTGTGGGGATTCCTCAAGGATCTAGAACTAGAAATACTATTTGACCCAGCCATCCCATTACTGGGTATATACCCAAAGGATTATAAATCATGCGGCTATAAAGACACATGGACACGTATGTTTATTGCAGCACTATTCACAATAGCAAAGACTTGGAACCAACCCAAAATTCCATCAATGATAGACTGGATTAAGAAAATGTGGCCCATATACATCATGGAATACTATGCAGCCATAAAAAAGGATGAGTTCGTGTCCTTTGTAGGGACATGGATGAAGCTGGAAACCATAATTCTCAGCAAACTATCACAAGGACAAAAAACCAAACACCGCATATTCTCACTCATAGGTGGGAATTGAACAATGAGAACACTTGGACACAGGAAGGGGAACATCACACACCAGGGCCTGTCATGGGGAGCGGGGAGGGATAGCATTAGGAGATATACCTAATGTAAATGACGAGTTAATGGGTGCAGCACACCAGCATGGCACATGTATACATATGTAACAAACCTGCATGTTGTGTACATGTACCCTAGAACTTAAAGTATAATAAAAATGTATACATAAAAAAATTAAAAGGCTATTAACTTCAAAAAAAAAAAAAGCCTACCAACAAGAAAAAGCTCAGGACCAAACAATTCACAGTCAAATTTATAACATGTATAAAGAAAAGCTCATATTGCTCCTACTGAAACTATTCCAAAAAACTGGAGAGGAGGGACTCCTCCCCAACTCATTCTATTAGGCATCATCCTGATACCAAAACCTGGCAGAGACACAACAACAAAAAAAACTTCAGGCCATTGTCCTTGGCAAACACTGATGCAAAACTCCTTAAAAAATTACTAGCAAATCAAATCCAACAACACATCAAGAAGTGAATCCACCATGATCAAGTAGGCTTTAACTTTGGGATGCAAGGTTGGTTCAACACTTGTGAATTAATAATTGTGATTCACTACATACACAGAACTAAAAACAAAAATGTGATTATCACAACAGATGCAGAAAAAGGTTTTGATAATGTTCAGTGTTCCTTCATGTTAAAAACCCTCCACAAACTAGGCATTGAAGGAACATACTTGAAAGTAATGAGTCATTTCTGAAAATCCTACAGCCAGGATAATAGTAAATGGGCAAAAGCTGGAAGCATTTCCCTTGAATAACAGAACAAGACAAGGATTCCCTCTCTCACCTCTCCTATTCAACATAGCACTGGAAGTCCTAGCTAGAGGAATCAGGAAAGAGAAAGAAATAAGAAGTTTCCAAATAGGAAGAGAGGAAGTTAAACTATCCCTGTTTGCAGGCAATATGATTCTATACCTAGAAAACCCCATAGTTTCTGTCTAAAAGCTTCTTGATCTGATAAACCACTTCAGAAAAGTTTCAGGATACAAAATTAATGCACAAAAGTCAGCAGCATTCCTATATACCAACAAATCTAAGCTGAGATAAATCAGAAATGCAATCTCATTAACAATAGCCAAATAAGAAAAAAATTCCTAGGAATATAGTTAACCCAGGAAGTGAAACATCTTTACAACAAGAATTACAAACCACTACTCAAAGAAATAAGAGATGACACAAATAAATGGAAAAACATTCCTATGCTCATGGTTAGGAAGAATCAATATTGTTAAAATGGCCATACTACCCAAAACAATTTACAGATTCAATTCTATTCCTATGAAACTACCAATGACATTCTTCACAAAAGTAGAAAAAACTATTTTAAAATTTATATGGAACCAAAAAAGAGCCTGAATAGCTGAGTCAATCCTAAGCAAAAAGAACAAAGCGGGAGGTGACACATTGCTTGACTGCAAACTATACTTCAAGGCTGCAGTAACCAAAACTGCATGGTACTGGTACAAAAACAGATACCTAGAACAATGGAACATTACAGAGCCCAGAAATAATTAATGCTGCAAACCTACAACTATCTAATCTTCAACAAAATCAACAAAAAAAGAAACAATGGGGGAAGGGACTTCCTATTAAATAAATGATTCTGGAATAACTGGCTAGCCATATGCAGAAGACTGAAATTGTACCCCTTCCTTAAACCATATACAAAAATCTACTCAAGATGTATTAAAGACTTAAATGTAAAACATAAAACTATAAAACCCTGCAAGGTAACCTAGGAAATATGATTCTGGACGTAGAACTTGGTAAATATTTCATGATGAAGATGCCAAAAGCAATAGCAACAAAAACAAAACTTGACAAATAGGACCTAGTTAAACTAAAAAGCTTCCGCACAGCAAAAGAAACTATCAGCACAGTAAACCAACAACCTACAGAATAGAAGAAAATATTTGTGAGCTATGTGTCCAACAAAGGTCTAATATCCAGAATCTATAAGGAACTTAAACCAGTTAACAAGCAAAAAACAGACAACCCCATTAGAAAGTGGGCAAAGGACATGAACAGAAACTTCTCAAAAGAAAACATACATGTTGCCAACAAACAAATGAAAAAATGCTCAACATCACAGATCATTAGAGAAATGAAAATCCAAACAGTAATTGAGATAGCATCTCACACCAGTCGTTATAACATAACATATGCTGTCAAGGTTGTAGAGAAAAGGGAACATTTATACACTGCTGGTAGGAATGTAAATTAGTTCAGCCAGCATGGAAAGCAGTATGGCAATTTCTCAAAGAACTTAAAACAGAATTACCATTCAACCCAAGATATTCCATTAATGGTTATATACCCAAAGGAATATAAATCATTCTATCATAAAGACACATCCATGTAGTATGTGAATCACAGAACTATTCACAGTATCAAAGACATAGAATCAACCTAATTGCTCATCAATGATAGACTGGATAAAGAAAATGTGGTATGTAAACACCATAGAATACTACGAGTCATAAAAAAGAACAAGATCATGTCCTTTGCAGCAACATGGATGGAGCTGGAGGCCATTATCCTAAGCAAACTTTCACAAGAACAGAAAAGAAAATACCACATTTTCTCACGTATAAATGAAAACTGAACATTGAGTACATATGGACACAAAGAAGGGAACAATGGACACTAGGGCCTACTTGAGGGTAGAGAATGGGAGGAGCGTGAGGATCAAAACACGAATCGAGTACTATGCTGATTACCTGGTGATGAAATACTTCTGCACACGAACCCCCCCATGACATGAAATTTACCTATACAACAAACCTGCACATGTACCCCTGAAACTAAAATAAAAGTTAAAAATAAAACCCCAAAATTAGACACACAGTCTGTTCATGAGGCTTGATGGAAACAGCAGGCAAGTTTATCCACTACTGGTGGGATTACAATATGGTACAACCCCTATCAAGGGAAATATGGCAATATTATCAAAATTTCAAATGCATTTCACCTTTGTATAAGCAAATATACTTCTGGGAATCTGGTTCACAAGAAAGCAAGCTAAGAAAGGCCACATGTGGTATAGTTTGTAATGGCAAAATATTGGAAACAACTTGCGAGGGTAGCAATGTGGGTTTATTGAAAGCTAAGGTAGTCTATAAATGATTCGCTCTGCAGCTTTCTCTCTCTCTCTCTCTCTCCAAGCAATCAAAGAACTAGAACATTACTAATAACCAACAACTTAAATCAACCCGTGTCCTTCTCACCCATCCAGAATGTTTTCTTCTCTCGTTTCCAGAGTTAGCCACTATCTTGTATGTCATTTTTATAGTTTTTTCATTTTTTATGTATCCCTTTTTGAGCTTTGCTTCATATGTAAATATGCCTAGGCAATATATTTCCCAGTTCTCCTTCATTTGAGTTTTATGACAAGTGGGTAATTCTAAATATTGTCACTGTGGACTTGTGTTGTTTATTCAACATTATTTTAATTATGGTCATATTGTGCATGGCTGTAATTCAGTTATTTTCATAATTGTATAATACTTCCTTGCATTAATATGTCATGACATATTTATGCATTAATATGTCATGACATATTTATCCAGTATTTTAGTATTGGTAACATGGACTGTTTCCAGTATGTTATTGTTAAAAACAGTACTTTTATGAACATTATTGTGCATGTTTCTTGGTAAACATGTGGAAATATTTTCCTTAATTAAATCTTTAGGAGTGCAATTGCTGAATTATAGATTGTGTACACATTCAATTTTACTAGCTGATGTCAAACTGTTTTTAAATGTTTCACCAATATAGACTCTCATTAGTAATGCATAAAAGTTTCTTTTCTACTACAAATCAATAAGAAAAGATAAACAACCCATTCAAATCTAAAATAAAAGTTGAAATTAAATAAATAAGTAAATAAAAGGTAAGATACTTGAATTGGCACTTCACAAAAGAGGATAGCCAAATGGATAATAGAAATATTAAAAATGGGCCGGGTGCAGTGGCTCATGTCTGTAATCCTAGCACTTTGGGAGGCCAAGGCAGGTGCATCATCTGAGGTCAGCGGTTCGAGACAAGCCTGACCAACATGGTGAAACTGCAAAATATAAAAATTAGCTGGGCATGGTGGCATGTGCCTGTAATCCCAGCTACTTGGGAGGCTGAGGCAAGAGAATCACTTGAACCTGGGAGGTGGAGGTTGCAGTGAGCTGAGATTGTGCCATTGAACTCCAGCCTGGGTGACAAGAGCGAAATTCCATCTCAAAAAAAAAAAAAAAAAAAAAAGGAGTATTAAAAATGGGTCAGCTTCACCAGTTATTAGGAAAGTGTAAATTCAAATCACAGGAAATCCCACAAGATGTCCACCTGAATGGCTAATGAAAAGGCAAATCATATGAGGCATTGGTGAGATTATGGAGCAAATGGAATGCTCACACATTGCTGATAGCAGTGTGAATTGGTACAATGATGTTGGAAAATTGATTGCAGTATTTATGACAGCTGGATGTATCTATACTCTGTGATCTGTACTCTGTGATCCAGCAATTCCATTCCTAACCATATATCCAAAATAAATGCATACCTATGTTCTGCAAGAGATATGTACAAGAATATTCATAGCAACACTATAATAGCTAAAACCTAGAAATATCCAATGTATATTGACAGTAGAATGAATATATAACATTTTTGGTATTTTTCATAGAATACTGTACAGCAGTGAAAATGATGAACTACAGGTGTAGACTTCAAAATGGATGACTCTCAAAAATATAATGTTGAGCAACATAAGCAGGACATATGAACACTATACCTTAGATTTCATTTACATACAAATTGAAAAAGTATACTAAACTGAATATATATTTCAGAATACAGACAGAAGTGGCATAACTATAAAGGAAAGCAAGGGCTAATTACCATAAAATCTTAGGAAGCAGTTATCTCTGGGGAGGAAGGAGAATGAAGCAACTGAGGAGAGGCATGGAGCATAGATATAGCAAATATTCTCCTCCTTTACCTGGCAGCTCATTTTAATGCTATTCTTTAAAGAATATAGGTATTTTCTGTGAGCTTTTTATTTGTTTGTATGGCTTATTGTACAATGAGCTTTTGTGTAAGGTAGCCAAAGGCTTCCACAGTCTGACATTCGTTTATGTCTCCCTCAGTTTCAGGCTTGGTGGGCATGTGGTCAGAGTCTAAATCGACAAGGGGTGGGGATTTCACCAGCTGAATTAGTGTCCAATAATTAGTTTGTTACCTTCCCTGCCTTAACTCCACCTCAACTCAGTGACTTTCTTAACTCAGATTCTGTCCCTGACAATACCCAACTTCAGGATATTCATTTCTATTACTCAGAACTTTTGGTAACAATGACAGAATAGTAAGTCAGACTAGCTGAAGCAGAGGGCTAATTTATTGCCTCATAACCCAACCATGAGAAGGGTGTGTGAAGAACTGCTCTCAAGGTAAAGGAGGGAAACCTGGCTGTGTCATCTGAATCTTCTCTCACCATCACTTCTCTCCTTGTCTCAGTGTATTAGAGTCGTTTTTCTCAGACAATTGATCTCCACCCCCAGACTTAGATAACCACTTCTGGAATTCCCTGGTTCATATATATCACCTTTTCCAGAAGAAGGAACCCCCGTTTTCCCCTTTCATTACTCATTCAAATAAAATATGTTAATAGACCAGACCAAGTCTCACACACAACACACACACACACACTCACACACACACACACACACACACACCCCTACCTGTGGTCAGGGGTCAGGCTTTCATGATTAGCAGTCCCCATTAGACTCACAAGTTGATGGTTCAAAGAGACAACAATTCTTCACAAGAAACAGGGTGCTGTTCAAAGAAGTGGGGAGGCATGCTGGACACACACACTGTAGATGTCCAATGTATACATGATACATGTTTTCTACTACTTTCTGATTATTTTCTCCCTACCACTGTGATTTCAAGGGCATCATCCCTCTTCAGACCTAGAATTCCACCTTCCAATTACTTTCTTGATGCATCTGAAAGGCCGTCTCTGAAACAGCAAAGTGCAATAATTAGTCATTATGTATTCAAGGCAAATTTGTCTTACAGAGTTTTTTGCAGGACCAGGGAAGAAGGAAGGAAATGCCCAGTTTGATGCTGGGAGTGGTAAAATGATAAAGTAGATCTGGGTGGGGTTTGTAGCACCAGAGCATAATGGAGAAACACCTTGGTTTTGTAATCAAGACTGGATCTACCAGTGACTTGCTGAATAACCTTCGGTGATTCCTTTCTCTTCTTGGGTCTCACTGTATTTCAAAACATGAAGAATTTCATTGTAATGTTACCTAATAAGTGAGCCAGCACTTCTACTCTGTGAGAAAGTAGGAAAACTCTTGGGACAATCAGAGATGATGTGATGTAATGTCCATTAGTTCTTCCTGTGAATAATCCTGAGGGAAAGCCCCCAGGTCCCTCCCAGAATGGGGTGGATATTTCCCAATACAGCTAAGGAATTATCCCTTGTAAATACCACAGACCCGCCCCTGGAGCCAGGCCAAGCTGGACTGCATAAAGATTGGTATGGCCTTAGCTCTTAGCCAAACACCTTCCTGACACCATGAGGGCCAGCAGCTTCTTGATCGTGGTGGTGTTCCTCATCGCTGGGACGCTGGTTCTAGAGGCAGCTGTCACGGGAGGTGAGTGAACAGGTGACCTGCTGGGCTGGGTTGGACTAAGGGGAGACCCTCTGGGACACCCTGGGCCAGGACAGGGAGCACTTCTGAAGCAGTAGGCAGCACTGGAGCCCAGATTTCAGCTTTCTGTTCTTTGCCATCATATTCAGAAAAAATAGGACTTTGGCTGGTGGACTCCACGTGCTTTCCACCTCAGTGACTGAGATATCAGGACTGTTTGTGGAAGTAATGTTGGTATGTGGCCTTGGCCTCAGATGTCAATACCTGTGCAGAATGTGCAATAAAATAATGAACTCCAGGATTTTAAACCTTGGGTGTGGACACAGTCCCCCGTTTCTCTGCCCCATAAAAGCACTGGAGTAATCAGTACTCTAAAAGGAGGTTAAGAAACAACAAGCCTTCAGGAATCATGTTGTTTGAGGACCCCCATTTTATAAGGAGGGAACCAAAAATGTAGAAATGAGTGAGCAATTGCCAAGGTAATTCCCAGAGCCAGGATGGGGCTCAAGTCTCCTAGTATGTGGCTCAGGGTTCTTTCCTACTCCAATGCACTTCCTAACAAATGACAATGTGTCCTCTTCACTGCTGGGTGTCACCCCAGTCTGACCACTGCTCCTGAGAGACTTGGAGTGGAGGAAGGGGGAAGAAACAAATACTCAAGGGAACTCTGGTCCAGTAGACCACCCCAAAAAAGGAAGAGCCTTCCAAGAGTGTAGCTCCCAGAGGTGTACCTTCCCTACTCAGGCCATGGTTTGAGGATGCTGCAGTAAGCAGTGGATGGACCCAGACCCAGAGGAAAGACATGGCAGCTGAAGCAGAGGCTTACTGGGTATAAATGTGGGCTCGTTTCTTCTTTTAACAGTTCCTGTTAAAGGTCAAGACACTGTCAAAGGCCGTGTTCCATTCAATGGACAAGATCCCGTTAAAGGACAAGTTTCAGTTAAAGGTCAAGATAAAGTCAAAGCGCAAGAGCCAGTCAAAGGTCCAGTCTCCACTAAGCCTGGCTCCTGCCCCATTATCTTGATCCGGTGCGCCATGTTGAATCCCCCTAACCGCTGCTTGAAAGATACTGACTGCCCAGGAATCAAGAAGTGCTGTGAAGGCTCTTGCGGGATGGCCTGTTTCGTTCCCCAGTGAGGTGAGCACTAGCTGGAGAACGAGGAGACCCCTGAAGACACAAAAGAAGGCTGAGCGGTGGGGAAGCATCCCAGGTTGGTGGGAGGGAGGTTGTGGGAGGTGACAGAAAGACTGGGAGACTGAGGGGTCTGAGAGGCTATAACCAGAGTGCCTAGAAGGATGATCTGTCTTCCTCACTGCCTCTGAGTGCTTTGATGTGCTGACTCTCACCTCTGATACTCTTCTCTTCCACAGAGGGAGCCGGTCCTTGCTGCACCTGTGCCGTCCCCAGAGCTACAGGCCCCATCTGGTCCTAAGTCCCTGCTGCCCTTCCCCTTCCCACACTGTCCATTCTTCCTCCCATTCAGGATGCCCACGGCTGGAGCTGCCTCTCTCATCCACTTTCCAATAAAGAGTTCCTTCTGCTCCACTTGTTTCTGGTTCCTATGACTTCTGGGCTCCTGGATGCTTTGGGGAAATGGATGTAGAATTGGGACTTCTTCTCTCCAGTGAAGAGGGGAAACGGTCCCATGGTGAAAGAGAGCAGGGCGGGGGGAGGAAACAGGAGGCACATTGCTAGGGCTTCATATTACAAATCCAATAATCAGCCCCAGTGCTGCCAGCTCCTTTTCACCAGGAAATGGAAATATGGAAATCTTGCCTTTGGCCAAGGACCAGGAAAAACACAAAACACAAAAAATAAATAAACATTACATAAACCATAAGCAGGTCTTTTTTTTCCAATCCACCATCAGTCCTGACCTGGCTACTGTCGGCCTTACCAGTGTGACCAGCCAACCCTTATGGCTGCAACTACAGCTCCCCACTTCCTTCTCATTAATGTTTCCCAGGAATCTATATCTTTTCAACACCACATAGAAAGGATGATGTTACAGATGCTGCGAAACTCCTGCTCTTTAGAATTTCACTGGTTTATGCCTGAGATTCCTCCATGAAGTAGCATTCCTTTAGGTTAAGCAATATTCTCTTCCAGATTTCTGTTTTAAGATGTGAATGAGGAGGCAAGATACACTAAGTCCTTCATACTATGGTGTCAGAGGTTTGGGTGAATAGCATTCTCTGGAGACATACATGTTGGGGGCAGGGCAGACTTGAGTAGTGGAGAAAGGGGCAGGAATATGAGCAACCTCATGGCTCTCCTGTTGACCCACTCGTCCCACTGCGATTGCACAAGGAAACTCTCAGAGAAGGCCACAGCCCCCAGGAGGGGAGCAGCCTGGGTGAAGGGGAATAAGCACAGGCTTGACAGTCAGGTGATCTCAGCACTGGCTTTGCCTCCCCACGTATTGGGTGACCTCTGGCAAATGTATGTCCCCCTTCCAGGCCTCAGAGGTCTATTTCAGTTGAGGGGGTAAGGTATAATTATTCTGCAAAGGAAGGTCTAATCCTGCCACTCTGGGATATGAAACAGCTCTTCTTTGTGTATTGGGTTCTTGCTCTGAGATGACATGGGGAGCAGAGGCTTGGGGTGAGACAATGTGGATCCCTGCACCACTTTGCCCCATCCACGAGCATCTGAGCCATGATTTTTCCCTATTGTTCAGAGGCTAGTCCGAACAACTGTAGGGCTTTGACACTAGGGTGTCTTGGAGTACAGGTGACAGCAGTACCCAAACTTCTGGCTTGACAAATACAAAATACATCATTGGAGGAAATAATGGTTTCTGTTTTTTAATATTTACTCTATTTCCTATACCTAGTAGATTACATGTATTGTCACTTATTTTTCATAAGTCCCTTTCAGATGGCCATTATACATATTTTATTTTCTAATTTTGTAAAAAGATTGAAGCTAAGAGAGATTAAGTAACCATTAAAAGCCACAAGGTTAGTAAGTGATAGTAAATGATATTTTTATTATATGCTAGCAACAATCAGTTAGACATGCTGCATTTTCTATTATTAATATCAACAAAATCACACCATTGCTATAAATAAACAAGAGAGAGGCAGAGCTTTAGAAGAGAAATCTATGTAACTTTTCAGAGGCATATAAAAATGCTTGAATATACACATACTCACAATACATGAATATGCACATATCACAATACATGAAGACTATGTGGTGAAGATGTCACTATTTACTCAATATTTAATATTTATTTAATTTATCCCTAAGGTGTATTATACCCAAAATCCATTTTTAATATGGTGTGGTTATGGAGGTTAAGGGAACTTGAAACCATACTTAAGTTTATGGGGAAGCATAAATTCTTGTGAATAGGCGTAGATGTTTACAAATGAAGATTAACCCTAGGGCTCTGGAACCTCCTAGACTTAAAAAAAAGTTTTGCAAAGTAACAATAATCAATATGTTGTTTTTATTAGAAGAATAGTCAGGTTGAGAAATCAATAGAAAACAAAAGAAAACCCAGAATCAGGCCTCATTATATCTAATTCAGGTAAAGATCAATGTCAAGTTCCAAAACAATGAAGAAAACTTGAATTTTTTAAGAAACAAGATTCAGACGGTAGGTTCACTATTTGCAAAAACAAAAGAACTAACTCTGGTCTGAATTCAGGCAAAGATTAAGCCACTGAGAGAGAAAAATTGAAAGGTTCCAAAAAGACACTTTCTTTTCGCTCAGGAAGCAGGCCAGGATGACAGTCCATGCCTAGCAAGGTAGCTGAGCAACTCAAGATCTCACAGAGACCAGTGGTTTCTTCCATCCAGGATTTGCTGTGGAACAGAGACTGTAATTCCTTTCATGTTCAGTCAGGCAGGGACACATCTCCCAAGAAGACCCTGCCATTTGGAATAGTCCTCTGACTGCAGTAGGAGAGGGTGGAGCTGATACTGGGCCCCTCAGGATCTGCTGTGGCACAGTGGCTGGAGATCCCGATCTCATTGGCTTAGAAGGAGTGCACATCTTCCAGCAAGTTCCTGCGGAGACGTAATAGTTTCCTGATTCCAGCAGAAGGAGCTGAAGCTGGGAATGGCCCCACCTTGGGATCTGCTGTGGGATGGAGGCTGGAGAGTCCATCTTGTTGGCCAAGACAAGTACATATCTCCCTGCAAGTCTCAGCACCGAAAGGATAGTTCAATTACAGCAGGAAGTGTCAGAGCTGAGACTGGATCCCATCTCGACCTGCTGTGCAACAGAGGTTGGCAAGCCTGTCAGGGAGGCTTAGGATCTTAGGCTATGAGATATGTGTGAGTCTCCCTCTGGGTTGTTGTGTGAGCAGCTCTGAGCTGGGACCTCAGCTGATGGGGGCTGGAGCTGAATCACAAGGCAACTTTCAGATTCACTGCCCAGTCAGTGAGCAGAAGGGCCTTTCTGCCAAAGCCCTAGTGTATGTGATTCATTCTGGACCCCACAGCAGATGGGTTTGATTGCAGGCTCAAGGCCAAATGTAACCAAACCCCTGAATGGGCCATTTCTGGGATTGAACTCTGGAGCCAGCTCAGTGGATCAGCCACGTGGGTGTTGGTCTGCACTCTCAATATGACCCTCCAAGGTCTTGGGCTCCACCAGAGTTTCACAAACTTCCCCCTGAATCCAGATCCAGAGGCTCCCACAGAGAGACTTTGGACTGTGGATGAGTGTAGAATTCTTGTCATTCTGGTGGGACATGAGCAGGTGCCTTCTATTTCACCATCTTGGTTATGTCATTCCTTCCTCAGCAGTTTTTTTGGTCGATTTTGCAAAGCTTTAAGTTTTACAGTGGGGCTGGAAATAGCAGGAGAGTGTGAGTTCCAGCCCTGGGATTTGTTGTTTGCTCCCTTTTCACTGACAGGTATTTTGTATTTTTGGCATTCTTTGTTTTCAAGTTATGTTGAGGATGTGGTTTTGTTTAGAAATTTCTTGGTGGTGGTGTTATTTTATACCTCTTGGGGTGGAGATTGTGGAAGTTACTTATTCTTCCTCTTCTGCCTTCTATTGTCTTCAACTACCCCAAAAAAATCTCCTGGAAACTACTCTCTGAAAGAAGTTGGAGAAAAATTATTAATGCACTTGAAGAAGATCAAGAAAAAAGAAAGCGTGAGTAATGTTTTGGGTGAGTTTGAAAGAAGCTATTTTTCTTGCTTCCATTTCATTGCTTCCCTCTGCAATAATTCCGGGTGTGATCCATGCATTGGATGTGTCCTCTAGACTCAAACCAGATTTCAAAAGCAGATATGGGGTACCAGTTCTCCTAACTTCCCAAGCAATGAGAGGTGCTGTTACTAGGGAAGACAGCCTTGTCCAAGGAGTGCTGGAACCAGACAAGGGCTTGGAGACCCAAGGCCTCAAAGAGAGATACAAGGCCCCAACATGTTTCACTTTGCTGTCCCTGCATGGCCTCCCTAGAGATATTGACACCTGATTAACAAATCTTGAATGGCATAAAGGACAACAAAATGACTGTGGGGAGATGTCATTTCCCTCCTTACTTTATCACGATTGCACAGACCCCTGAAGGGAGAAATGCATTTCCTAATTTCACTCAGTAAGTCAAACCCAGAAAAGAACTGGTTCTCTGATTCCCAGACATGGGTTCGTTGTACAATTGTCTGAAAATAGCTGACTTGATCAAATTGTTTCAAATGTAATTTCTATAATTCCAATTGATGCCTCAGTATTTGTCTCCTAATACTTGGAGTCTTTCATTGTTTTCCAATTGTTTAGAATTTCAAAGGAAATTATTAATTAATAGAAATAAGGAATTCACAGCATGATGAGGGCCCAATTTGGGAGATGTGACTTTGGACCAAGTATCTTTTTTTTTTTTTTTGCGACATCTAAGCTTGGTCCTGCCCACCTAGGAGGCTGTGTAACTGTGCAGAGAAGGGAGTCTTTCTACCCACGTTAACTTATCCAGCTTCAAGTCCCTTCCAGGTACCCTCTGTCCTCCGATTCCCTTCTGGAATTCAGGAACAGGTAGTACTATGTCACCTCCCAGACCTAAGTCTTACTCCTAACAGACCTGGATAAGTTCCCTGTTCTCACTAACCTCAGTAACACCATCTGGAAAAGAGAAGGCCTAAGCACGTGGAGTTTTTGAGCCCCTCTAATAGAGCCTCCAAACTACCTAGAGCAAGCTTGTCCAACTTGTGGCCTGCAGGCTGCATGTGGCCCAGGATGGCTTTGATTATGGCCCAACACAAATTCATAAATGAGTTTCTTTGTGATTTTTTTTAGCTCATCAGCTATCGTTAGTGTTAGTGTATTTTATGTGTGGCCAAAGATAATTCTTCCAATGTGGGCCAGGGAGGCCAAAAGATTGGACACCCCAGGCCAGGCGCAGTGGCTCACGCCTGTAATCCCAGCACTTTGGGAGGCCGAGGCGGGCCGATCATGAGGTCAGGAGATCGAGACCATCCTGGCTAACACAGTGAAACCCCGTCTCTACTAAAAATACAAAAAATTAGCCGGGCGTGGTGGCGGGCACCTGTAGTCCCAGCTGCTTGGGAGGCTGAGGCAGGAGAATGGCGTGAACCCAGGAGGCGGAGTTTGCAGTGAGCCAAGATTGCACCACTGCACTCCTGCCTGGGCGACAGAGCAAGACTCCAGCTCAAAGAAAAAAAAAAAAAAAAAGATTGGACACCCCTGACTGAGAGCTTTCTAAGGAGAAATTTGACTATGTGGGCAACTTTTGGGAGGAAGTCAGAAGAAGGGGAAAAATGACTGGATTTGGGGTCCACCTGGCACATTTAAGTCCTCTAAAATGCCATTTGAGTGAGTCACAGTGGCTTAATGAGCTTAGCAGACATCAAGTTTTCAATTACAAGAGAAGACATATATTCTCTGCTCTCCTCCCTTTGTTTCCACCATCTGGATCCAATAATCCAAAACCCAGCAGGGTTCTGGCTTCTTGTCTGAGGCCAGCAGCCCTCTGCTTGTCCCTGAGGCTTTATGGTGATTCCCAAGACGGAACGATAGAGCAGCCACTGGTCAGCCTCAGGAAAAATCAAGCCACTTCTCATGCCCTGTCTAGAACTGAGACAGAGAGACTCTCCTCCAACCAGTCATGTGGGTCAGCCATCTCAAGGGTAAGCAGGTGTCAGCCCTAGGAGGTAAAAACAGGCACCTAGTGTTTATCAGCTCTTAGCATGTCCCCTGATTACACAGCCTTCCATCCAATTTAGAACAGGAAGTACCCCTTGACATTATCACGAACCACCTTCTCACATTAAGGAGGAGAAAACTGAGTCCCAGAGAGGAGAATGAAGGTCTTTCAGTCACAGAGTGCTCCGTAGCCTTGCTGGGCCTAGAACTAAGATGTAGCGCTAACTTCCTAATAAGGTCACTTTGATGGATCCACTTGATCTGGGCCATGAAAGGTGGTCCATTGGATTGAGCCTGACAGCCTAGAGTGATGGAACAGCATAAGGTAATGTGTGAAAGCAAAAACAAAGAGAAGACACTGCAGATGGAAGCAATCTGGCTGAGATAATTTTCTACAACTCTGTGACAAGTCAGCTATTCTCAGTGGAATTTTCAGCACCCCCTTATTCTCTCATTTTAATTATCTTAACTTTCTGTATTTTTTATTCTTATCTCACACGTTTCAATAAAATAGCTTTATAGTATCTTTTAGCCTCTTTCATTGTGGAAAGGGCTGTAGGAGTTTTAGAGACAATCTTTCTACCTCATTCATTTTTACGTTTGTTAGAACTGAATTCCAGAGATAGGAAAGAATTTGCCTAGTTTTTAGCAAATCCACTGTGATACCAAAAAAAAAAAAAAAGCCATGGAAGGCCAGGTGTGGTGGCTCATGCCTGTAATCCCAGCACTTTGGGAGGCCAAGGTGGACGGATTACTTGAGGTCGGGAGTTTGAGACCATCCTGGCCAACATGGTGAAACCCCGTCTCTACTAAAAATACAAAAATTAGCCAGGCATGGTTGCAGGCGCCTGTAATCCCAACTACTCAGGAGGTTGAGGCAGGAGAATTGCTTGAACCAGGGAGGCGGAGGTTGCAGTGAGCTGAGGTCGCGCCACCGTATTCCAGCCTGGTGACAGAGCGAGACTCCATCTCAAAAAGAAAAAAAAAATGCAAAGGAAACATGATGAATTCTGAACTTGTATTTAGTTTTCAGTGAGATGGTAGAGGTTTCATATTGATTCAGATGTTAACCTTTCCCCAGTGACTGCTTTTTAATACCGTTTGCTTCCTTTCTTATTGGATTGTCCAGATTATTTCAATCTATTTGTAGGAGTGCTTATTATTTAAATATGATTCACTATTTGCTTTTATACATTAACAAATATTTTTCTGGTGAGTTGTTAACTACAGTCATGGGTCACTTAGTGACAAGTGATATGGTCTCAGAAATGGGTTGTTAGGTGATTTTGTGGCTTAGTTATGCAATGCATGATTTTATTCTTTTCCTTTGCTTATATCATATTTTCCCTTCCAAAGATTATCAATTTTTATAAAGTCAAATTTTTATCATTCTCAGGAAATCCTCAAATCAGCATTTTACAAAAAAAAAAAAAACAAAGAAAAAACCAAAAACCTCACCAGACTTTTAGGACAACTGGAGTCTTGGCGGTCCACTCTATGATGTTCTTGTATCTTGCACCTTGCAAGAGCATCATAAGGTGGACTTACAGGAACCTAGATGTATAGCTTACTACACAGCTAGGCAATATGGTATAGCCTATTGTTCCTAGGCTACAAACCTGTACACTATGTTATTGTACTGAACAGTGTAGTCAATTGCAACTCAATGGTAAGTACTTGTGTATCTAAACATATCTAAATGTAGAAAAGGTACAGTAAAAATATGGTATAAAATATTTAAAAATAGCATACCTGTATAGAGGACTTACCATGAATGCAGCTTGAAGGTCTGCAAGTTGATTGGTCTTGTGAATCATTAAGTGAATGGTAAGTGAATGTCAAGAACTAGGACATTGCTGTCCATTACTGTAGACGTAAACATTATACACTTAGACTACACAAAATTTATTTAAAAGTTTTCTTTCTGCAATAATAAATTAACCTTAACTTAGTATAAAATCTTTATACACTTTTTTATTTTTAATTTTTTCACTCTTTAGTAGTAAAATTTAGCTTAAAACACAAACACATTGTACAGCTACCCAAAAATATTTTAAAAAAATCCTTATTCTATAGGCTTTCTTCCTTTTAAATTATTATTTTTTCCTTTTAAAACTTTTTTGTTGGCCAGACATGGTGGCTTATGCCTGTAATCCCAGCACTTTGGGAGGGCGAGGCAGGTGGATCACGAGGTCAGGAGGTCGAGACCATCCTGGCTAACACGGTGAAACCCCGTCTCTACTAAAAAATACAAAAAATTTGCCGGGCGTGATGGTGGGCGCCTGTAGTCCCAGCTACTCAGGAGGCTGAGGCAGGAGAATGGCATGAACCTGGGAGGTGGAACTTGCAGTGAGCCCAGATCCTGCCACTGCACTCTAGCCTGGGTGACAGAGCAAGACTCCACCTCCAAAAAAAAAAAAAAAATACAAAAAAAACTAAGACACAAACACATAATAGCCTAGGCCTGCACAGGGTCAGGATCATCACTATCACTGTCTTCCACCTCTACATCTTGCCAGGATCATCAATATCACTGTCTTCCACCTCTACATCTTGCCACACTGGAAGGTCTTCGGGAGCAATAACACATACAGTTGTCACCTCCGGTTATAACAATGACTTCCTCTGGAATACAGACTGAAGAAACTGCCTGGGACTGTTTTACAGTTGAGTTATTTTTTAATAAGTAGAGGATGGACACTATAATAATGATAAAAAGTATAGTATAGTAATTATAGTAACATAGTCGTTTACTATCATTCTGAAGTATTATGTACTGTGCATGATTGCATGCTATATGTTTATATGACTGGCAGTGGAGTACACTTGTTTACTCCAGCATCACCTCAAACATGTGAGTAGTGCCTTGTACTGTGACATTACCACAGCTATGACATTACTAAGTGATAGGAATTTTTCAGCTCCATTATAGTTTTATGAGAGCACCATCACATATGCGGTTCGTTGCTGACCAAAACATTGCCTCATGCTGGAGAAGAGTATCCGAGCATAGTTGCTGCTTCGAGTCACTCCAGGGAGATCTAAAATTCCAGGTGGGAGCATTGTGTCTACTGAGCATGTTTAGAGATGGGAAATAATTTGCCTAAATTTGTGATACAGGAAATGAAATGATAACATGATAATTTTTAACTTGTGTTTAATGATGAACAAGGCGGTACACTTTTCATATTGATTCATGTGTTAACATTATTTTTCCCTGTGTACTGTCTTTTCATACCCTTTGCTCTTTTTTCTACTAGGTGTCCATAATATTTCAAGTGATTTGTAAGAGTGATTCTTATACAAAGAAAACCCAACTCTTGCTCTCATACATTTAAAAATTTTTTTCTGGTTGGTTGTTAACCATTGTTTTAGCTAGATTATATATTTTAACCTTACAAAGTTTTTCAATTTCTATAAAGTCAAAATTTTTAAAAATTCTTACAAAAATATTCTCCAGTTGGGTATTTTACCAGAAAAATAAAAATTCGCCAGACTTTGAGGGTAGCTAGAGTTATGGTGTCCTTGTGAATGTAAATCTCCCAAGGTATTCTTATAAAGCCATATCATTACACAGAAGAATGAGAAAACCTCAGAAACATCATTTCTTCAGCAAAATCTGAAGTCAGAGAACAGTAAAAACTTCAAATTATACAGAAAGAACATCTGATTTTCAATGGAGAGCTCTCTTGAACTTCTGCCTCTACCCTTTTCAAAGGAAACAGTGGGGTCCAGAAATATGTGTGTAAAGAATAGGAGAGCCTATGATTGAAATAAACTCATTCCCAGGAGGATGTCCACATATGAAAATACAGAGAAAGAGTCCTGGAGGCTCAGAGCATTTGCTAGACTTTCTGTGTGCTGGTGTGCAGTCCTTGCTGCTGTTAACACTTTACTAGGGTGCATTTGTCACAAGGAATGAACCAGTATTGATACATTATTAACTAAAGTCCAGACTTTGTTCATATTGCCTTTGCTGTTACCAAGGTTCTTTTTGTTTCAGGAGCCCATCCAGGACAATGTGGATTATAATTAGTGGTCATGTCTTCTTAGGCTCCTCTTGGTTGTGACAGTTGCACACATTTTCCTTGTTTTTGAAGACCTTGACAGTTTTGAGGAGTACTGCTCAAGTATTTTATAGAATGTCCCTCAACTGAGATTTGTCTGATGTTTTTCTCATACTGGGGTTGTGGTTTTTTGGAGGAAAACATCAGAGGTAAAGTGCCCTTCTTATCATGTAATATCCAGGGTACTGACTTCAACATGATTTACTGTTGATGATGTTGACCTAGATGACCAGTCTGAGGCAGTGTTCGTCAAGTTTCTACACTGAAAAGTCAACTTTTCCCCCTATCCTTGCATACTATACTCTTTGAAAGGAAGTCACTGCACAACCATATGTAAGATATTCCTTAAAGGGGAAGTATCTAAATAAATTGTTTGGAATTATTCTATAAAAATGATAATTATAATTATTGATGTCAGATAATTGTTTATTATCCCTCATTTATTTACTTACTCAATTGTTTATTTATATCAGCGTGGATTCATAGATATTTATTACATACATTCGTTATAACTTGTTTTGTTGCTGAAACAGTAAGAAGGACGCTTTTGAACATTAAAAGCCACAATTCTCAGTAAAGATATTAGTTATAAGTATGTAAGCACTATATAGCACAGAAAACACTTTATAAAGAAGAAAATATGAGATACACCAAGGAGATATAGATAAAAACACAGTAACAGTAGGAGAATTGAACACACTGTATTGGTATAAGACAAACCAAGTGGACAAAAAAGTAAACAAGGATACAGAGGACACACCCAGGCCTTAAATACTTATATCAACAAAAATGAAATAAGAAGTGTAAATAAATCAAATTTTCAACAAAAGAAGAAAAAGAGAGAATAAGGCCAAAAAAAAGCAATAATAAAGATAAAAGCAAATTTTTGAGGTCAAGAAGAGACAAACAGTAGCTCTAATTAATAGATTTAAATGTTGTTTTTGAAAAAATTACAAAATAGGTGAACCATTTGCTGCTATAGTCAAGATGAAAAGGAGTGAAGAACAGCTAAATAAAATCAAGTATAATGGAGGGAATCACCACCAAAAGAGGGAAAAAAGAAAGCCCTGAGACTCCTTTGTAGACCAGGTTCCTTTCTCACCTCCTGGCTGCTGTGCTGACCCCCAAGGTCCTGAGGATGAGGAGGCTGAGCAAGGGACAAGGCCACTGGTTGTCATCTGTCTGGGCATTGGGTAAGGGCTCCTATTCTGTGTCTTCCCTAACATACAGCAGGGGCTGTGGATTTCAAGGATCATGGTGAATAATGTTTTAGCTTTACTAAGCAGGGCTCCAGACAAACATCATAATAATTAAAGGGCAGACTCTCTAAGTAGCATGTCTGCTTAGTCAAAAGAAGAGATTTATTCTAAATTTTTAGCAGGATACCCTGTCCTGAGTAGGGCATAGTTACACCCAGGAACGAGAATGTGAGTCCTACCACCAGGTAAGCCACTGACATCAGCAGTGATCGTAGCTGAAGGTGGGAGACTTTAAAATGAGAATACAGGAGGGTGATGATGAGAACCAGCTGCCACCCACACAACAACTGCAGAGGCCACAGCTGTTGTGTACCCCCTTCCCTTCCACCTTCTTATGGTTTATCTCAGAGGGAGAGCCCATCAGAGCCTGGGAGAAGCTTCCCAAAGTGTGTGGAGCCCGGATCCCAGCAGTGCCAGGGGTGCACTGTGGCTGACAGAGGTACTGCTTGGATGCCCCTTCAAGGAGCACCTTGTTGCCCAGCTGCATGGAGTGTGGTTAGTTAATTGCTGCCAGCCACTGCTCGACCTCAGGCACAACCTCAGTTTTTGAGCTGAGATCACACAGAACCAGGGCCCTCCAGCCAAAGGCAAAGTAAGGCTGTAGTATGAGATTCTACCCTTCATGCCCAATGTTGAACTTCTCTTATAAAAAAATTCTTGCTCTTGCTCTTGCTCCAGAGCTTCCTGTTGGGCTGACAGAGATGTTGTCAGGACAGTTTGGCAATGGCATCCTTTGCCTAATACTGCTTCCTCACCTTTACTTTCACAGGTGTGACCTCACAAGGCAACTTGCATTCTTAACTCTGTCTCAGCCCCTGAGAACCCTGAGCTTGTTGGATAACCCAACCTGCAAAACACAGCTCACAGATTTCTGAGAAGCCTGAAGATTCAGGATCAGGACCATAGTAAGATATGAGTGTCTAGGTAGCATGACAACAGCCAGAACCACTTCTCAACAATTGTGTGATGTGTACACAGCTGCTGCAGTCCTGGACACTCATCACTGCCACCCATGACTCTGGAATTGGGTATTGCTGTGGACAACAATACT
Organism: Homo sapiens; assembly: GCF_000001405.40. NCBI lineage: Eukaryota > Metazoa > Chordata > Mammalia > Primates > Hominidae > Homo > Homo sapiens. The sequence continues at coordinate 45,188,503 of NC_000020.11, forward strand.
ACTTTGTTCTGGGAAAGAATGCCCCTTCATCCTTGCTTCTTTGAGTCACTCAATGGAGATTCAAGGTGACATATGGGAACATTACATTTGCTGAGCATGTTTGTGCAGCCCTAGGCCTCAGGGGTGAAGGAAAGTGCCCCCTGTTTTGTTCTGTTTTTGCAGTAGGAACCCAGCTCTGTCACTCAGCAAGTCTCAAAGATGGCCTTAAATAGGGAGATCCCACAACATAACAAGGGAGTTCCACATAGTGGACAGTCAAAAGCATGGACACATCTCCCATACCGTGGATCTTCCTAGGGTTCCAAACTCCCCTTGAAACTTACACATTGGCAGGTATAAAGTGAACAGCACAATTGTTCACCTCTGGAAATAGAAGGGCCACTCCCTAATCACCATGGAAATATTCCTAAGAATGTGCCTTTTCTTATTGGGCAGAAGGCCAGATATCTTTTTTTATCAGTTTTTTCAATGGCAGTAATTTATTTCACAAGGTCACCTTTAATGGGCCTGACCCATTTTTCTGCCTATATTTTAATCACAGGCTGTATCTTCAGCTTCTCCACACTAGATGATACCTTATCCTCCCAGCCTACTGTTCAGTGTTTTTATGGGCACGCTCATTCCTCAACAATACTGGTCCCACAGTATTTTTCTCTCCAATCACAACAGAGCATACCACTGCTGCCTCCAGGCATGGCAACACCATGTCTGGCCACCAACATTGCCAAATTGGACACCACTTCCACTCTCCTCACTGGAAATAGATGCTGTAGCCATTTATGCCACTGCTGCCGGAGTAAACTCTCACTTCCTACCACCTCCATGTCTGCTTTTTTCTATCACCAATTCTCAGTCCATTGCAGTGTATACCTCTGACTGTGTGAACCGGTGCATATGCACATGTGGAGGCTGCCAAGAAGTCAGAGAAACAGGCATGTGGACTTTGCAGCTTCTGCTGGGAATGGTGTTTGTAGGCTTAGAGGCTAAGACAGGAAAGTTGCCCACACAACCATTCTCATCCCATTGTGAGCACTGGAGCACCTACTATGCCCCTCCTTTCCTTCACTCTGTGTTCTAGCCTCAGCTTATGACCTACAGTTTTAATCAACTGTAAAAAGGCAATGGAGATTGGCAATAGTAGGGACTTCACCGCCTCTTGCCTGGATTCTCTAATCCACTTACTTCCTTGAAAAGGCATTTACAATTCTGTAATCATGAGGGGAGATCAAGAATTATGAGAAAGATGAGAAGTTCAGGGGCTGCATGATATTACTGAAATTACACAGAGACTCTAAAATGGTAAATCAATGCTCAGAATTTGCATTGCAGTCAGAAAAGATATGGTTATTCTGGGATAGCTCCACTGCTACCATGTTCCTCCTAGAGGCACAATGTTCTCTAACAAAACAGTTTTTGCTGAGACTGGAAACACTGATAACATATTTGCAGGCTGTGTGTGCTCCATGGGGGTTGAAAGCGGGGATCACTAATGATAATTTTTGAACAACCTTCTTAGGCCTTCCTTGTCCAGTACCTCCTGGGATGGGGACACTCTGTTCTAGCTAGCCATGTGTGTCTGTCTTTTGGAGTCCAGAGTGATAAGCGTCATGCACAAGTACCAGGTGCTTCTCAGCTTGTAACAGATTCCAACTTTTCTTGAATTTGAAGTTGGAAACTCCCTTTGAAATATCCAGACAAAACCCCCCATCTTGTGGATGGGAAAACCGGAATCCAGGGATCCATCAAAGTTTAATCTAGAAATCAGGGGCAGAGCTGGGGCTGGGAACTATCTGTTCTAATATGATGTCATTCCCTTTGGTAGAATGTTGAAAAAGCAGGAGGATTCATTAGCCTTTCAAAAAAGACTAGTTGAGGGGTTAATTTGCCAAAAAGCACAGTGACAATAGGAATTCCAGGAAAATAGAATAATCCAAGCCAAAATGTGGAATCAAAGAAAAATATAGATTTGAGGAGACCCCAAAGAAGTCAGCAACTCAACTATAAAGTAACCCTCCACAATATGCTAATTCTGCCACCATCCAGGTCTTCCGCATCACCTTGGTGTTCTCACTTGCGGTGTGCCCACTGCACGAGCTTTCTGCTATTCTACTGCACATTCACAGCTCACTTGGAAGAAACTTTAGTAAGATTCTTGGAATCTTTCTCACAGCAGGAAGAGTCCTAAGAGACCGAGCTACTCCTTTTACAATAATTGAGACACAGACCGCTGGCAAATGAAATTTGCCCCAAATTTGGAAGACCATCTCATAGGCATGACAACAAAAGACTCATGTGTTTGTTTTAACTTGGTGTGGTTTTTTTTAATTATGGGGGTAGTTTTATTTATTTTCAAATATGTAGTAGCTACTTGCATTACTTTTTAATAAACCACATGTTCATGGTCTATGTTTATTTTTCTATGAGAAGATCTATTTTCCTTATTGTGTTTTAAAAATTCTTTCAATATATTATAGAATATCTCTATTCCCACCATATGTGTTTATACATTTTAAAAATTTCTGTTTTCTTACTGTATGCATGATTTTCCCTGTAAAACTTTTTATTTGCTTGTAGTTAATGATATTAATTTACTTCAGAAAATCATTCACGTGTAAATATTCTACAAAACTTGTCTCATGTTTACTTTGAATACTTTTATAGTTCGATCTTTATGTTTAAATCCTTGACCACCTAAAACGTACTTTGAAATAATGGGTGGAGTGGAAATCCAGTATTTACTCCTTGAATTGCCGGTAATCAGTCTAAACATCATTCGCTGAATTACTAACATTTCTTAAGTGATGTGGAATTCTGCCCTTATCATTTGTAAAATTCTCAAAGGCATTGAGTTTATCTTTTATTCCATTGAGATGTGTGCATTTTCTCACCATTAATGTATGTTCTAATTATGTTGACATATTTTTGTGATAATTTTGGTGGAATTAAAATGTGTCATGGGTAACTCTCCCATGACAATTTATCATCAATATTTTCCTGGAAAACCTCAAATGCTTACTTTATCAGTTGGTATGTTCAATTTCATTAATCATTGGATTTTTATCTCATGGGCTTCCAACTTACTCTTCATTGTTTATCACTAAAACCCACTAAAATCTCCATTTTTTTTTTTTTTTTTTTGAGACAGGATCTCGCTCTGTCGCCAGGCTGGAGTGCAGTGGCGCAATCTTGGCTCACTGCAACCTCTGCCTCCTGGGTTCAAGTGATTCTTCTGCGTCAGCCTCCTGAGTAGCTGGGACTACAGTTGCATGCCACCATGCCCAGCTAATTTTTGTATTTTTAATAGAGACAGGGTTTCACCATGTTAGCCAGGATGGTTTTGATCTCTTGACCTCGTGATCCGCCTGCCTTGGCCTCCCAAAGTGCTGGGATTCCAGGCGTGAGCCACCACGCCCGGTCTCCATAGTTTTTAAGAGCGCCGTTAGGCTGGATATTCCTTATACTCTGTTCCTAATACTGTCAGTTCCTTAGGGAGGACTTTGGAGCTCTCTATTCTTATAGCCTGCCTCTCACTTTTGGAAAATCACTGAGTTCCTTCTAAGGAGCTGTTTTGGAAAGAGTGGTTCACTTTTCTCAGAGTGACAGCCCTGCTTTACCAACTGGGCTCTGACCATGAGCCAGAACATCCTCTGATGTTGTTGGCAGGCATTCACTGGCATGAAAATTCTGCCTGGCAAATGAGCTGTGCCGAGGGCTATGGGGGTCTCAGCATTCTTGACCTACAATGCCTGGGATAGAACCTCTCCACTACAAGTAGTGTTGGGTGGAAGAATGGAGCTCTGTACCTCTTCATCACACTCACCTGGAATCTCTGCAATACAACCTTGGAATGGGTTTGAGAGATGCTGGCAACCTTTTGCCTCTGGTGAGATATCATAACCCTTTAAAGGGAAGTGAGAGGAAAGAGACTCTCCCATTACTTGGCTAGATGTGCCCTGAGTGAAGCTTCCCTCATATTGAGCTAGGATATAGAAAGTATAGAGTGGGTTATGACTCAAATGCTGTAGACACTCTGTGTTCTTTCAAGGTTTAGTAGAGTTTTAAAAATAAATGTATGCACTTAAGACAATTCCCAAAGACTTCAAGTGGCTGTTTTAAAAAATAACTTTTATCAAGTATGATTGTTTGGTTTGAGGGTATTTCCATGGATCTCCTTACACTGCTATTCCAGAGGAGAAGCCACCAGGTCACTCAACTCTTAGTATCATCTACTGGAAACTGGCTAAGACAGTATTTATGTGCTTCTCTCACAATAACAGGAAGATAACTATATCACACAATGGATATGGCAGTTGGCTTGACTGCAGTAATCATTTAACTATGTATATGTATATCAAAACATCATGTTGCATACCTTAAATATGTACAATAAAAATAAAATCTAAAAGAAATAAAATAAAAATAACTTTCACCAGCTGTGGTTGTTGGTTTGGAGTAATCCAAGGAACTCTTCACACCATTCCCTAGCAAGACTTGCCCAATTATTTTCTTCTTAATTTCAAAGAAGTCTATTTGGCTCTGTGAAAATACAAGTATCTGACTGGTTCACAAAACCACTAGGAAACCTAGAAATTCAAGTTAAAAGAAAAGGCAAAAACAAAGAAGTCATTGAATGCAGAATCACAGTCAAAATTAGTCAGATATTGGCCTTTGTGGAGCTCATTGGTGCTACCTCAGAGTAGATGGAGGTTACACATCTCTCAGCCAATATGCCAAAGCCAGATGCTCTTCAATGCATGGGCCATCATTTCCATTTCTCTTCTGAGAAGTCAAATACAGCTGCCATTGCTGTAACTGCCCCAGAAATGAATCTTCACCTCCTACTATCACTAGCTCCCAAGTGCAGCCCAGAGTTTGTGCATCTGATGATCTGAACACGGCATGTACTCACATAAGGTTGTCTCTCAGTGGAGGCAGGGAAAACAAGTGTCCAGACTTTCCTATTCTGTTATAAAAAGTGGCAGAGCCTCTGGATTTCAGGGCTTATGTGGTTAATTCCCCCAAAATAGGAATGACATTCTTATGCTTAGAAGCCAAGAAATGTCTACAACACCCACACTCATTACATCTTGAGTCCTGGAGCAAGGAACACTTTGTATTTTCTTCTCGCAGATTATATTCTATGTAGCCCCATCTGTGCTACCAACTTTCTGTAGGATCTTGGACAATCACTGTCTGCTTCTGATGCTCAGAATACCTGCTAGAAAAAAAAATAAAATAATAAACAAAAAAAATAAGAAGGGCTTTGAGGTTAGTGGGCCCTCTGTGCATTCATGACTATGATATTCCTTGATTATACAGACACTTATGCCTCATTCAGGCAACTATGGATTCTTTGTTGAGGACAGATGAAGAAGGGAAAGAAAGATGAAGGGTTCTGGGACCACAAAAACTGTTTTAAATTACCAAGAGAAAGCAGATGCAGTATTCTATGAGATTTGTGAGTAGAGAAGCCAGAAAGTATTATTTTAGGCACAACTCAACTGATACCACCCTCCAACAAATACCTGGAGTCCTCTGGCAACACAGCTTTACTGAACCAAGGAGCCCAGATAGCATCTCTCCAGGCTCCGGATGCACCCCAGGGATAGAGCAGTGAACGTCACAGACGACCTCAGGTACATTGGAGCCGCTCTCCAGGGCCTTGCAGACTCAGTTCTAGCCAGCCATTTGTGTCTGTCCCTAGGATCACAGAGTGTCCAGGAGTCAGGCCAAGCCAGGCCCTGAATTCTTTCCAGATTGTAATAAATGTCCTGAGTCATAATCTTCCATTGAATTTGGAGTCGAAATACCTGCTGACATATAGAAAACTGCCCTCATCTAACAAAGGGGAATATTGCTTAGGATTGAGGAGTAAAGCTGAAAATGAAAAAAATCAGTCCTGATTTCAAGTCATTTTTCTTTCCATAGGATGTAGACTAAGACAGGAAGATGCAAGCATCTTGCTCATAAAACCATTGTTCCATCAGTTTGGCCTGACGCTGGGTGAGAGGGGTAGGGTTATAATAGAAATTCCAGACCAACAGAACAATATAAGTCAAAGTGTGGAATTACAGTAAACATATTGATTTCAGCATTATTTATGACCGCAAAATGTTGGGAACAACCAAAATACCCATACAGAAAAGAGTGGTTGTATAAATGATAGTACAACTATAAAATGAAGTACTGTGTAGCTATTCAAAGGTACACGGAAGATGTCCATGAACTGATGTATGTTAATTATAAATACATTGTGGAATGATAAATTTAAAGTGTCTTATAACAATGAATACAAAATAAGAAAATATCCATTTACCTACTCATTGCAGGAAAAAAGAAAAAAGAAAGGAAAAACCCAGAGACCAATGAGAGTGGTCACCTATGTGGTCAGGAATTGGTAGAAAGGAAAGAGAGAATGGAGATGGATATCTGATTCTTCTCTGAATGTACCTTTATGCACAGATCTGACTGGGGAGCCATGTGAAAATTTCACATACTCGGATGAATAAATAAATGAATAAACCCCACAGGATTGAGAGATAATTTGTAATCAAATACAAACTATTTGTTTGACAAACCAACCAGCAAACAAATAAACCATAGATATGAGAGGACCATGAAGATTAAAGAAACTTCCATTTGCGAAACCATTATAAAACGTAATGAAGATGAATAAACACTCATTACAGAATATCAAATCAACCATTATCATGAGGTTTTCTTTTTTTAATTTTTTTATTTTATTATTATTATACTTTAAGTTTTCGGGTACATGTGCACAATGTGCAGGTTAGTTACATATGTATACATGTGCCATTCTGGTGTGCTGCACCCATTAACTCGTCATTTAGCATTAGGTATATCTCCTAATGCTATCCCTCCCCACTCCCCCCACCCCACAACAGTCCCCAGAGTGTCATGTTCCCCTTCCTGTGTCCATGTGTTCTCATTGCTCAATTCCCACCTCTGAGTGAGAATATGCGGTGTTTGGTTTTTTGTTCTTGTGATAGTTTACTGAGAATGATGATTTCCAATTTCATCCATGTCCCTACAAAGGACATGAACTCATCATTTTTTATGGCTGCATAGCATTCCATGGTGTATATGTGCCACATTTTCTTAATCCAGTCTATCACTGTTGGACATTTGGGTTGGTTCCAAGTCTTTGCTACTGTGAATAGTGCCACAATAAACATACGTGTGCATGTGTTTTTATAGCAGCATGATTTATAGTCCTTTGGGTATATATCCAGTAATGGGATGGCTGGGTCAAATGGTATTTCTAGTTCTAGATCCCTGAGGAATCGCCACACTGACTTCCACAATGGTTGAACTAGTTTACAGTCCCACCAACAGTGTAAAAGTGTTCCTGTTTCTCCACATCCTCTCCAGAACCTGTTGTTTCCTGACTTTTTAATGATTGCCATTCTAACCGGTGTGAGATGGTATCTCATTGTGGTTTTGATTTGCATTTCTCTGATGGCCAGTGATGGTGAGCATTTTTTCATGTGTTTTTTGGCTGCATAAATGTCTTCTTTTGAGAAGTGTCTGTTCATGTCCTTCACCCACTTTTTGATGGGGTTGTTTTTTTTTTTCTTGTAAATTTGTTTGAGTTCATTGTAGATTCTGGATATTAGCCCTTTGTCAGATGAGTAGGTTGCGAAAATTTTCTCCCATTTTGTAGGCTGCCTGTTCACTCTGATGGTAGTTTCTTTTGCTGTGCAGAAGCTCTTTAGTTTAATTGGATCCCATTTGTCAATTTTGGCTTTTGTTGCCATTGCTTTTGGTGTTTTAGACATGAAGTCCTTGCCCATGCCTATGTCCTGAATGGTAATGCCTAGGTTTTCTTCTAGGGTTTTTATGGTTTTATGTCTAACGTTTAAGTCTTTAATCCATCTTGAATTAATTTTTGTATAAGGTGTAAGGAAAAGATCCAGTTTCAGCTTTCTACATATGGCTAGCCAGTTTTCCCAGCACCATTTATTAAATAGGGAATCCTTTCCCCATTGCTTGTTTTTCTCAGGTTTGTCAAAGATCAGATAGTTGTAGATATGTGGCGTTATTTCTGAGGGCTCTGTTCTGTTCCATTGATCTATATCTCTGTTTTGGTACCAGTACCATGCTGTTTTGGTTACTGCAGCCTTGTAGTATAGTTTGAAGTCAGGTAGCGTGATGCCTCCAGCTTTGTTCTTTTGGCTTAGGATTGACTTGGTGATGCGGGCTCTTTTTTGGTTCCATATGAACTTTAAAGTAGTTTTTTCCAATTCTGTGAAGAAAATCATTGGTTATCATGAGGTTTTCTGTACTCCTTTGGTGTCTCCATGCACAGTGATCCCAACCTCATGTGCTTTGTGTTGTGCTCTTGCAAATTCTCTCTTCACCAGGCAGAGGGCTTTGCTTAATCTGCTAGTCCTTGCCACAGCAAGGACTTCAAGAGACTACATAGTCCCATTTTCTCATCTTACAATATCTAGAACTGAGGCTGGAGATAGAAGGAACTTGCCCAGAATCATTACTGGGTAATCAGCCTCATAAGTGAAAAGACAAATTATACTTTATTTAACTTGCAGTCCTTGAACTATGAATGAAGCTATAATTGTTTTCATACATGCATTAACTGTTTGTATTATAATTTCTCTAAATACCTGATGGAGCTCATATCTTACACTCTTTATTAGATGATATGCCCTTCTTTATCACAGTGAAGAAATTTTTTCAATATGCTATGAAATTCACCCTTTATCTGATATATGTTTATTAATGTTTTCCATTTTCTGTTCATTACTTTTTCTTTATCTATGGCTGGTTTTGCCTCACAATTTAAACATTTTTGTATAGTTTTAAATTTTTTTCAAATTTTATTTTAGATACAGGGGGTACATGTTCAGGTTTGTTACATGGGCATATTGTGTGATGCTAAGGTTTGGGGTATAGATCCCATCACCCAGGTAGTGAGCGTAGTATCCAATAGATAGTTTCTCAACCCATGCCCACTTCCCTCTCTCTTCCTTCTAGTAGTCTGCAGTGTCTGTTGTTCCCGTGTTTATGTCAGTGTGTGTTCAATGTTTAGCTCCCACTTATAAGTGAGAACATGTGGTATTTGGTTTTCTGTTCCTGCATTAATTTGCTTAGGATAATGACCTCCAGCTGCATCCATGTTCCTGCAAAAGATAGGATTTCATTCTTTTTATGGCTATGTAGTATTCTATGGTATATACATGTCATATTTTCTTTATCTAATCAACCATTTATGGGCACCTAGGTTGATTCCATATCTTTGCTATTGTGCATAGCAAAGCAATGAACATGAGTGCAGGTGTCCTTTTTGTAGAGTGATTTATTTTCCTTTTGGGATATACCCAGTAGTGGAATTGCTGGGTCAAACGGTGGCTCTGTTTTAAGTTCTCTGAGAAATCTCCAAACTGCTCTCCACAGTGGGGCTGAATTAATTTACATACCAACTAACCAAAGGGGAAAGAAGATATAAGCATTCTCTTTTCTCCACAGCCTACAGCATCTGTTGTTTTTTGACTCTGAAATTACAGCCATTCTGCAACAGTCCCCTCTGGAACATCAACCCAGTGGCCTGAGAACTGTTCCTGTACCCCAGCACCCACAGGGGCTGCTGCTTTCTCTGAATTGGAAGACTCAGAGTGCAAACCTGCCTGACCCAGCCCCCACCTGGCTTTGTTCTGCCACCTGCCCTGGTAGCTTAATACAAAAAACAGAAACTCTTGGAAGCTCTATGGCCCCAACTATTGCCTGAGAAACCAGAGGGCAATCTAAAGCAAGCAAAAATCCCACTGCTACTACCATAGCTGGTGCTTTTTTGCAAGCACCACCTCCGGGCTGGAGGCCAACCAACACAGTCCATTATAGCATCTCCCGGTAGAATAACACTGCACCTAGGAAGGAGAAAATGGCTGAGGAATCTCAGCTATCACCACTGCCTGTACCCCTCTGACTAACCAGGAGGTACTGATTCTGTCCAAGTGACCAGTTCAGTGCTACTATAACCAGTGTTCAAGAAAACCAACACACTAAGGCTATCAATAACCAAGGAATCTCACAGAGTCTGCATCACTCCCCTGCTACCCTCATGACTGGTGTGGCTACCCACTGCTGGGAGACTTGAGGACAGGCCACATCACCAGATCTCTTGCAGACATTCCCCAGTACTGGCCTGGAGTGTGGCAACTTCACTGGGCAGCTAGATCCAGAGGAGCATTTGAGAATTCTCAGTGCCCTACTCTAAAAGAGTTTGCTGCTATAGTGGCATGACATTTTTAGGGGTGAGCTTGCAGGGTTATTTCTCAGGTCAGGGTTGTGTGCATGCAGTTGGTGGATCACCCAGTTGTGGTCTGGCTCACTGGCATTGGAACCAGGGTGCCATGATACCAACAGGGAACATGGGTATATGTTTGCTGGGCCAGCATGAGGCATGCCTGCCAGGAGTGGCATATGTAGCTGTTTCTCAGTCTCAGGACATGGATGCACAGCTGCTCAGATAGCCTGAGGTCACGTCTGTCAGGAGCAGCCCACTGGGCTGTTTCTCAGGCCGAAGACATGGGTACAAGGCTACTTGGGTAGCCTAGTGGCATGTCTGCTGGAGGAGGGAACAGGGCTGCCTCTTTGGCCTTTGACACAGCTGCATGGCTGCTTGGCTAGTCTTTGGGCATTTCTGTGAGGGGTGGCACAAGAAGTGGTTTTGTTGTCCCAGGGTCCAAGCATGGGGCTTCTTGTTAGGCCTTGGGGCATGCCCACCAAGGCAGACTGTGGAGTTCTTTCTCAGTGGTGAGACAAAGGCCCATAGCTGCTTGGCTGGCCTGGGCATATCCACCAGGGGTGGCCATTGGCTGTTTCTCAAGTTTGGGACATGGACTCTTTGCTACTTGGGCAGTCTGGGGTCATGCCCACTAAGGGTAGCTTGTGGGACTGTTTCTCAGGCCCTTATTTAAAAGATTGGGTCACTGGGCAAGCCATGGATGTATCTGTGGAGGGCAAGGGTGCTGCAGGGCTGTTTCTCAGGTATTGAGGGAGGACCATATCAGCTGCTTGGAGCTCAGGGGCCCCTCCTGCTTAGTAGAGGGTATGTGGCAGTTTGGCTAGTTCAAGGACAGGCTTACTTGGTACGACTGGACAATTATTCCCCAGCTGAAATGCAGTGGCATGAGTTGGTTTCCCTGCTGTGCCAGAATAGAGTCACAGCCAATCCTGGGCTCGAACTCTGCACAGCTGGGGTTGTGGAGTTCAGCCACTATGTGACCTTGGCGTAATGAAGATGGAGCCCAAATGCTGGAGAAGTGTGGTTGTCAGAAGTTCCAGAGGAGGCTACACTCCAGAGGGGGCTCTGTTGTCAAGATGGGACTGTGCTGCGGCAGCTTGGCCCAAGTGGGTGAGTGGGATGTGGGTAGTGCACACCTTGTGCCCCTAATGCAGGGCAATACAGCTGTGTGAATTCCCAGCAGCTCTCCAAACTGGGCTCAGGACTTTAAAGGACTGTGGGATTCTCCTCTTGTAAGGATAGTACATGTTTGCAGTCACAAGGTGACTGGTGGGGACCTTCTCCTTACATTTTCCCTGCAACAGGAAGACCCTCTTGGCTCCAGACAGATCTGATCCGAGTGGAGGGAGACAGGACTGCAAAAACCAGATGCCTCTGCACTGCCCTCCTGAACTTCTAATCACCACGGTTCATCTCCACTCCCCCATGCACTCCAGCACTCTCCCTTTGACACTCCAACCAAATCTTAGCTGTTTGTTACCTTGACCCTTTATTCTGGTGGGGATGAGCACCATGGGTCTCTAGTTATCCATCTTGCTGACTGCCAAATTTTCTATTTCTTCATAGTTAAATCTTGATAGCTTACAGGGGTCTAGGAATTTATCAGTTTCTTCTAGGTTATCTAATTGTTAGTATATAGTTGTTCATGAGTCTCTAATGATCTTTGCATTTCTGTGGTATCAGTTGTAATGTCTCCTTTTTCATCTCTGATTTTATTTAATTGAGTCTTCTTTTTTTTGTTTTACTTAGTCTAGCTAAAAGTTTGGTGATTTTGTTTGTCATTTCCAAAAACCAACTCTTTGTTTTATTGATCTTTTGTATTGTGTTTGTAGTCTCCATTTTTATTATTTCTACTATATCCGTATGATTTCTTTCCTTCTAGTATTATTACAATTAGTTTTCTCTTTTCTTTTTCTTATTACTTGTGGTGCCACATTAGGTTGTTTATTTGAGATTTTTTTTCTTTTTTGTGTAGGCATTTATTGCTGTAACTTTCTGTCTTAGAACTATTTTTACTGTATCTCATAGCCTTTGATACATTGTGTTTCTACTTTAGCTTGTCTCGAAGAAATTTTTATTTCCTTTTTAATTTCTTCTTTGACCAGTTGGTTGTTCAGGAGCATGTAGTTTAATTTCCATGTATTTGTGTATTTTCTGAAGTTCCTTCTTTTATTAATTTCTAGTTTGATAGTAATGTGGTCAGAAAAGATACTTGATATGGTTTCAATCTTCATAAAAATGTTAAGACTTGTTTTGTGGCCTAACATATAATAATCTATTTTGGAGAATATTTCTTGTGCAGTTGAGAAGAACATGTGTTCTGGAGTTGTTTAATAAACTTTTCTGTATACGCCCTTAAAGTCTATTTAGTCTAGAGTGCAGCTTATATCTCACAGGTCTTTGCAGATTTTCTGTCTGGGTGATCTGTCCATTGCTATTACAGGGTTTTGAAATCCTCTAATGATATAGTTTGGATATCCGTCCCCTCCAAATCTCATGTTAAAATGTGACCATCAGTGTTGGAAGTGCAGCCTAGTGTGAGGTGTTTGGGTTATAGGGCTAGATCCCTCATGAATGGCCTGGTGCTATCCCCGCAGTAATGAGTGAGTTCTCACTCTCTTAGTTCACATGAAGACTGCTTGTTTAAAAGACCCTGGCATCTTTCTTTCTCCCTCTCTCACCATGTGATACACTGGCTCCCAATCCCTTCCATCACGATTAAATACTTTATGTGGCATCACCAGAAACTGAGCAGATGCTGGCACCAGGCATCTTAGCCTGCAGAACTTTGAGCCAAACAAACCTCTTTTCTGTATACATTCTCTAGTCTCAGGTATTGTTTTATAGTAATGCTAAATGCCCTAAAACACCTACTATTATTGTATGCAGAGATCTCTCTTCAGAATATTTGCTTTATATCTTTAGGTGCTTGGATTTGGGGTGCATACGTACTTACGATTTCTGTATTATCTTGCTGAATTGACCTCTTTAGCATTATATAATGATCTTCTTTATGTCTTTTTACATTTTTGACTTAAAGTCTATTTGATCTGATATAAGTGTTGCTACTCCTGCTCTCTTTTGGTTTCCACTTGTGTGGAATGTTTTTTCCATCCATTATCGTTCAGTCTATGTGTGTAATTACCAGTATGGTTGCCTCTTTTAGGAAGCCTATTGATGTATCTTATTTTTTTCCCATTCATCCACTCTAGGCATTTAATTAGTGAATTTATTTACCTTCAAGATAATTATTCATAGGTAAGGACTTACTACTGCCACTTTTTCATTGTTTTCTAGTTGCTTTGGTGATTCTTTCTTTCTTTCTTTCTTTCTCTCTTATTGCCTTCCACTATGATTAAGTTAGTTTCTCTAGTAGTATATTTTGATACTTATTTTTTATTTTTAGGGCGTCTATTAAAAATGTTGTCTTTGTGGCTAACATGAGGCCTTTAAAAAAAATCCTGTAGCTATCACAAGTGATTTTAACCTGATAATAATTTGTTTGATTACAAAACATAAAACTACACCTTACCACCACTTCCCTCCCCGCATTTTGATATTTTCATGTCACAATTAACAGCTTTTATGTGCCATATACATTAACAATTTATTGTAGTTATTATTAATTTCAAGTTTTATCTTTTAGCCTTCATACTAAAGATAGAAGTGATTTATACATCACCATTATAGTATCACAGTATTCTGAATTTTGACTGTGTAATTAATTTTATTAGTGAGTTCTACACTTTTAGATTATTTTGTATTACTCATTAGCATCCTTTTCTTTCACCTTGAAGAACTCCTTTAGCATTTCTTGTAAAATAGGTCTGATGGTGACATACTTCCTCACCTTTGTATGTCTAGGAAAGTTTTCATTTCTCTGTCATTTCTGAAGAACAGCTTTGCTGAGTATAGTATGCTTGGATGGTTTTCTTTTTTTTCATTACTTTGATAATATTATTCCACTCTCCTCTGATCTTTAATGTTCCCTTTGAGAAATATGATTTGATTGCAGCACTATTCATACTAGCAAAAACATGGAATCGACTTAGGTGCCCATCAATGGTGGATTGGATAAAGAAAATATGGTGTATATACACCATGGAATACTACACAGTCATAAAAAATAAATAAAATCATGCATTTGCAGCAACATGGATGCAGTGGGAGGCCATTATCCTAAGTAGATTAATGCAGGAAGAGAAAACTATATACCACATGTTCTCAGTTATAGAGGGGAGCTAAATGTCAGATACTCATGAACATAAAGATGGAAATAATACACACTGAAGACTACTAGAGGAGAGAAGGAGGGAGGGAAGGGGACAAGGGTTGAAAAACTAAATGTTGGGTATTATAGTCAGTATCAGAATGACAGGAAAATTCATACCCCGAGCTTCAGCATCATGCAATATACCCAGGTAACAAATTTGCACACTTGGCCCCTGAATGTAAAATAACAGTTGAAAAAGAAAAAAAAGGTCTGATGTGAAGTGTATTGGAACTGTTTTGCATTTTATTTGCTTCTTTTCTTTTGCTGCTTCAGTATCATTTATTTGTCTTTGATCTTTCACAGTTTAATTATTATATGTCTAGTCTTTTTTGAATTGAATGTGATTGGTGACTGTTGACCATCCTGCACTTTGACTACATATATATATATATAATAGACACATACATATATATATAATATATATGTATATATGTATATGTATATATATGGGTGTATATATGTGTGTGTGTGTGTGTGTGTATATATATATATATATATATATATATATATATATATATGAACTCCTCAGATTTGGAAAGTTTTCTGTTATTACTTATTTAATAAGCTTTCTTTACTTTTCCATTTATCTTTCTCTAACTTCTCTTGAATGCCAGTAAATTGTCCCTTTGCTCACTTAATGCTATTCCATACATCTCATAAGTTTCCTTCATTCTATTCTTTTTTCTTTTTTCCTTTTCTGAGTATATATTGTCAAATAACCTGTATTCAAGCTCACAGATTATTCCTTCTGCTTGATCATTTCTGGTGTTAATGCACTCTATTGCACTTTTCACACTTTTCATTTTATTCATTGCATTCTTCAGCTCCTATATTAACATTAGATATTAAATGTTATCATTTTTACCCTTTGTTACATCTCTCTTTCTGGTCACTTATTGTTTTCATCATTTCATTTAATTATTTATCTGTATTTTATTAAAGTTCTTTGAGCTTCCTTAGAACAGCCATTTTAAATTCTCTTTCAGGCAGGTCATACATCTCCATGTCTTTGGGGCCAATCAATGGTATCTTATTTTGTTCATTTGGTACCTTATTTTGTTAATTTGGTGTCATCAGTTTTCCCCGATTGTTCTTGATCCTTGTGATTGTGCATTGATGTCTGCACATTGAAGAAGTAGGTACTTATTGAATTGCAGGTAGGTACTTGAATGCAGATATTGAATTTAAGGTAGGTACTTACTCCAGTTTGGCTTTGTCTGAGAATGTCCCTCAACTCTGTCCGGAAATTCTAGGCAGATCATCTGTTCTAGGTTTGTAAGCCTGTGACTGTTTCAGTCATTGCAGCACAAGGAGATGTCATAAACCCAGGACCACCATGGCCAGTTCTGCACCAGGCTGTAACCCATGGCTGCAGAGGCTGGCACAATGATGGAATGCATTCCCAACTCCTCCTCACTGATACCTGCCTACGTATGTTGGTTATTCATAATCCAAGGCTGCTGTAGTTGGCTGCCAGTGGTACAGGTAAGAACGCAAGTCTATCTCACAGGAACTATGTGTTCCTCTCTGCTGCTGGGGCAGGTCTTGCTGCTTAGGCCACAGGTATTCAAGCAGGGTCACTATGGGTGTCCTCCCAGTGCTGAATTTTACTATTATAGACTAGTATTTTGTTCCGTGAAAAAGTCCAAGCCTTACTTCATTCCCTTCCCCCCAAAAGAAAGTAGCTCTCTCTGCACTGTGCTGCCTGTGATTGGGTTAGGGGTGATACAGGAAACAAAATTGTCTTTCGTGCCCTCTTCAATGTGTATTTTTAATTATTATACTATAATCAGGTTCTGTAATATCTCATCTGGCCTGTTTAGCTTTTGAGAAACTATTATCATATGTGGATAATTATTAAATTCGACGTTTTGGAGGGTATAATCTCTGGGGAGTCCTACTCTACCAGGTTTTTCTGCCCATTCCCCAAAAATAACTATATTTGAATCTTTTCTAAGTTGTAAAGTGATTTCCCATAGAATTGAGCAAAATACATTTAAGTCCTCCTGTTTTCTTCTTTTCCTATGAGTATAAAACTTTCAGATTTTTGTGCCAATTTAGTGCACTTTAATATTTTTGCATTTTTTATTTGTCCAACAGGACAAATCATTTGATCACTTAATCTTTTCCCCCATCATAATTCCATATCTAAGATGTATGCATCACCATACCATTTTTATGCTTTCCAAATCACTGATTTCTGATTTCAACTTTATCAATACATTCCTTTATCATTTGGAAATGTTTTTTTCCACATTTCATTGAATTCAATTCTAATATGAATATAGTAATCACATGTTTTGCTTGGATTGCATTTTCCTGGTTTGTTTTTGCAAATATTGTGCCCTTTTGTTTTATCTGCATCTTTTGGACACTAGATGAGATGAAAGTTTTGTTCTTGATCCATAAGTAAGATTAATATTTCAGACTCTATTTTGTATCAGTAAGTTTGGAACAGAACAGTTTCTGGTATTTTCTTAAGGGAAGTGTGAGGAAGATTACAGTGGTTAGCAGACACAGTAATCAATTTTAGTTCAGAACAATATCACCTTACTCTGTTGGGGTTTCTGCAATAAGGAACTACTTACTGCCTTTGAGGCAAACAGATAAATTTGGTAAGATCTCAGAGTGGCTCATAGAGAAACCATGCAGCTCACATGATTTATGTTTGATAGCATAGCACTTTTTTTCTGTGGTTGGCCTTTCTCTTTTCCCCTTCCATAGAGCATTGCCTACAGGAAGGTTAAGATTCTAAGACAGAATAATTGAAAATAAGTTTTCAAGCTATCCTTTCCCCAGCACTACCCTCCAAGGTGTTCTGAATGTACACAGGGACACTGTTGGGATGCTTTCTTCTTCTCCTGTGGTCTGCTCATAACGAAGTCTTTATGACTCAAAGTAAAGAAAGTTTCTTCAGACTTTTCAGGATGTCATCACAATTGGAAAAATCTATGCTTCTACCAAAGGTGGGAATTTTAGCTTCATGTCCACTCACAATACATTATTCAATTCATTGATGGTGGCAAATATTTCTCACAGCCTGTTTGGGGATTCAGCTGTTTACTACTGAAGTAGAAACTTCTCTTAATTAAAAAGAAAATTCTGCTGTTTAGGTAGATTTCATGAAAAGAACCCAATCTAGAAACCAGCATTTTTACTTTTTTTCCAACAGTTGTTCCTATCACCATGAAAGCATATTAAAATTCTTTCATCCTTTGAAAACACATCTGGAACTTACCTCACCCTCCAGATACAGCCTCAGCTCTCACTCCACCATGAATTCAGACTTCCTGAGAAGGTTGCAGCTGGTCTCCATCCTTCAACTGACAACCCAATGCAATTGTATTCATCTCTCATTAAAGTTACTAGCAACAACTAAGAAAAACTTTGGATACATGTCAGTCTTTATTGTGTTGAACTTGACAGACATATTTGACATTGGAGTGCCCCATTTACTTGTTTAAAATTTCTTTCTTTGGATTCCATAACGTTTCATTATCTTCTATATCATTGGACTTCTATGATTGCTCATTCTTAGGTAAAATAGAACGTGTCTCAAGATCATTTTTAAAACAAAAGGAAGTATGGAGTTCTATCTAAAATAGAGTATTTAAATTATTGCATCATGAAGGGAAACTCACATTTAGAATATAAAGGCATTCTCAGAAACCAATTGCTTTTGTAGCCTGAAGCCAGTCTCTTTCCTACTTTTGTCTATAATTCTGTAAAATTAAAGTGATCTGGCATGATGATCTAAAAGGACTGATAAAAATTTGCTGGGGCTGCCAGAAGAAAGAAAATGCCTTTGACATTATGTTGCTGGGGACATTGACTTTGTCCCACACTCAGCAGGGGTGAGGAAGTTGGCATTTACTGATAAGCTAAGAAAAGTCAGTGCCTTTTGTAATTTAAGCTCCACCCATGGCACACTCACTCAAGGAAGATATAAATGACAAGGTCGGCTCAGCTCTCAGACAAGGTTTTCCAAGCAAGATGAAGCCCAACATCATCTTTGTACTTTCCCTGCTCCTCATCTTGGAGAAGCAAGCAGCTGTGATGGGACAAAAAGGTGAGTGGAGAGGGTAAGCCTTGGGGAAAGCTGCTCAGACAGCTAATAATCTAAGATTATTTGGGGTGCAAACAGTAACCTGTTTAGGCACAGATTCTTCTCTTTGAAGAGAATTGATTTTCTCCACCCAAAGCTTCAGCTTTTCTAGAAATATCAATAATTTGTTGGGGGAAAAGTGGGGGGTAAGAGTTGTAAGGGAGCTTTGGAGATAATGAATGCATACCTTCTTATTATCAATTACCAGGTGGATCAAAAGGCCGATTACCAAGTGAATTTTCCCAATTTCCACACGGACAAAAGGGCCAGCACTATTCTGGACAAAAAGGCAAGCAACAAACTGAATCCAAAGGCAGTTTTTCTATTCAATACACATATCATGTAGATGCCAATGATCATGACCAGTCCCGAAAAAGTCAGCAATATGATTTGAATGCCCTACATAAGACGACAAAATCACAACGACATCTAGGTGGAAGTCAACAACTGCTCCATAATAAACAAGAAGGCAGAGACCATGATAAATCAAAAGGTCATTTTCACAGGGTAGTTATACACCATAAAGGAGGCAAAGCTCATCGTGGGACACAAAATCCTTCTCAAGATCAGGGGAATAGCCCATCTGGAAAGGGAATATCCAGTCAATATTCAAACACAGAAGAAAGGCTGTGGGTTCATGGACTAAGTAAAGAACAAACTTCCGTCTCTGGTGCACAAAAAGGTAGAAAACAAGGCGGATCCCAAAGCAGTTATGTTCTCCAAACTGAAGAGCTAGTAGCTAACAAACAACAACGTGAGACTAAAAATTCTCATCAAAATAAAGGGCATTACCAAAATGTGGTTGAAGTGAGAGAGGAACATTCAAGTAAAGTACAAACCTCACTCTGTCCTGCGCACCAAGACAAACTCCAACATGGATCCAAAGACATTTTTTCTACCCAAGATGAGCTCCTAGTATATAACAAGAATCAACACCAGACAAAAAATCTCAATCAAGATCAACAGCATGGCCGAAAGGCAAATAAAATATCATACCAATCTTCAAGTACAGAAGAAAGACGACTCCACTATGGAGAAAATGGTGTGCAGAAAGATGTATCCCAAAGCAGTATTTATAGCCAAACTGAAGAGAAAGCACAGGGCAAGTCTCAAAAACAGATAACAATTCCCAGTCAAGAGCAAGAGCATAGCCAAAAGGCAAATAAAATATCATACCAATCTTCAAGTACGGAAGAAAGACGACTCCACTATGGAGAAAATGGTGTGCAGAAAGATGTATCCCAACGCAGTATTTATAGCCAAACTGAAAAGCTAGTAGCAGGCAAGTCTCAAATCCAGGCACCAAATCCTAAGCAAGAGCCATGGCATGGTGAAAATGCAAAAGGAGAGTCTGGCCAATCTACAAATAGAGAACAAGACCTACTCAGTCATGAACAAAAAGGCAGACACCAACATGGATCTCATGGGGGATTGGATATTGTAATTATAGAGCAGGAAGATGACAGTGATCGTCATTTGGCACAACATCTTAACAACGACCGAAACCCATTATTTACATAAACCTACCATTCGGTAACCATGTGAAAGGATGGACCAATATCAAGGTAATTTTTTTTTAGCAAATAGGGGAGATATCTCTCTCATTGTTTAGAATTGTTGGGGACTCTCCAGGACTTTTGTGGGATTGATAACCATTGTTCGCACCAATAGAAGTGCTGTATAACAAGTGGTAGGAAGATGAGCCTCCCCATTCCCTGGTGAGGAGAGGGTCTGGTAGTGGCACAGAAGGATGTTTGGCCTATCATGAGGTCCTAGAATTCCTATCCTTAATTGAATATTCTTCAATAATATTTTTTTGTATATGCCTACCTGCTAAAGGTTTTTTTGAACAGGTACTGACTACATATGCATATTTATAAGTTTATGGTATACTCTTGTCAGTTCTTATACTTTAGATTAGTAAACCTCAGTTTCTTTCCTATATAGTATAAAGGATTACAGCCATTAATGTTTTCTTTCTGCACACCAGTGAATGTTCTTGCATCCCTGTTAGGGTTCATCTATGCTCCTTCAGAGACCACAAGCCCAAAGACTATCAGTCCTCCCTCTCAGAATACAGGAAAGAGATATGTAGAAAGATCCTTGTTCATGTTGTGAAAGAGAAGATGGAAAGGGAGACACAAGAGATGGTGAGGGATCTCATGGGCCAATTGGGTGTTTACAACATCAGGAGAAGAAAACTGAAGCCCTGAGAGGGGTAATGGTGCTTCCCTGCCTCTTTGCAGTAAGTAACACTGCACTTGAAGAGAGGGCAAGCAGTAGAAACAGTGGCCCCAGCTGGCAACTAGTGGCCTGGTATCCTAGTAGTAGAGGGCTGGTACAGTTGGAGCTGAAGGGGACAGGGGGCCCAGCTACCATCCCCACCCTTCACTTTTTACTATACTCACATCACTGATTCTCTTCTTTCTCTCTAGGTGTCAGTTGACCTCAGTGAATTCTGTGATGTTTCTGAGATGCAGACTCCCGTGTAGTTTCAGATTCTTGGTCCATGGATGACACCACCTGCCCATGCTTCCTTGAATTAGGCTTTCCTAACCTGAAGCGCCTTCAAACTTCCAATAAAGAGATCATTTTCTGCTTCATCTGCTTTTGACTCCTGTTTTCTCTGGATTCCTAGTGGCTCAAGGGGTTGAGGGCATTTCTAATGTAAGTGGTTTTGAAAGAAAATAAAGGGATATTTTTGAAGCACTAGGGAGAATAGTAATCAAAGCCACATTTCAAGATATATTGATAGAAACCAACACTAAAAATAGGGTGCTGTTAGTCTACCAGTCACATGTCTACCACCTGAGGCCAACACTAAAGGCTTTCATGACCCTGGTACTAATAAGACCCCAGGAACTAAAAATATCCCAGAAAGACAAGAGAAAATGTATTGCAACAGGCCCTGGGAAAGTCCCTGA
Source organism: Homo sapiens (assembly GCF_000001405.40). Taxonomy (NCBI): domain Eukaryota; kingdom Metazoa; phylum Chordata; class Mammalia; order Primates; family Hominidae; genus Homo; species Homo sapiens. The sequence continues at coordinate 45,210,090 of NC_000020.11, forward strand.
TCTGCTGGTGATCAATTCCACAGTAGCACATCCCTTCAATTAGCTTAAGAATGTCTTACGCCTACAGTATCCATTGAGATGCAATTACACCAAAGGTGATATGTTAAATCTGCACAACTTCAGTAACAGCAAGTGGGTTAAAATGTCACCTGTGGATGGAAAGACCAGATGACCAGTCAAAGGAATCTTGAGGCAGGTGGTGTCTTCATAATGGAAATACTGCTGCCTATACTGCCTTTTCCCCCTCTATTTTAAAAAAGTTTCCAGAGAAATCTAAACCTTCAGGAGAAGAGGCCAACATAGGGGAGTGAGAAAATCACAAGCCTAAGAATAAGAGATTTGGATTGTAGTTCCAATTCTGCCATAATAACCTGTATATCTTTACCTAAATATGTTCTTCCCTGCAAGCTTAAGTCCCACATCTGCAACATGGAAAAGTTTGACACAGCAATCTTCATAGTACATATTGACTCAAAATTGTAGACATTCAAAAGAAAGAAAGAAGAAAGAAAGAAAGAGAGAGAGAGAGAAAGAGAAGAAAGAAAGAAAGGAGAGAGAGAGAGACAGAAAGGAAAGGAAAGGAAAGAGGGAGGGAAGGAGGGAAGGAAGGAAGGAAGGAAGGAAGGAAGTAAGAAGGAAGGAAAAAGAAAGAAAGGAGGTCAATAAGACCTTAAAGACGGTGTCTAATGCTGCAGTAAATTTGGTAGGGCCAGAATAGGTCAGATGGACATGAATGCTTCAGAATGACACAGGCCTACTCGGAGTAGAGATTGGTACTGTTGTCCACCCTCAAAACCATGGATCATATAGGCCCAGAGTTGGGTTAGCCTGGGCCCCACATACAACAACCAAGGAGCCATAAGTTTATTAAGAGTCATGACGTCTTCCAGGAGAAGCAAATCATTCCCTAAGCTAGCCAACAGCTTGAAAGTCAGTAGGTCAGCTTCATCAAAAGAGCCAAAAGAGTAGGTGTAGTTATGTTTGTCCATCACCACAGCCAGGCAGCCGGTTATGTGTGTATTATGAAGTCATAAAATCTACCAAGTATGTCATTGCTAAGAATTAGTATAGATCAGCCAATAAATATGTATGTGGTTGTGCTGTGGGCCCACAGGTACCCATCTCCACTTCTCACACACATGCAGCACACGCATACAGGGCTGAATGGCCCCTGTGCTACAATAGCTTGGTGAGGAAGAAATTGTAGAGAATTAGCAATTGCTTACCATAAATTCTCCTTTTAGTTCTATTTCTTTGGCTGTATGACTCCAGCAAAGCATTTGTTGTTGTTTTCTTTGCCTCATAGGTACAATAAAAGTATTGTTTCCTGATGGAAGAAATAGAAAGAAAGAAGAAAGAAAGAAAAAGAAAGACAGAAGGAAAGAAAGAAAAAGAAAGGAAGAAAGGAAGAAAGAAAGGAAGGAAGGAAGGAAGGGAAAAAGGGAGAAAGAGTGAAAGAGAGAGAGAAGGAGAGAGGGAGAGAGAGTGGGAGGGAAGGGAGGAGGGGAGGAAGGGAGGGAGGGAAGGAAGGGGAGAGAGAAAGAAAGAGAGAAAGAGAGAAAGAAAGAAAGAAGCAAGCAAATAAAGAAGCAAGCAAAGAAAGAAAAAGAAAGAAAGAAAGAAAAGAAAGGAAGGAAGAAAGAAAGAGGAAGGGAGGGAGGGAAGGAAGAAACAAAGGAAGGAAGGAAAGAGAGAGAAGAAAGAAAGAAGGAAAGAAAGAAAGAAAGGAAGGAAGAAAGAAAAAGAAGAAAGAAAGAAGCAAGCAAAGAAAGAAGCAAGCAAAGAAAGAAGCAAGGAGAGAAAGAAAGAAAGGAAGAAAGAGAGGAAGGGAGGGAGGGAGGGAAGGAAGGAGGGAACAAAGGAAGGAAGGAGAGAGAAGAAAGAAAGAAAGAGAGAGAGAGAAAGAAAGAAAGAAAGGAGGGAGGGAGGGAAGGAAGGAAGAAGAAAGAAAGAAAGAAAGAGAGAGAGAGAAAAAGGAAGAAAGAAAGAGAAAGAAAGAAAGAAAGAGAGAGAGAGAAAAAGGAAGAAAGAGAAAGAAAGAAAGAAAGAAAGAAAGAGAAATCTCCATCAGGTCTTAATGTCTTCATGTTGCCTGTAGGTGTGTGATTAGAGACTTTGTCATAGTGGCATGAGAACTCTGTCTCTCTTCACTGCTACCTTCCCAAGAGAATAGAGACCTTGTGCTCAGCCACCTGCTCTATTTTCCCAGCCCAGCAGTTAGAAAGGAGAGGTTATGATGGGCCTAGGAGCCTTAGCATCAGAGAAGCTAGAATTACCTGCTACAGTCTGCTGAACAGATTCTCTCCTCTAAGTATGGACAGAAATACATTACACAGTTTCCCTGACATGTTGCTGATTGCATGGGAGAGGGAAACATAAATTGACATGCAAACAAGCAAAAGAGCCAGAGTCATAAATGCTGTGTGCTGTGGTACAATTAGCACGAACTTTGGTTCCCACCACTTGCATAGTCTTGGGCCACAGGATCTCTGATACTGACCTCCTGCCTCTTAATGAGGGGATATAATAATGATCTCATAAAGATGCTTAGATGTATTGAGTGAGATGATCACAGCCCAAGTGCTCAGGGAAAAGTGCCAGAATGACAACAAATTTGGAAATAATAATAATAAAACAATCTTTTATTATATGTTCTTTGAAATAGAGGTAAAATTCATACAAAGAAATGCACAGATCTTATATCTGTTTGAATGAGATTGACAAACACATACATGTGGTTGCACAACACCTAGATGAGCATATAGAACATTAATCTTGCCTTATGCCCCTTTCAAATTCACTCCAAGCCCTTCAGGGGCAAATGTTATACTGACATAGAAACTAATAACTTGCTTGTTTTTAATCCTTACATAATGAAATCATATAATAACATTACCTTTTGTGTCCGACTGTTATTCAATGTTTGAGATTCATTGTTTTTGTATGTATCAGCAGTTATTTTATTGTTGAATAATATTACATTGTTTGAGTCTCCATATTTGTTCTTCCATTTATCTGCTGATAGATGAACATTTGGTGTTCCCAATTGAGCGATTGTGAATTAAGATATCACATAAATCCCTGTACAAGGCACAATAACATATATTTTTAATTATCCGTGGTAAATACCCAGGAGTGAAATTTTCTCCCAGTGTGTGGCTTGGGTTTTTTTTTTTTTTTTCATTTTCTTAATGATGGTGTATTCAGAAGAGTAGAAGTTTTAAAGTGTGACAGAATCAAATATATCTATTTTCCCTTTAAATTGAATATTATTGTGTCTAAGAACTTTGGCCTTCTCGAAGGCTGCAAAAATGTTCTGTTTGTGATATCTTTCCCTAGAAGCAGCATAAGTTTAGCATCTATATTAAGGTTTATGGTTCAAATTGATTAATATGTGCATTCCATGCAAGGTACAGATCAAGGTTCCTTTCTTCCAAGATGCTCTTGTTTTTACTAATTATTAATAATGCTGCTATGGACATTCATGTGCAAATTTTTGTGTGAATACATTTTCAGTTCTCTTTGGTATAATCATGGAAGTGGAATTTTTGGGTCACATGGCAACACTGTTTAACTCTTGAAGAAACTGACACACTGTTTTTACAATGACTCTACCATTTTATAGTCCCACCAGCAACAGCTTCTTAGATGTGGAGATTAATATTGTTAAGCAAAATCAAAATGTTTTTAGCCATTATATCTTCAAATATCCTCTGCCTCATTCTCTCTTCTGAAATTCCCATTATGCATATGTTTTTACACTAGATTATGCTCCATAGGTCTTTGAAGCTCTATTCATTTTTTTCATTCTTTTTTTTTTTTTCACTGTTTCTCAGAGTGTATAATCTCGATTGACCTATAATTATGTTGGGTTTTTCTTCTGTCCATTCCTACCTGCTGGTGAGCCCCTCTGGTGAATTTCTATTTCAGCGATTGTACTTTACAACTTCATCGCTTATCTTGAATTATTTCAATATTGTGAGACATGATTTTCATACTTTTCTTTAGTCTTTTTCTCCATGATTTCCTTTAGTTCTTGGAGTATACCAGCTGATGTCATGATACATGCTCATGGATGAGTAGAATCAATATTGTGAGAATGACCATACTGCCAAAAGCAATCTACAAATTCAAGGCAATCCGCATCAAAATACCACCATCATTCTTCACAGATTTAGGAAAAGCAATTCTAAAATTCATATGGAACCAAAAAACAGCCCACATAGCCAAAGCAAGACTAAGCAAAAAGAACAAATCTGGAGGCATCACACTACCTGATTTCAAACTATACTATAAGGCCATAGTCACCAAAATAGCGTGGCACTGGTATAAAAATAGGCACATAGACCAATGGAACAGAATAGAGAACCCAGAAATAAACCCAAATACTTATAGCCAAATGATCTTTGGCAAAGCAAACAAAAACATAAAGTGGGGAAAAGGATTCCCTTTTCAACAAATGGTGCTGGGATAATTGGCTACCCACATGTGGGAGAATGAAACTGGATCCTCATCTCACACTTTATACAAAAATCAACTCAAGATAGATTAAAGACTTAAAACTAATACCTGAAACTATAAAAATTCTAGAAGATAACATTGGAAAAATCCTTCTAGACATTGGCTTAGGCAAGGATTTCATGACCAAAAGGCAAAAAGCAATTGCAATTAAAACAAAGATAAATAGCTGGGACCTAATTAAACTAAAGGGCTTTTGCACAGCAAAAGGAACAGTCAGTAGAGTAAATGGACAACCCACAGAGTGGGAGAAAATCTTCACATTCTATACATCTGACAAAGGACTAATATCCAGAATTTACAACGAACTCAAACAAATCAGTAAGAAAAAACGATCAATCCCACCAAAAAGTGGGCTAAGGACATGAACAGACAATCCTTAAAAGAAGATATACAGGCTGGGCGCGGTGGCTCATGCCTGTAATCCTAGCACTTTGGGAGGCCGAGGCGGGCGGATCACGAGGTCAGGAGATCGAGACCATCCTGACTAACACGGTGAAACCCCGTCTCTACTAAAAATACAAAAAATTAGCCGGGCGCTGTGGCCGGCTCCTGTAGTCCCAGCTGGTCGGGAGGCGGTGGGGGGGGAGTGCTGAGGCAGGAGAATGGCGTGGACCCGGGAGGCGGAGCTTGAAGTGAGCCGAGATCGCGCCACTGCACTCCAGCCTGGGTGAAAGACAAAGACTCCGTCTCAAAAAAAAAAAAAAAAAAAAAAAGAAGAAGAAGATATACAAATGGCCAACAAACATATGAAAAAATGCTCAACATCACTAATGATCAGGGAAATGCAAATCAAAACCACAATGCAATACCACCTTACTCCTATAAGAATGGCCATATTCAAAGAATCGAAAAACCGTAGATGTTGGTGTGGATGCGGCAATCAGGGAACACTTCTACACTGCTGGTGGGAATGTAAACTAGTACAGCTGCTATGGAAAACGGTGTGGAGATTCCTTAAAGAACTAAAAGTAGAACTACCGTATGATCTAGCAATCCCACTACTGGGTAACCACCCGGAGGAAAAGAAGTCATTATTCAAAAAAGATACTTGCACATCCATGTTTATAGCAGCACAATTCACAATAGCAAAATCCTGGAACCAATCCAAATGCCTATCAATCAATGAGTAGATAAAGAAACTCTGACATATATATATATATATATATATATATATATGAGTTTTATATATATATGTTTTATATATATATCAGTGTTTCATATATATATATATAATCTTTCTTTGTCTTTGACTTTCAGCAATGCAATTAAAATGTGCCTTGGAGAGAACCTGTTTTATATATATATGTATATAGATCTCTCTCTCACCATGATGCCCATATATGTATATATGATGGAATACTACTCAGCCATAAAAAGGAATGAATTAACAGCATTTGCAATGACCTGGATGAGATTAGAGATGATTATTCCAAGTGAAGTAACTCAGGAATGGAAAGTTAAACATCATACATTCTCACTGATATGTGGGAGCTAACCTATGAGGACGCAAAGGAATAAGAATGATAAAGTGGACTTTGGGGACTTGGGGGGAAGAGTGGGAGGGGGGCGGGGGATAAAAGATAAAAGACAACAAATATGGTGCAGTGTATACTGCTCAGGTGATGGGTGCACCAGGTTCTTACAAATCTCCACTAAAGAACTTACTCATGTAACCAAATACCACCTGTACCCCAATAACTTATAGAAAAATAAAATTAAAAAAATAAAGGAACAGGGAAAACTACCTTCATTAGCAGACAATACATATGCAAAAAATTCCAAAGCATCAACTAAGAAACCATGGAACCTAATAAATGAAATCACCAATGTTGCAGAATACATGATTAAAAGATAACAATTGGTCGTATTTCTATACATTGATGATGAAAAATTCAAAATTAAAATTCAGTAAACAATTCTATTTAGAATGTCAAAAAAACCAAAATGCTTAGAAATATAAATTACCCATGACATGTAAATCTTATACACTAAAGGCTACAAAACACTTCCCCAAGAAAGTAAAGACCTAAATAAATGGATGTAGATCCTTTATTTGTGAAATGGAGGACTTAATATTGTTAAGATGGCACACTACCCAAAGTGATAATCAAATCACTGCAATTCTCTCTCTTTTTCTTTTCTTTTTTTTTTTTTTTTTTTGAGATGGAGTCTGACTCTGTCGCCCAGGCTGGAGTGCAGTGGCACGATCTCAGCTCACTGCAACCTCGGCCTCCCAGGCTCAAGCGATTCTCCTGTCTCAGCCTCCTGAGTAGCTGGGATTACAGGCGCACGCTGTCATACTTGGCTAATTTTTTGTATTTTACTAGAGACGGGGTTTCACCGTGTTGCCCAAGCTGGTCTCGAACTTCTGAGCTCAGGCAATCCACCCGTCTTGGCCTCCCAAAGTGCTAGGATTACAGCCACCGTGCCCAGCCCGAATCAATGCAATTCTTATCAAAAATTTTATGGCTTTCTTGTAGAAATGGAAAAGTGGGTTCTAACGTTCATTTGGAATTTCAAGGGATCCCAAATAGCCGTACAATCTTGACTAAGAGGAACACAGTTGGAAGACTCACACTTCACAAATACTATCTTATAACCCATTATTTAAACTGACAACAACTTAACACTGCTTCCATAAACAAACAAGAGAAAGAAAACTAATAAAGACTCTATACTTTAACTTCATTCCCGCCACTTTTTAACTGATAATTGCTGTGCTTTCTCTCACCCCATGCACAGAAATGCTCTGTGCCCCATACCTGCAACCGGGAGATGAAGGAGGAGTGGCATCAGTGATACAAGTGTTTTTCCTACCCCTTCAGCGCCTCTTTCAGTGATATAAAGTTAAAATCAGTTACTGTGAGTGCTCACCTGATTTTTTGGTTCTTATAAAGGTGATCTTTCTCTGCAGATACTTGTTAAATTGGTGACCTTGGTGGGGGCAGGGGGGATCATTGGAGCCTTCTATTCCACCATCTTGTTCTGCCACCCTCCTCTCTTAATTTTTATTCTCTCTGAACGATTTTATTTCTCCTTCATTTCTGAAGGATAGCTTTGCTGAGGGTAATGTTCTTAGCTGACAGTTTTCTCTTTTAGTAATTTGAATATATTATGCCATTCTTTCCTGGCCTGTAAGGTTTCTCCCGAGAAATTCTCTGTTAGTCAGATGGGGGTTACCTTATATGTGACTTGACATTTTTCTCTTGCTGCTTTTAAAAATCTTTCTTTGTCTTTGACTTTTAGCAATGCAATTAAAATGTGCCTTGGAGAGAACCCGTTTAGGTTGAATTTATTTAGGGTTCTTATAGCTTCCTGGACCTGGATTTCTATCTCTCTCCCAAGATGCAAGAAGTTTTCTGCTATTATTTTATGCGTCTGATGGAAAAGTTGCCTCTTCCAATTTTATGGAGTAGATTTTATAAGCGAAAACTTATTTTTATGAATGGGTCTTTAGGTGTTAGTTCATTTGAGTTTGTTGGTTTTTGTTGCAGGTGTATGTAGCAGTATTGTTTCCATAGAGTTTCTTCACCTATGATCCACACTTGTGGCACTTGAGAGTTTCTCAGCGCCCTAGTTGAGAGAGTGTGCTGCTACAGTGGCATGGCTTTGCCAGTGCTGTGGTTCCAGCGCTAATTCTCAGGTCAGGGGTGTGTGCATCCACGTGGTAGGTAATTCAATTAAGGTATGACTCAATGGTATTGGGGCCAGGGTGCTGTTATCCTGGCTGGAAGCATGGGCACATGTTTGTTCAGTCAGTGAGTGTGACTACAGGCTAGGGGTGGCCTGTGAAGCTGTTTCTTGGTTTCAGGACGTGGAAGTACAGCTTCTCAACTGGTCTGAAGACATGTCTGCCAGGGTCAGTCTACTGGGCTTTTTCTCAGGCCCAAGATGTGGGTGTAAGGCTGCTTGGATGGCCTACGAGAGGAAGGGAATGAGAGAGGAAAGAGGGCTTTTTCTCAGGCACTTGACACAGCTGCATGGCTGAGTGGCTAGGCTTTGAGCATTTCTGTAAGGGGTGGCCCAAGAAGATATTCTGTAGGCCTAGGGTGTAGGCATGGAGCTTCTTGGTTGTCCTTCATGTGTGACCACCAGAGGCAATCTGTAGGACTGTTTCTCAGACCTGGGACATGACCACATAACTACTTGGCTGGCTTGGGTATGCCCACCAGGGGTGGCCCATGGGCTGTTTCTCAGGTTTGGGAAATGGGCTCTCGGCAGCTGGGCCAGCGTGGTGTCAAGCCCAGCAGGGGAGCTTGTGAGTCTGTTTCTCAAGCTCTTATTGGGAGTATAGGGCCACTGAGCAGGCCATGGATGTGTCTCTGGAGGGAGAGAGTGTTACAGGGCTATTTCTCAGGTACTCAGTGTGGACACATAGCCACTGTGCTGCCACAGGGGCATATAAACTGTGTCAAGCTCAGTGACCTGTCTCCTACTTGGTGAACTTTAAAATATTCTACTATTTTTTCCTTGTTTATTTTTTATCATTTGATATTTTCCCAATCATGATACCACATCTAAGATGTATGCAGCACTATACCATGTTTATGCTTTCCAAATTACCGATTTCTGCTTTCATCTTTATCAATAGATTTATTTTTAATTTTGAAATGCTTTTTTTTCAAATTTCATTAAATCCAATCATGATATGAGTATCATAATCACATGTTGTGCCTAGTTTGCATTTTCCTGCTTTGTTTTTGCAAATCTTGTGCACCTTTGTTTTATCTGTATCTTTTGGACACTAGATTAGTTGGAAGTTTTGTTCTTGATCCATAAGTAAGATTAATATTTCAGACTCTTGTTTGTTCCGGTAATCTTGGAACACAACAGTTCCTGGTATTTCCTTAAGGGAAGTGTAAGGAAGATTATAGTGATTAGCAGGTACAGCAATAAATTTGTGTTCAGGAAAACTTTACTCTTTTCTTTTGGGGTCCCTGCCATAAGGAAATACTTACTGCCCTTAGGGCAAACAGATAAAACTGGTAAGATCTCAGAATGGCTCATAGAGAAACCACATAGCTCACATGCTTCAAGTTTGATGGCATAAGTAGCATTTTTTCCTATGGTTGGCCTTTCCCCTCTCCCCTTCCATATAGCATTGCTTACAGGAAGGTTAGGATTTTAAGAGAGAATAATAGAAAATAAGTTTCCAAGCCGTCCTTTCTCCAGAACTACCCTCCACAGTGTTCTGAATGCATACAGGGTCACTGTTCAAATGTTGCTGCTTCTCCTGTTGTCTTCTCATAACAAGGACTTTTTCAGTCAAAGTAAAGAAACTGGCCGGGTGCAGTGGCTCATGCCTGTAATCCCAGCAGTTTGGGAGGCTGAGGCGGGCGGATCACGAGGTCAGGAGATTGAGACCATCCTGGCTAACACGGTGAAACCCCGTCTCTACTAAAAATACAAAAAATTAGCCGGGCGTGGTGGCAGGCACCTGTAGTCCCAGCTACTTGGGAAGCTGAGGCAGGAGAATGGCATGAACCTGGGAGGCACAGCTTGCAGTGAGCCGAGATGGTGCCACTGCACTCCAGCCTGGGCGACAGAGCGAGACTCTGTCTCAAAAACAAACAAACAAAAAAAACAAAACAAACAAACAAACAAACAAAAAACCTTCCTTGGATTTTTCAAGAAGTTTTCACAATTGCAAAAAAACAAAACAAAACAACACAACACAACAAAACAAAACAAAAGCAAAAAAACCCTATGCTTCCACCCAAGGTAAAAATTTTAGCTTTAGGTCCACTCTCAATACATTATTTAATGAACTGAAGTTGGCAAATATTCCTCACAGCCTGTTGGAGGGTTCAGCAGTTTATTACAGAAGTATGAAATGCTTTTATTTAAAAAATGTATTTTGGTAAATACATTTTTGTTTAGGTAAATATCATCAAATAATCCAATTTGGAAACCAACATTCTTACTTCTTTTTCCAACAGTTGTTCCTATCATCATAAAAACATGTTAAATTTTTCTCATCCTTTCAAAAAATCTCTGGAGCTTACCTCACCCTCCAGATACAGCCTCACCTCTCATTCCACCATGAAATCAGACTTCTTGAGATGGTTTCAGCTGGACTCCATCCTTCAACTGACAACCCAACACAACTGTATTCATCTCTCGTTAACATTACTAGCAGTGAGTAACATCAGAAAGTTTTTGACACATGTTAGTCTTTTTTGTGATGAACTTCACAGATACATTTGACATTGGTATGCCTCATTTATTTGTTGAAATTTTTTTCTTTGGCTTCCATGAAGTTTCTTTCTCTTCTGTATCATTCTACTTCTATGACTGCTCCTTCTCGAGTAAAACAGAATGTGTCTCAGGATTACTTTAAAACAAGACAAAGTATAGAGTTATACCTAAAATTTAGTATTTAAGTTATTGGATCAGAAAGGAAACTCGCATTTAGAGTATGAAGGCATTGTCAGCCACCAATTACTTTTGTAACCTGAAGCTAGTCTCCTTCCTACTCCGGACTGAATTTCTTCTGTATAATGCAAGCGATCTGGCATGATGATATACAAAGACCGATAAAATTTTGCTGGGGATTCTGAAAGTAAAAAAAATTGCCTTTGATATTATGTCCCCATGCTAAGTCCCTGGGGACTTTGACATTATCCCCCACTGAGCAGGGGTGAGGAAGCTGGCATTTACTAATAAGCTATGAAAGGGCAGTGCCTTTTGACATTTCAGCTCCACCCATAGCACACCCACTCAAGGAACATATAAATGAAGAGATCCGCTCAGTTCTCAGACAAGATTTTTCAAGCAAGATGAAGTCCATCATCCTCTTTGTCCTTTCCCTGCTCCTTATCTTGGAGAAGCAAGCAGCTGTGATGGGACAAAAAGGTGAGTGGAGAGGGTAAGCCTTGGGGAAAGCTACTTTAAAAAAATGGCCTCTAAGGATATTCAGGGTGCAAACAGTAACCTGTTCAGGCACAGATTCTTCTCCTTGATGAGAATTGATTTTTCTCCACCCAACGCTGTAGGCTTTTGGAAATATCAGAAATTTGTTGGGAAAAGGTGGGAGGTAAGAGTTGCAAGAGAGCTTTGGAGATAATGAATGCATACATTTCTATTATCAATTACCAGGTGGATCAAAAGGCCAATTGCCAAGCGGATCTTCCCAATTTCCACATGGACAAAAGGGCCAGCACTATTTTGGACAAAAAGACCAACAACATACTAAATCCAAAGGCAGTTTTTCTATTCAACACACATATCATGTAGACATCAATGATCATGACTGGACCCGAAAAAGTCAGCAATATGATTTGAATGCCCTACATAAGGCGACAAAATCAAAACAACACCTAGGTGGAAGTCAACAACTGCTCAATTATAAACAAGAAGGCAGAGACCATGATAAATCAAAAGGTCATTTTCACATGATAGTTATACATCATAAAGGAGGCCAAGCTCATCATGGGACACAAAATCCTTCTCAAGATCAGGGGAATAGCCCATCTGGAAAGGGATTATCCAGTCAATGTTCAAACACAGAAAAAAGGCTATGGGTTCATGGACTAAGTAAAGAACAAGCTTCAGCCTCTGGTGCACAAAAAGGTAGAACACAAGGTGGATCCCAAAGCAGTTATGTTCTCCAAACTGAAGAACTAGTAGTTAACAAACAACAACGTGAGACTAAAAATTCTCATCAAAATAAAGGGCATTACCAAAATGTGGTTGACGTGAGAGAGGAACATTCAAGTAAACTACAAACTTCACTCCATCCTGCACATCAAGACAGACTCCAACATGGACCCAAAGACATTTTTACTACCCAAGATGAGCTCCTAGTATATAACAAGAATCAACACCAGACAAAAAATCTCAGTCAAGATCAAGAGCATGGCCGGAAGGCACATAAAATATCATACCCGTCTTCACGTACAGAAGAAAGACAACTTCACCATGGAGAAAAGAGTGTACAGAAAGATGTATCCAAAGGCAGCATTTCTATCCAAACTGAAGAGAAAATACATGGCAAGTCTCAAAACCAGGTAACAATTCATAGTCAAGATCAAGAGCATGGCCATAAGGAAAATAAAATATCATACCAATCTTCAAGTACAGAAGAAAGACATCTCAACTGTGGAGAAAAGGGCATCCAGAAAGGTGTATCCAAAGGCAGTATTTCGATCCAAACTGAAGAGCAAATACATGGCAAGTCTCAAAACCAGGTAAGAATTCCTAGTCAAGCTCAAGAGTATGGCCATAAGGAAAATAAAATATCATACCAATCTTCGAGTACAGAAGAAAGACGTCTCAACAGTGGAGAAAAGGATGTACAGAAAGGTGTATCCAAAGGCAGTATTTCTATCCAAACTGAAGAGAAAATACATGGCAAGTCTCAAAACCAGGTAACAATTCCTAGTCAAGATCAAGAGCATGGCCATAAGGAAAATAAAATGTCATACCAATCTTCAAGTACAGAAGAAAGACGACTCAACTATGGAGGAAAGAGCACGCAGAAAGATGTATCCCAAAGCAGTATTTCTTTCCAAATTGAAAAGCTAGTAGAAGGCAAGTCTCAAATCCAGACACCAAATCCTAATCAAGATCAATGGTCTGGCCAAAATGCAAAAGGAAAGTCTGGTCAATCTGCAGATAGCAAACAAGACCTACTCAGTCATGAACAAAAAGGCAGATACAAACAGGAATCCAGTGAGTCACATAATATTGTAATTACTGAGCATGAGGTTGCCCAAGATGATCATTTGACACAACAATATAATGAAGACAGAAATCCAATATCTACATAGCCCTGTTGCTTAGCAACCACTTGAAAAGCTGGACCAATAGCAAGGTAAGTTTGCTTTTCTTACCAAATAGGAGAGGTGCCTGTCCCAAAGTTGGGGACTCTCCAGGAACATGGTAGGACTGATAACCATTGTTCACATCAATAGAAGTGCTATATTACAAGTGGTGGGAAGATGAACACCATTTCCTGGCGAGTAGAGGACCTGGTAGTGGCAGGGAAGGCTGCTTGGACTATCACTGGGTCCTAGAATTCCTATTCTTAATTGAGTATTCTTCAATAATATTTTTATACATGCCTACCTGCTAAAGATTTTTTTGAACATGCACTGACTATATATGCATATTTATGAGTTTATGGTATACTCTTGTCAATTCTTATACTTTAGATTAGTAAACCTCAAATTCTTTCTCATATAGTATGAAATATTACAGCAGTTAATATTTTCTTTCTGCACATACATGAATGTTCTTGCATCCCTGTTAGAGTTCATCTATGCTCCTTCAGAGACCACAAGCCCAAAGACTAGCAGTCCACTCTCTCTGAATATAGGAAAGATATGAGTAGAAAGAAGGATTCCTGTTCAGATTGTGAAAAAGGAAGTGGAAATGGAGGTGCAGGAGATGCTGAGAGATCTCAGGTGCTAACTGGACACTTGCAATGTCAGGAGAGGAAAATTTTAACCTGGATTGGGGAAATGGTTCTTCCATGCCCCTTTGCAATAAGTAACACTGTACCTGAAGAGAGGGTAAGCAGCAGAAACAATGGTCCCAGCTGATAACTAGTGACCTGGTGTCCTAATGATCAGGGGGCTGGTGCAGTTGACGCTAAAGGGGACAGGGGTCCCAGCTCTCCCATCCTCACCCCCACTCTCCACTATCCTCACATATCTGGTTGTCTTTTTTCTCCCTAGGTGTCACCCGACCTCAGTGAAGTCTTTGATGTTTCTGAGAGGCAGACTCCCATGTGGTCCCAGATCCTTGGTCCATGGATGACACCACCTTCCCATGCTTCCTTGCATTAGGCTTTCTAAACCCGGAGCCCCTTCAAACTTCCAATAAAGGGATCATTTTCTGCTTTATCTGCTTTTGGCTCCAGTGATCTCTGAATTCCTAGTGGCTCAAGGGGCTGAGGTCATTTCTGATAAAAATGGTTTTGGAAGAAAAGAATGGGATATTTTTTAAGCATTAGGGAGAATAGCAATCAAAGCCACATTTCTAGATGTATTGATAGAAATCCAACACTAAAAACAAGATGCTATTACTCTGCCAGGCACACATCTACTTCCTGATGCCAACCCTAAAGTCTCTCGTGACCTCTGTACTAACAGGACCCCAGGATCTAACAGTCCCCCAGAAAGAACAGAGAAAATGTATTGCAACAAGCCCTAGGAAAGTCCCTGATCTACTAGTGCCATGAGTATTCCCCAAGTCCACAGCAGCATATCTCTTCACTTAGCTTAAGAACTGTCCTACTCCTACAGCATACATTTAGATGCAATCACACCAAAGAGTGATATGTCAAGTCTCCACCACTTCAGCAAGAGTGAGTGGATTTAAAAATGTTATCTGTGATGGAAAGACCAGACGACCAGGCCAGAGTCTTGGGGCAGGTGGTGTGTTAATAATAGAAATTCTACTCCTTTTATGCCCTTTCACCCTTTATTCTAAGGATGATTCCAGGGAAAGCCAAACATCCAGGAGAAGAAGCCAACATAGAGGAATAAGAAAAATCACTAGTCTAGGAATAAGAGATCTGGATTCCATTCTAGCTCTGTTTTAAGAACTAGTATATCTTTAATTAAATCTTTTCTTTCCTGCAAGCTTAAGTCCCACATCTGCCCATGAAAAACTTTGACACAGTTAACTTCATAGTACATGCTGACTAAATATTGTAGAGCTTCCTTAAAAAGAAAGAAAGAGAGAGGGAGGGAGGGAGAGGGAGAAGAGAAAAAGAGAGAAGACAAAAAGAGAGAAAGAAAGCAAAGAAAGAGAAAGAAAGAAAGAAAGAAAGAAAGAGAAAGAAAGAAAAGAAAAGAGAAAGAAAGAGATGGAAGGGAGGAAAAAGGAATGAAGGAAAAAGAAAGGAAGGAAGGAAAATAAAGGAAGGGAAAGAAAGAAAAGAGAGAGAGAAAGAAGAAAGAAAAGAAAGAAAGAAAGAAAGAAAGAAAGAAAGAAAAAGAAAAACAAAGAAAGAAAGAAAGAGAGAAAGAATCTTCTCTATGAGGTCTGATATTGCTTGTAGGTGTGTGATAAAAGACTTGGTCATAGTGTTATGAGAATCCTGTCTCTCTTCACTGCATCCTTCCCAAGAACACAGAGGCCCTGTGATCAGCCACCTGCCTTATTTTACCAGCCCAGCAGTTAAAGAGGAGAGGCTGTGATGGGCTTAGGGGCCTTAGCATCAGGGAAGCTAGAATTACCTGCTACAGTCTGCTGAACAGACTCTCTTCTCTACATGTGGAGAGACATACATTCAACAGTTTCCCTGACATGTTGCTGATTGTGCAGGGAAGGAAACCTAAATTAACATGCAAATAACCAAGACAGCCAGAGTCATAAATGCTGTGGCTGTGGTACAATTAGCTTGAAATGTGGATCCCACCGCTTGCATAGTCTTGGAAAGTGGGGTCTCTGATGCAGAGTTCCTTCACCTTAACGTGGGGATAATAATAACCATCTCATAGACGTGCTTAAAGATATTGAGTGAGATGATCTCAACCCCAGTGCTCAAAAAAAAAAAAGTGCCAGGACAACAAATTTGGAAGTAATAATAATAAAATAATTTTTTATTATGCCTTCTTTGAAAAGGAGGTAAAATACATATAAAGAAAAGCACAGATCTTATGTATTTGCTTGAATGAGATTTGACAAACACATACATATGATTGCACAACGCCTAGATGAACGTATGGAACATTCATCTTGCCTTATGCTCCTTTCAAATTCAGTCCCAGTTCTTCAGGGGCAAATAATATATTGACTTCTAGAAACTCATAACTCACCTGTTTTTAATCCTTACATAATGAATTTATGGAATAACATTACCTTTTGTGTATCGCTGTTATTCAGTGTTTTTGAGATTCATTCTGTTTTGTATGTATCAGCAGTTCATTCATTTTATTGCTGAATAGTATTCCATTGTTTGAGTCTCCACATTTGTTCTTCTATTTATCTGCTGATAAACATTTGGTGTTCCCAGTTTGGGTCACTGTGAATTAGGATATCACATAAGTTCTTGTACAAGGCACAGTAATATATATTTTTAAATATCTGTGGTAAATACCTAGAAGTAGAATTTTCTCCCAGGGTGTGGCTTGTTTTGTTTTGTTTTGTTTCTTAATGATGATGTATTTGGAAGAGCTAAAGTTTTAAAGTGTGATGAAATCAAACATATTCATTTTCCTTTTAATATGAATATTATTGTATCTAAGAACTTTTGCCTTCTCCAAGGCTGCAGAAATGTTCTGTCTGTGATGTCCTTCCCTAGAAGCTGCATAGGTTTAGCATCTATACTAAGGTTTATGGTCCAACTTGATTAACATTCGCATTCCACTCAAGGTGCAGATCCAGATTCCTTTTTCGCAGATGCTCGTTTTTATTAGTTATTAATAATGCTGCTATGGGCATTCATGTGCAAATATTTGCGTGAATACATTTTCAGTTCTCTTGGGTATAATTATGGAAGTGGAATTTTTGATTCTGGTGTGCTATAAGGTTCTAACTATATTATTTTGCATGTGGATATCCAGTTTTCCCAGTATGATTTGCTGAAAAGATGACTTTTTCTACTGAATAGTTTTTCTACCCTTGTTGAAGATAAGTGAATTGACAATGTAATGGTTGATTTTTGGACTCCCAATTCTATTCCTTTGATATATGTGTCTATGCTTATGCTAGTACCACACTGTCTTGACACTGTAGCTTTGCCGTAAGTGTTGAAATATGGAAGTATGAGTCTTCTACATTTGCACTCTTTTTCAAGATTGTGGTTGCTATTCTGGGTTCTATGCATTTACACATGAACTTTAGGATTAACATGTCAATTTCTACAAAAAGTCATCTGTAACTTTATAGGAATTCCATTTAGTTTTTAGATAAAATATGGAAAATTGCCTGCCTAAGAATATTGAGTCTTCAATCCACAAACATGGAATGGCTCTCTATTTTTATGTCTTCTTTAATTTCTTTCATCATGATTTGTTGTTTTCAACAAATGTACATGTCTTGCCATTATTTTCTTAAATAAATTCCTGTGTATTTCATTCTTTTCGATGCTATTGTAAATGGATTTTTTTCATGATGCAATTGAAAGGTATAGGTTGATATTTTGTCCTGCACCTTGATGAGTTGTTTATTAGCTCTAATAATATTTTGGAGTTATGTGGATTCTTAAAAGTTTTCTACATATGTCATCATGTCAGTATTTCATGTATGGGAAATCTAATGGTGAAAAACATGAAGTATTCATATATCTGGGAGTACCTTAATTTTTCCCTAACTTGTGAAGGATAGATTTGCCAAGATATAGAATTCTTGGTAGACCGATATTTCTTTCACCACTTTTAATATGTTCTCTCACTATCTTCTGGCTTGCATGGTTCTAATGATAAATCAGCTGTTAAGCTTATTTATTAGTCATTTTGAGTTATTTATCTCTTGCTGCTTTCAAGAATTTCTCGGCCAAGCGCGGTGGCTCATGCCTATAATCCCAGCACTTTGGGAGGCTGAGGTGGGCAGATCATGAGGTCAGGAGTTAGAGACCAGCCTGGCCAACATGGTGAAACCCCGTCTCTATTAAAGATACAAAAAATTAGCTGGGCGTGGTGGTGTGCACCTGTAATCCCAGCTACTCGAGAAGCTGGGACAGGAGAATCGCTTGAACCCAGGAGGCGGAGGTTGCAGTGAGCCAAGATTGTGCCATTGCACTCCAGCCTGAGCGACAGGATGAGACTGTTTCAAAGAAAAAAGAATTTATTTTTGTCTTTGTCATTGATATTTCCATTATAAATTGTCTAGGTGTGGATCTCTTACAGTTTTTTCTTAGTGTTCATTGAGATTTTTATACATGGAGATTTGTGTTTTAAAGCAAAATCAAATGTTTTTAGCCATTACATCTTCAAATATCTGTCTGCCTCTTTCTTTCTCTCTCCTTTCTTCTGGGATTTCCATTATGCACATGTTTTTCCATTAGATTGTATTACACAGGTCTCTTTCTTTATCGTTCCTCAGAGTGTATAATCTCAATTGACCTATAATTATAGTAGTTGTTCCTCTCTTCTGTCTATTCCTATCTGCTGGTAAGACCCTCTTGTGACTTTCTGTATCAGCGATTTTACTTTACAACCTCATCATTCATCATGAATTTTTTTTATGATGTGAAACTGATTTTTATACTTTCTGTTAATCTTTTTGCCCATGATTTCCTTTAGTTCTTTGAGTATAATAACTGATATCTTTGTCCACTAGGCCATTGTCTGGGATTCCTAAAGGATCATTTCTATTTATTGTTTCCCCTCTTTTCTGTGTATGGGCAGTATTTCATGTTTCTTTAAACATCTCATAATTTTTAAATAAAATTGTACTTTCTACGTAATATAATTTGGCAGCTTTGGAAATCAGAATCTATCTTTAGCATTTGTTTGTGTGGTTTTTATTGCTGAATACTTGCTTAGTAACATTCCTGGACTAATTTTGTAAAGTCTGTGTTATGCATCGTGTACAGCCACTAAATTCCCTGTTTCGTTTGCTTACTAGTCAGATAATGAATGGACACCAATGATCTTAAGTCCTGTAAGCCATAAGTTGGCCTTTTGACTTTATCAACTAGTGAAGTTTTGACACAGTCATGAAGACATTAAGACATGAATTAAATGAGAAAAATTTTTCACGAATTAAACTTAAAGCCTGTGGTGCACAAGGAACTAGATTTTTCATAAATCTAGAAATTATCTTGCTAATAGATCAATATCTGGCTCTTACTTTCTGTCTGTGTGTGTTTCAATGTTAATGTAGTAAAAGTAAACACTTCAAATGCACCCTTATCTGAACATGGCTGTGAGGAGTCGGTTTCAAATGTTCTGGATACACAGTGGGAAGAGGGAAATTGGTCAGTCCTGATGCAGTCCCTGGGAAAAACAATGCCCTCCTATTACCTAAAAATTCGACAGTATAAAGTAAGAATTAGGAAGAGCCAGGACAGTTCTGCAACACCCCGAAAAAAGGAAAATCCATGGGGGCTCTGAAAAATTACACCCCAGAAGTTGTTTCACGTGGTTGCTTCCTGGAAGTGAAAGAAAACAGCTGGTGCTTCCGGGTCAAGTTGAGGCACCTCTGATCTCCAGCCCCCGGAGCCACAGCACCACCTGCTGGTGGGGCCCCGCTAGAGCTGACATAGACAGGTCCAGCCTCCAGGTGCGCCCAATCCCTTTTCTTGCATTATGAAGCTAAGCAGCCTCTCTCAACTCACTGTGACCGTCCCCCTTTGCCTCCTCCACATGGCCCAGCCTGGAGCCCTGAAAAGTGGCGGGTAGGGCGTGGCGACGCGTACTGTGGCTGGAGTTGGGGAGCATTTCCTCTGAGGAGTCCATGCGACGACCTGGCCCTCATGCCTGGAAGTCACTTGGTGTCCCCGACTCACCCTGTGGCATTTTTCTCCAGCTGCACAGAAACCTGAATGTTGCCCAGAGTTTTCTGTTGCCTGCCCTTTCATCCTGTTACCCATGTGCTGGCAGGATAAAATTTGCAAAGGGGTTAAATGGTGTTGCTACTACGAACGTCGGCATTAGTGTATGGAGTCCTGCTGGACTTTGGATTGAGGTTAGGAGCCCCAGATCTGCTGCCCGTGAAACCTTCCTGCAGAAGCATTGTCTTAGAAGGAGTTGAGAACTTCATGTTCCCCTAGAAAATCGTTGTGATCAGAGGTTTTAAATTGGGTCGACCCATAGATCTGCCTCTGGACAATGAAGCAAGACCTCCTTGCTTAGATTATGCACCTTCCATTTCACACAACGGACTTCACCCTTCTCCTCTCTGTAAAGAGGATATTTCAGCAAGATTCATTAAGATCCTCAACAGTTACCGGGTTTTTATTATTTTTTATTCCTATTTTCTACAGCTTATAATAATGAAACACTTTCCTCTTCATATTTACATTGTGAGTGTTTATATAATTTCACACTTCCTTAGGATGGCTTGCCTAGAATCCCTGATCCCCGTCCTTGATTCCTGGATAGCACATGCCAGTGTTCTTTGGAGAATACATAAGAGGATCCAGACAATGGCGTCCTATTGCCTCAAAATCTGCTGGATGAAGTAAAAATGATGAAGAGTTCTGTAACACCCTGAAAGGAGGCAGTCCATGAGGGCTCTCAGAAGTTACATCCCAGTTGTTTCACGTTGTCTCTTCCTGGAGGTGAAAGGAAACAGATGGTGCTTCCGGGTTAAGCGGAGGCACCTCTGACCTCCAGCCCCGGGAGTCAAAACGCCATCTGTTGATGGGGCCCCGCCAAAGCTGACATAGACAGGTCCAGCCTCCAGGTGCCCCCACACCGTTTTCTTGCATTATGAAGCTGAGCGGCTTCTTTCTACTCTCTGTGAACATCCTCCTTTGCCTCTGAATGACCCAGCCTGGAGTCTTGAGGAGTGCAGGTAGGGCCTGGCGACCCTGGGTGTGGCTGGGGTTGGGAACGTTTCCTCTGAGGAGTCCATGGGGTGACCTGGCCTGGAAATCACACATTGGTGCCCACTCATCCTACGGCTTTTTTTTTTTTTTTTGGAGTCTCGTTCTGTCACCCAGGCTGGAGTGCAGTGACGAGATCTCGGCTCACTGCATCCTCCGCCTCCTGGATTTAAGCGATTCTCCTGCCTCAGCCTCCTGACCTATGGCGTTTTTTCCAGCTGCACGGAAACCGGGATATTGCCCAGAGTTTGATCTTGACTGCCCTTTCACTCTCTTACCTATGCGCTGGCGTGATAAGAGTTGCAGGGGGTCAAGAAGTGTTGCTACTACAACTGTCGGCATCAGTGTATGGAGCCCTGGTGGACTTTGGATTGAGGTGAGGAGCCCCAGATCTGCTGTTCTCCTTGCTGCCCCTAACTCCTTCCCTCAGAAGCATTTGTCTTAGAGAGAACTGAGAACTTCCCATGCGTTTAGCAACCGTTGTGAGCAGGGCTTTTAAATTGGGTCAGTCCACGCATTTGCCTCTCTAAAGTGAAGGAGGAGGCTCAACAGACCTCTTTGCTCAGATATGCACCTTCCACTTCACATAATGGGCATCACTCTTCTCCTCTCTATAACTCTCTATAATGTCGACATTTCAACAAGATTATCTCTAAGGTACTCAATAGTTACTGGATTTTATTATTTATTTTCAAATCCTTTTACTTACAGTTTACAATCATGAAACATTTTCCTCTTTACATTTACATCGTGAGGTAAGTTTATAATTTCACAATTCCTTAGGATGGCTTGCCTAGAGTCCCTGATCCCCAGTCCCTGACTCTTTGGCAGCACCTGCCAGTGTTCTTGTGAGGAGAATACCTAACAGGAATCACGCCTCAATGCCCCCGGGACACAAAACCATGTGCCCTGTACATTTTGCATCTTCCTATATCTCTGGTTTCCTGTTCTCTCCCAAGATGGAAAGCCCTTCTTAACCAGGACTGAGGAGACACAAGTGCTACAGGCTCAGTCTGGGATAACTGGTCTCCATGTTGTCCATGATCGCTCAGGCCCAGAACTTCCTTTTAGCAAGAGTTAAATGCTTCTTACTATGATAACAAGACGAAGAAATAAAGCGTTGTATATTTAAAACTCTTTGAAAATCTAAGTCTGCTGGATTGATCTCTTGCTCTCCCTCTCTACTCAGCCATGTTGCATAATCCCTTAGGAACTGTAAAATGGACAGAGTTACTGTTTCACATTTAGTTTCATCAATTCCTGCACTTGTGTTTTTCTGATATATTTGTCTCTTTCAATATCTCCTGACACTCAGATTCTCTGTTGGTCAGATTCCAGGTGCATTTTGGAGTTAAATTCTCTGGGTTTGCATCCTATGAATGGCATGCCGATTAATCCTGTAATGGAAGAGCAAGGCATTTTTGCTTCAGTTTTTCTGGTACTACTGCTGGTGGCCTTTCCAAGTGTTGAAGTAATATGATCTGCGATTGGATTTGGAACTTAGGGTCAGAAACTGAGCAAGATGTACTTTAGTTCTAGGTACTTTCATTCCTAAAAATTGAGCCACCCTAAATTAGGAGAACAAAATCCTTGTGGTTCAGCCTACATCCCTTGAGTCTTTGCTTGAGGGTTGGGCCCTAGGTCTACCTAATAATGAAGTGTAATTAGCCATGAATTTTCCAAATTTATAACTCTGTGCTTCATTCTTCCTTAACTCCCACAAATGTTGCAGAGGTCTGGGAAAGTAATTTTCCAAAATTTTATTTATCTCTGACAAGTATCTTAACAATTTTGAAAAACTACTTTTTCCCAAGCATGTTTTAAACTGACATCTAATAATTTTATCATCATTGCATAGTTTCAAGAGATAAAAATTTAGGTATATGATAAATGTTGTCATTTAAATCAAATGGGTATCTTACTCTATGAGGTTTCTAATAGAATCTAACTACAATGTTCATTTGTTAGTAACATCTATTAGGGAAGAAAAAAAACATGTCCTTTTTCCTCATCATCTCTCTATCTTTCACATCAGAGAGGAGCTACCCTCTCTGCAAGAGCTTCGAAGAGAGAAGCTACCCTTTCTGCGAGAGCTTCAAAGACCAGCAGACATCCGAACACCCTGCCTGCAGAGAGGAGCCACCCTCTCCAGGGCCCCCTCTCTGTTGAGAGCTGAATACTCAAGGGATGATCTGCCTACAGAGAGTAACAACCCACTACAGGTCTCCTCTGAGCTCTTCTAACACTAAATAAAGCTCTTCTTCATCGTCTTCACCCTTCACTTGTCTGTGTACCTTATTCTTTCTGGATGCAGAACAGGAACTCAGGCAAAGGTGCCACCAGCCACAGAGGTTTCTGGAAAGAAAATGAACACCCCAAAGATCATGTAACACTTCTACTAATTTGGGTTTGGCTTGTTCTTGCTTTTCTAGTTTTTTGAGATGCATTGTTAGGTTACTTATTTGATATCTTTCCAGTTTTTTTATGTAGGGGCTTATTGCTATTAACTTGCCTCTTAATACTATTTTTGCCATGCTCCATAAGTTTCGTTTTTTTGTATTTCTACTTTTGATTGTTTCAAGGAATTTTTAATTTTATTCTTAATTTCTTTTTTCATCCACTGGTCATTCAGGAGCATGTCGTTTAATTTCCATATATTTTGTATAGTTTTGAATGTTCCTGTTGTTATTGATGTCTAGTTTTATTTCCTTGTGGTCATATAAGATACTTGATATGATTTTGATTTTTTAAAATTTTTTGAGACTTCTTTTGTATTTTAGCACTTGGTCAATCCTGGAGAATGTTTCATGTGCAGATACAACAAAAGTGCATTCCATAGCTGCTGGGTAAAATGTTTTGCAAATGTCTGTTAAGTTCATTTGATCTATAGTACAGTTTAAACTTGATGCTTCTGGGTTAATTTTCCATCTTGATTATCTTTCCAATACTGAGAGTAGGGTGTTAAAATCCCCACGTATTATTGCGTTAGAGTCTATCTCTCCCTTCAGCTCTAATAATGTTCACCTTATATATCCAGATGCTCCAGTGTTGGGTGCATATATATTTATAATTATTATGTTCTCTTGCTGAATTAGTCCCTTTACTATTACATAATGTTCTTATTTGTCCCTTTTTCCAGATTTTGACTTGAAGTCTATTTTGTCTGATATTAGTATAGCTACTCCTTCTTGCTTTTGGTTTCTGTTTGCATGGAATATCTTTTCCATACCTTCAATTCAACCCCATATATGTCTTTACAGGTGATGTGAGTTCTCGTGGGCAGGACACAGTTGAGTTTAGGTGTTTTACCCATTCAGCCAGTCTACATATTTTAAATGGTGAATTTAATCCATTTATATTCGGGGCTGTTGTTGAAAGGTGAGGGCTTAAACCTCTTATTTTATTGATTGTTTTCTGATTGTTTCATATATCTTTTGTTCCTTACTTCCTATCTTATTGTAAGTTTTGGGCTGGGTTGTTTTCTGTGGTGACAATTCTTGATTCTTTTCTCTTCCTCCTTTGTGTATCGGCTCTGCCAGTGAGTTTTAGAGTTTCTTAAACTTTCATGATGGTGGCAGTTGTCTTCTCACTTCCAGACATGACTCTCTTGAAAATATTTTGTAAAGCCAGTCTAGTGGTGATGAATCCCCTTAGCTATTGCTTATCTATGAAGAATTTTATTTCTCTTTCATTTCTGAAAGATAATTTTGCTGGGTATTCTTGTCCACTAGTTTTTTTTTTCTTTTAGTAATTTGAATATATTATTCCATTCTCTTCTGGACTATAAGGTTTTTGCTAAGAAATCCTCTGTTAGTCTGATGAGGATTTCATTATATGTGACATGATGCTTTTCTCTTCTTGTTTTAAGAATTCTTTCTTTGTCTGTGACTTTTGACAATTTGACAATAGCGTGCCTCAGAAAGGACCTGTTTGGGTTGAACCTAAATGGGGTGTTTTGAGCTTCCTGGACCTGTATGTCCATCTCACTGCCAATACTTGGGAAGTTTTCAGCTATTTTTAACATGTTATTTATACATTTTCCATTCTCTTTTCTTCTGGAATGCCCGTAATGTGAATACTTGTTCACTTAATTTTGAACAAATGGTGTCCCCAGAATCCTGTAGGCTTTCTTCATTTATTTTTATTCTTTTTTATCTTTTTGTCTGCTGATATTATTTCAAGTATCCTGTCCTCTAGTGTAGAAATTATTTCTACTCTGTTGTTAAAGTTCACAGTTGTATTTTTTTATTTTATTCATTGAATTCTTCAACTCTAGAATTTTTGTTTGGTACATGGCTGCGTGGCCAGCCTGGGAGTGTTCCTGCCAGGGGTAGCCCATGAGGCTGTTTCTCAGGCCCAGGATGTGGTCACACAGCTGCTTGGCTGACCCGGGTGTATGTCGGCTGGGGGCAACCTGAAAGACTGCTTCTCTGTCCTGGAATGCAAGCACAAGGCTGTCCAGCTGGACTTGGGGGTCTGTCTGCTGGAGGTGGCCCCAGAGGGCTGCTTCTTAGGTCTAGGATGCAGGGCACACAGCTGATTGACCCTCCTGGGGGCATGTCTGCCAGGGGTTGACCACAGGGCTGCTTCTCAAGCCTGGATTACAGGTGCAAGGCTGCTTGGCTGGACTCAGTGCATGTCTGCTGGGGCTTTCTGTTTCTCAGCCCCAGGATGTGAATTAATGGCTGCTCAGCCCACCTGAAGGCTTCCCCTGGTGAGGAAGCCTGTGGTGTTGTTTCTCAGTCCCAGGGCATGGCTGCACAGCTGCTCATGCAGCCTAGGGCATGTCTGCCAGGGGCAGCCCACAGGTCTGTATCTCAGGCCCTGATTGTGGGTGCAGGGCCATTGGGTAGGCCAGGGGCTTGTTTGAGTGGGTGGGGCACCATGGAAATGTTTCTAATCCCTAGACATGGATGTGTACCTGCTTCTCAGGCCTTGGAATGTGTCAACTTCTCAGAGGCCTGAGCACCACTTTCACTCAGAGGAGGGTGTGCAGCAGTTTGACTGGTTCAAGGGCAGGTTTACCCTGTGCGGGACTGTCATGCCATTCCTCCAGGCGGAAGTGAGGGCAGCGGGGGTTGTTTGTTCTACAGGACCAGAGTCACAGCCAGTCCTGTATCCACACTTGATGCTGCTGGGATTATGGCATTCAGCCACTGGTGTGGGCCTGGTGGAATGAAGACCAAGCCCTGTTGAGGGAAAAGTGCAGTGGCTACTGGGCTCCACAGGAGGGCGCACTCCACAGGTGGCTCTGGTCTCAAGATGGCACCTGCTGCAGCATCTTGGCTGACAGTGGGTAGGTGGACTATGAGGAGTGCACCCCTTGTGCTTTCAGTTCAAAGCAATGCACCTGCATGAATTCCTAGCAGCGTTTCAAACGGCTCAGGGCTTGTGTGTGAGTACTGCAGGATTCTCCGTAGTAAGGATTTTAGGTGTTTGTGGTGGTAGTGGAGACTAGTGCGGTTCTTTTGCTTACCTTTTCCCCACAATAGGATGTCCTCCTGACTCCAGATAGATCGGATCCAGGTGTGGAAGACAGGGCGGCAGATGCTGGATGCATCCATGCTGCCCTGCTAGACTTCCAATCCCCACAGGTGCATCTCCACTCCCCTGCTATATTCGAATACTCTTCCTTGGACTCTCTAATCGAGTTTCATCAGTTTATTCATTGCTTTGGTACTTTCTTGTGGGGAGAATGAGTGCCTGTCTTCTATAGTCAGTCGTCTTGGTGACATCACTGAGCTAAATTTCTTTATACTGCATATCCCATCCTGAATTATTGGAGTCTTTTTTAAAATAATTTTTATTCTTAACCTTCATACTAAAGATATGATTTGCATACCACCATTATAGTATTAGAGCATTCTGAATTTATGTAATTACTTCTACTACTAATGAGTTCTATACTTTTAATTTTTTTATTGTTACACATGAGTACTCTTTCTTTCATCTTTTCTTTAGCTTTTCTTGTAAGAGAGGGTTCCCCATCCGCCCCCCACCCCCACTCAGCCCACATAGCAGGAGGTGAGCAGAGAGTGAGTGAGCGTTACCACCTGAGCTCTGCCTCCTGTCAGATCAGGGGTGGCATTAGTTTCTCATAGGAGCAGGAACCTTATTGTGAACTGTGCATGCAAGGGATCTAGGTTGCATGCTCCCTATGGCCCCCACTGCCCCGCCCCACCACCCCCTCCCTCCCCACCCCTATCCATGGAAAAATTGTCTTCCACGAAATCAGTCCCTGGTGCCAAAAGGTTTAGGATCACTGTTGTAAGATATGCCTGTTAGTGATGAAGTTCTTCAGCTTTTGATTGTCTAGGAAAGTATTTCTCCTTCATTTCTGAAAGACAACTTTTCTGGGTACAGTATCCACGGATAACAGTTTTTTTTTTCTTCATCACTTTGAATATCTCATGCCACTCTCCTTCTGGCCTTTAAGGTTCCTGTTGAGAAGTTTGTATGTAGGTATATTGGAACTCCCTTATATGTTATTTGCTTCTTTTCTCTTGCTGCTTTCAGGATCCTTTCTTTGTCTTTGATCTTTTATAGTTTGACTATTATATGTATGTCTGGTATTTTTTGGACTGAATCTGATTGGTGACCTTTGACCTTTCTGTACCTTGATATATCAGGGGGTTTGCTAGGGCCTGTTGCAATACATTTCTCTGGTATTTCTGAGAGATTGTTAGTCCCTAATCTACTGGTGCCATCAATTCCACAAATCCACAGCAGCCCAACCCGTCACTTGGTTCAAGGACTGTGCTCCTCCTACAGTATCCATTAAGATCTTAAGATCTTGTACCAGCGATTGATGTGGCAACTCTCTACCATTTCAGTAAGCATGACTGGGTAAAACAATCTGTGAATAGACATACCAGAGGATGGTCTAAAAGAGTTTTGGGGGTTGGGAAGTCTTAAAATGGAAGCTCTGCTGCCTATACTGTCTTCTTCCCCTCTCCTAAGAAAGTTTCCAGGGAAGGATAAACCTCTAGGAGAAGAAGCCAGAATGGGAGAATAGAAAACCTTTGGACTGGGGATAGGAGATCTGGATTTTAGTTCCAGCTCTGCCATAAGAACCTGTGCATCTTCAATTAAATCTGTTTTCTCTCCAAGCTTAAGTTCCTCATCTGCACATAGAAAATTTGGTGTAGTAATTCTGATCATGCGTGCTAGCCCAACATTCTGGGAGTTCATTTAAAAAGAAGAAAGAAGGAAAGATAAAATAAAGAAAGGAGAGAAAGGAAGGAAGAAAGAAAGAAGAAAGAAAAAAGGAAGAAAGAAGGAAGAAAGGAAGAAGGAAGGAAACAAAGAAGAAAGGAAGAGAGGAGGAAGGAAGGAAAGAGTGAGAGAGAAAGAAAGAAGAAGGAAGGAAGGAAGGATCTTCTCTATCAGATCTAAATTTTGCCTGTAGGTGTGTGGTAACAGACATCATCACAGTGGCATGAGAACCTGTCTCCACTGCACTGTTCCCTAGAGCACGGATGCCCTGTGCTCAGCCACCTGCCTTATTTTTCCAGCCCAGCAATTGAAGAGGAGAGACCATGGTGGGCTTAGGGGCCTTAGCATCAGGGAAGCTATAATTCCCTGCTAGAGTCTGGTGACAAGATTCTCACTTTTATGTGTGGCCAGAGATACATTCAACAGTGTTCTTGACACACTGGTAATGGTATGGAGTCAGGAAGGGTATCTAAATTGATATGCCAACAAGCAAAAGAGCCAGAGCCATAAATGCTCTGGGAGAATACACTCAAGAATATGCTGGTTATTAGCAGGCGAACAATTAAAATTTTGGATCTCCTAGCAAAGTTAACAGTTCTATACATAAATGTACAATTAGCATGAACCTTGGTTTTCACCACTTACATAGTCTTGAGCAGCAAGGTCTCTGATGCTGAACTTCTGCATCTTTTTCTTTTCTTTTCTTTTTTCTTTTTTCTCACTCTGTCACCCAGGCTGGAGTGCAGTGGTGTGATCTTGGCTCACTGCAGCATTGACCTGATTTTCCCACCTCAGCCCCCTGAGTAGCTGGGATTACAGGTGCACGCCACCATGGCCAGCTAATTTTTTGTATTTTTAGTAGAGATGGGGTTTCACTATGCTGCCCAGGATGGTCTTGAACTCCTGAACTCAAGCAATCTGCCTGTCTCGGCCTCCCAGAGTGCTGGGATTACAGGCATGAGCCCCCACGCCTGGCCAGACCTCCTGCGTCTTAATGTGGGAATAATAATAACCATGTCATATAGATTTTCAGAGGTATTGAGTGAGATTATCTCAGCCCCAGTGCTCAATAAAAAGTTCCAGCATGACAACAAATTTGGTAATAATAATAATAAAACAATCTTTTATTATATCTTAATATTGAGGTAAAATATATACAAAGAAAAGCACAGATCTAATGTATTTATTTGAATGAGATTTGGCAAATACATATGTGTAGTTACACAAAATCATATGGAGATATAGAACATTCTCATCAACCTTGAAAGTTGTCTATGACGCATTCAAATTTAATTCCAACCCTTCAGGGGCAATCATTATGCTGACATCTACCAATTTAAGACTTGCCTGTTTTTTCTCATTTAAGAAGCATTTATTGTTATAAATGCACTCAGGCACTGTAAGACATAACATAAATGAAATAATTTTCAGATAAAAGCAACTGCTTATTATTTTATCCTGCCTTTATATTATTTTTATAAACTGCCTTCAGAAGGTATCATTCATTACCATACCAGTTGGGTGGTCTGTAATATATTCCCACAAGGTTTGTCTTCCCTTTATTTCTTCTTTTGTTCTTACAAACATGTATTCTACAGTGTTGCTGCTTCTAAGTTCATTGATTTTCTCTTATGTATTATTTTGATATGCAATGCTTTTTTTTTTTTTGAGATGGAATCTCCCTCATTGTGTCACCCAGGCTGAAGCGCCTGCAACCTCCACCTCCCAGGCTCAAGTGATTCTTCTGCCTCAGCCCCCAATTAGGTGAGATTACAGGTGTGTGCCACCATATCCAGCTACTTTTTGTATTTTTAGTAGAGATGGGGTTTCACCATGTTGGCCAGGCTGGTCTCGAACCCCTGACCTCAAGTGATTCGCCCATCTTAGCCTCCCAAAGTGCTGGTACTACAGGCATGAGCCACCATGCCCACTCTTGATATACAATGCTTCTTAACCCCCTTCCTAATAAGATCATTTCTTTTTAACAATGTATATAATATTCTGGACTGAAGTTCAATCCCACAAATTATCAGTGATGATAACAATTTATAATTACCATTCTTGGTTAAAATCTCAACTTAACATGAGCATTGGCACAAATTCTATAAACAAGCCACTTTTAAAAGCCCCAATAAAGTTGACTATATAATTAAAGTGACCTAGTTCAAATAGAAACAAGTGACAGTAGAAGTGAATTAATATTATATGTGCTACATGGTAGTGTAGTTATGATACTCATAATTTTGTATTGCCATTGTAGATATTTTCTTCTAGTGCTTTCAAGTTACCAACAGATATTTATATTCAAGATTTAAGAAAAATATTTCAGAATTCCCAGGAATTCTTTAAATTAAAGTTGTTCTTAAAGTTTATCCAACATTCTTCACACTGCTTACTCATTATAGACATGGTTTGATGGTTAAGAAACATTGAGTTTATCACATTTACAAAGAACTGTAGGTTGTGAATATTCATACTCTCAGAAATATGCTAGTTATTAGCAGGTGAACAATTAAAATTTCGGATCTCCTTAGCAAAGTTAACAGTTCTATACAGAACTGTAAACCAAAATTGCCAATTTCAGAACTTATTTGCTTCCAAACTTGTTATTTCCTGAAACACCACTCATAGGATTTATATATATATTCACTTGTACGTCTATTAAAATTAATTTTATTTGCAAGAATGACTCACTATTAGTAGCATACAGAATGATAAGCATATACTCCTAATGTGGCAACAGGTACAAGCAACATGATTAGATGGTGACTGCTTTTTCCTTAGTGCTCCTGATTCATTCTCTGAACACATTGACCTTAATTTTTGGCTCTACATGTCAGCATTTTCTGGTCTTTGCTTTAGACTTCTAACCAGCAATGTTACTATTTTGAATCCCAAGGTTTAATTCTTACAAAAGAATGTAAAGACTATAATACTTTTTTTTTTTTTTTGCCAGGCACAGTGGCTCACGCCTGTAATTCCAGAACTTTGGGAGGCTGAAGAGGGTGGATCACCCTGAGATCAGGAGTTCAAGACTAGCCTGACCAACATAGTGAAACCCTGTCTCTACTAAAAATACAAAAATTAGCTGGGCATGGTGGAGGGCACCCGTAATCCCAGCTACTCGGGAGGCCGAGGCAAGAGAATCACTTGAACCTGGGAGGTGGAGGTTGCAGTGAGCTGGGATTGCATCATTGCACTCCAGCCTGGGTGACAAGTGTGAAACTCCATCTCAAGAAAAAAAATAAAAATAAACAAAAACACTGGCCAAGCTCTCAATGTTAAGTAGAAATGGTGAAGACAGACATCCTTGCCTTCTCCTAACCTTAAGGAGAAAACATCCAATATTTTACCATTAGAGATGATGTTTATCAGCGGCATACCAAGGATTGTGGCAGTGGGAGTGGTTCATCTGAGGAGGAGGGAGTGTTTATCTCTGACTCTGTTTAAAATTGCCAGCACATAGTGATAATATACAGTACAGCTTTTTAAGCCACTTTTATTATTATTCTTAAATTCTCTACAATTGGGGGACCTATTTATTGCTTACAACTGGGGTGAACTCCTTCCAATAACCTCCTTCCACTTCAGTACACCACTAAGATATGCTTTAAGTTGAATATAGTGCCCTTTATCATATTGAGAGGGAGAGCTTCTCTTCCTTGCAGGTGGAGAAGTTTTATAATAAATGGGTTTTGGATTTGTCAAATACTTTCTCTGTTGAGATGATCATATAGTGAATTACACTGACTAATTTTAATACAAAACATATCCTGAATGTGTGTCTCATTTGACCTTAATGTATAATCTATTTAACATATTTTTGGACTGAGTTTATGACTACTTGGTTAGAGATTTTTATGCCTATGTCTATGAAGGATGTTAGACTGTAAGTAAACTTTTTTATAATGTTCTTCCCAGGTTTTAGTATCACAGTTATCTTAGGCTCATAAAAGAAGTTGGGAAGTGTTTTCTCTGCTTCTCTTGTCTTAAAACATTTTTGTAGAATGTATAATTTGTAGATGTTTAATAGCATTTACCTGTGAAGCCACCTGGACCAGCAGTGTACTTTTTGGAAAGGTTTTTCATTAAAAATTTGATTGCTTTAACATAGGAGTCAACAAACTTCAGCAAAGAGCCAGGAAATGAATATTGTAAGTTTTATATGCCTTAAGATCTTTATTGCAACTCCTTGTCTGTACCACTATAGGACAAAGGCAGTCAAAGATCATTCTTACCAATGGATGTGGTTGTATGCCAACAAACTTCACTTACAGAATCAGAAGTGGTAATCTAGTCTCCCAGTCCAGGAATCAAAGCAAGTGTGTTTAACTTATATTTGTTTAGTTATTCAGTTAATTATTTGTGCTACTTTCTTATTGAGATACAATTTACAAACCATGACATGCACCTTTTAAGGTGTACAATATAGTGGTTTTCAGTATTTTGATAAGCTTGTGCAACCCTCACCACTTGTTAATTCCGGAACAACTTCATTACTCCCATGAAGAACCCCTATACCTGATGGCACTCAATCCTTCCTCCTACCTTTACTTCTCCCTTGGCAACCACTAACCTGCTTTTTATGAATTGACTTATTCTGGACACTTTATATTAATTAAAGTATATAATATGTGGCTCATTGCATCTGACTTCTTTCATGCAGAATTATGTTTTCAAAGCTCATCCATGTTGTAGGGTGGGATCTTTTTTTTTTTTTTACTTTTTATGTATGAATAATATTTCACTGAATGGATACATCACATTTTGTTTATCCATTTATCCATTGGTGAACATTTGGATGTTTCTAGTTTGTATGTACTATTATTAATCCTACTATGAACATTTATGTGCAAATTTTGTGTTAAAATGTTTTCAATTACCTTGAGTATAATTCTTAAAGTGGAACTGATGAGTCACATGATAACTCTATGTTTAACTCTTCAAGGAACTGCCAGACTGTTTTCCACAGAGGATGTACCATTTTATGTTCCCACCAGCAATGTATGAATGTTCCAGATTCTCCACATCCTCACTAACACTTGTTATTTTAGGTTTTTTTTTTTTAAGATTATAGCTATCATAGTACATGTGAAGTGGCTTCTCGTTGTGGTTCTGATTTGCATTTTCCTGAGGTCTAATGATATCACCCATCATTTTACATGCTTATTGGCCATTTGTACATTTTCTTTTGGAGAAATGTCTGTTAAAATCTGATGCCCAGTTTTTAATCATGGTTTTTGTCTTTTATGGTTGATTTTAGGAGTTCTTTTTGTATTTTGAATACTAGGCCCTTATCAGATATAAAATTTGCAAATATTTTCTCCCATGTCTGTGGGTTATCTTTTCATTTCTTATTAGTGCCCTTTGACTCACCAAAGTTTTTAACTTTAATCTATTTTTGGATCTATTATTCCTTTTGTTGCTTGTGCTTTTGGTAGCATATCTAAGAAATTGATGCTGATTACCAGATCATGAAGATATACATTTATGTTTTCCTCAAAGAGTTTTGTAATTTTAGTTCATATATTTAGGTCTTGTTTTATTTGGAGCCCATTTTTGTACTTGATATGATGTAACAGTCCATGTATATTTTTTTGCAGGTGCATATCCAGTTTTTCCCCATTATTTGTTGAAAAGACTACTCTATCCCCACTGGATAGTTTTTGTACCTTTGTTGAAAATAAGACAATTTAAAATGTAATGGCTTATTTATGGATTCTCAATTCTATTCCTTTGATATATTGTGTTTATCCTTATGCTAGTAACACAACATCTTGAAATTGTAGATTTGTAGTACACGTTGAAATAAAAAAATGTGAGTCCTCCAATTCTGCCCTTTTTTTTTAAGACTGTTTTGGCTATTCTGGGTCCCTTGCATTTGTATACAAATTTTGGGATTCACTGATCTATTTCAACAAAAATTCACCTGAAGTTTTCTAGGGATTGCATTGAATTTATAGATCAATTTGTGAAGAATTACCAGCTTGGCAACATCGAGTTTTCCAATCCATGAACACAGTATAGCTTTCTATTTTGGGGGTCTTCTTTTATTTCCTTGAAAAATAATTTTCCATTTTCAGTATAAAAGTTTCTCCATTTTTTGGTTAAATGAATCCCTAATTATCCTATTCTTTTTATGCTATTGTAAATGAAATTTTATTCTTAAAACCATAGAGTGTTGTATTTTGACATTATGTCCTGAACCTTGCTGAGGTCATTTATTAGCTCTAATAATATTTTGAGGGATTCTTAAGGATTTTCTGTGTATGTATGTGTGTATATATATATATATACATGTACATATATGCGTGTATATATATACATATATATGCGTGTATATATATATATACATATATATGCGTGTATATATATATACATATATATGCGTGTATATATATATACATATATATGCGTGTATATATATATATCATCATGTCAGTATTTCTTGCAGTCAGGTTGATGGTGATGAACTCTTCAGTTTTTGTATATCCAGGAATGCCTTAATTTTTCCCTGACTTCTGAAGAATAGACATACCAAGATATAGAATCCTTGGTTGATAGGTTTTTCTTCTGCCGTTTTTAATGTGTTCTCTCACTACCTTCTGGCTTTCATGATTTTAATGAAAAATTACTGTTTAGTTTATTAACTGCTCATGATAAGTGGCTTGTCCCTTGCTTTCAAAATTTTCTCCTTGCCTTTGTCACTAATATTTCGATCTAGGTGTGGATCTCTTAGAGATTTTCCTACTTAGTGTTCTTTGAGCTTCTTAGATGTAGAGATTAATGTTTTTAATCAAAATAAAAATTTTCGTCGTCATTCTATCTTCATATATTCTTTCTGCGCCTTTCTCTTTCTTCTCTCTCCTGAGATTCCCATTATGCATATGTTTTTACACTAGATTGTGTTCTTCAGGTCTCTGAGGCTCTGTTCATTTTTCTTAATTATTTTCTTTATTGTTCCTTAGAGTGTATAATCTCAAATGACCTGTAATTAAGTTAGCCGATCCTTTCTTCTGTTTCTGTCTTCTGGTGAACCCCTGTTTTGAATTTCTATTTCATTGGTTGTACTTTACAACTTCATTACTTATCTTTAATTCTTTCTATGTTGTAAGACATTATTCTCATACATTCCTTTAGTCTTTTGTCCAGAGTTTCCTTTAGTTATTTCAGTGTATTTATAATAGCTGATGTCTTTGTCTACTAATCCATCATCTGAGCTCCTAAAGGATCATCTCTGTTCATTGTTTCCCTTCCCTTCTCTGTATGGGCAATATTTTTTGTTTCTTTGCATGTCTCGTAATTCTTTAATGAAATTGGACTTTTTACATAATATAATGTGGCCAGTTTGGAAATCAGATTCTCTCCCCAGGGTTTGTTTGCACAGTCTTTGCTGTTGATTACTTCCTTAGTAACTTTCCTGGACTAATTTGCTAAAGTCTGTATCGTGTGTCATGTGTAGCCACTAAAGACGCTGTTCCATTAGCTTAGAGGTCAGCTCATGATTGGACAGAAATGATCTTAAATACTAAACCAATAAATCACCTGGACTTTTCCAAGGGGCTGCATGTGTATCCATTGAGATACACTGTCAACATTCCACTGGGAAACTTGCAACTTTATGTTGTATTTCACCTCCTGTTCACATAGAGACTTTAATTCAGCCAGAGGTGAACAATTAGGGTCATCTGAGGTCTTTCCTTAGCATGTACACAGCCCTGGGGCAAACACACAATTCTGTGCAGGAGTGTGGTATTCTAAAGTCCCACAGATGTGACAGAGATTTTCTTTAAGCACCTGGAAATCTTTCCTACCTTTTCCTTTTTTGTTTTTTGGTCAGCCTCTTGTTAGCTCCAATTGGCCTCACCGTCGGAAGTAGCTGTGATGGCAAAAAATTGCCCCAGAAATAGCACTGTCCACATAGAGCACACTCTGAGTTAGACGAGGTAAATACATGCTATGAAAAGGGTGCCTTTTTAGAGAGCTGACATACAAATGAAATAGTGACAGTTTTCCGGGGACAGAGCTTTCGAAAGCAGAAAGGAAATCCTCCCGTGCAGGGGCTGCTGGGCTGCTGGTTTTCACAGCCACTGTGGAGCAAACCTGGTGGCTTTCAGGCTACCACACAGCTGGGCACAAAGATGGGAATGGAAAAGTTATACTGCCACTAAACTTTCTGTTCTTGCTAAAGTTTTCTTGTTTTTCTTGATGATTCTTAATGATGCCACTCCTTGGATTGTGACAAACCTTTGGCTGAATTCCAAAATTCTGGGGAAAAAAAGTTGATATTGAAAATATATGTGAGTACAGGTTGAGCATCTCTACCCAGAAATCTGAAATCTGAAATGCTCCAAAATCCTAAAAGTTTTGAGCACCAACATGAAGCCAAAAGTGGAAAACTCCTCTCCTGACCTCATTTGATGGGTTGCAGGCAAAACGCAGGCTGACAGTGATGAAGCTGATGTTCGTAACACTGCAGAAAAAGTGCTGATAGATGACATGGTGAAAAAGTGTGATGGGCTTATTGAAGGACTGAAGCAGCCTGTATTCATACCAAAACAAGAAATCATGTAAGTTTAAAAATCAACAAGAAATTTCTAAGACAAAAAACATTGTTAATGAGAGAGATGACTCTGGAGAAAACATTTTTAAAAGTCATCCAGCAGAATGCCTCCTCATCTCTAGAGGATCCACTTCCTGGTCCCTCAATTGCTTGTGATGTCTCTTTTCACCTACAAAAATAAAATACAGTGACCAATAATCGTTTAATCAAAACACAGCATCGTAGATGGAGACTGAAATCCTGCTGCTGTTGCTTCTTGCTGTTGTTTAACAGCTGGGGCAGGTATTTTGGTGATGCTACTGTGCTGCTTAGTTACCCTGAACACATTATTTTCACAGTATTAATGGTATGTCGTATTTTTATTGTTAAATATTTATGGGTGAATAAGTGTAATAAAATGATTGCTTATTGGTAGCATATAAATTCGAGTCAGATACAATGGTGATACTAAACAATCACAGATTGTCCACATGGGCGGCTGAGATAGGGACAACTTTCTTTCTGATGTTTCAGTGTATACAAACTTTGTTTCATGCAGGAAACCGGTAAAAATATTGCATAAAATTACCTTCAGCCTATGTGTATAAGGTATATGTGAAACACAGATAATGTTTACACTTGCCTCTCATCCCTAAGATATCTCATTATTTATATGCAAAGATTACAAAATGTGAAAATATCCAAAATTTGAAAAATTTCTGGTCCTAAGAATTTTGAATAATGGATTCTTAAACTTATTCTCCCTCCTTTTATGAAGGAGCAGATTTTACTCCACCGTTGTGAAAGTAGTTCCCTCTGCTGTATGGTTTTTGTATAGGCTTGCCATCAAATAAGTGAACTTCTAATGTTCTGTCATTATTTTCTCATTTATCATGAAGAGATAAGTGACTCTTTCACACATTCTATAGCCAATACGAAGATAATCATAACATTTTCCCCTGTACTCCATTAATGAGAAGTATCCCATTGATTTACTTTTAAATGTTACACCAATCATAAATTGTTGACATAAAACCTTACTTGTGTATGATGTTTCATCATTTTTATATATGACCAAATTCCCTGTGTAAAGTTTTGTTTAGGATTTTTGCCTTTATGTTTATAGCAAGGCTGGAAAATTGTTTTCCTTTCATGTAATATCCTTCTCATGTTTCGGTATCACAGAATTGCAGTGCATATCAAATTAGTTTGGAAACAGAAAGGTCAGTGTGTGGGGTTGCAAACAAACATCTTGAAAATATGAGTGCAGACACTTTAAATATTTAAAGTACAGACACTTTAAATATGAGTGCAGGCACTTGAAAATATGAGTGCAGGCATATTAAATCAGTTGGGAGGGATTTTGTTTTTGTAAATTTGGACTGAAACTCAGTGAGGACATGCCAATTCAGAGTTAGAAGAAAACAGCAGATTTACACAGGGAAAACACTCAACGTGTGGAGGTAGCCCCAAGTTTGTGCTAGAAAGAAAGGTCGGTGTTGGTAAATAGAGCAGCTACTCCAGAGAGCTTTCCCTCATCATCTCTCTGCCTCCCACATCAGGTCCCAATTCTTCTGTGTGCATTAATAAATCTACTTCTTACTATTGCTGAAGTCAGATATGTTTTTAGCTACCAAGCAAGCAGGAGGAACATCCATTTTTAGAATAGTGTAGAGAGGACATGAAGGTTTATCTGGCCCAGATTCACATTCCAAAATGACTTCAAGTTAGTCTTTTGAATCCATCAACTAATGAAGTTTTTACACAGTCATGAAGACATAAAAGCAGGAATTAAGGAAAAAAGCATTCATTATAAAACTTAAATTTCAGTCCCATGGTGCACCATGAATTGACACCATCATGAAAGCATTTGAAACTATAAAACTCACTGATAGAACCAAAACACAAGGAAGAAAGAGAAAGGAATCAAACCTTATTATTACAGAAAACCACCCAACCACAAAAATAAACAATAAGAAGGGAAGTAAAGAGCAAAGGATATACAAAAACAACCAGGAAACAATCAATCAAATGATAGGAGTAAGTACTCACCTGTCAGTAATAACCCTGAATATAAACAGATTAAATTCCCCATTTTAAAAATATAGACTGGCTAAAAGGATTAAAAAACAAGACCCAACTATATAGTGAAAACTAACCTCACCTGTAAAGACATACATAGGGTGAAAGTAAAGAGAAGGAAAAATATTCCATGAAAACAAATCAAAAGCAAGCAGGAGTAGCTATATTTATATCAGACAAAACAGACTTCAAATTAGAAACTGGAAAAAAGAGACAAGGAATAGCATTATATAATTATAAAGGGACTAATTTAGTAAAAGAATATAACAATTGTAAATATGTATGCACTCAACAGTGGAGCGTCCAGATATATAAAGTAAATATTATTAGATATTAAGGAATATATAGACCCCAATACAATAATAGTTAGGGACTTCAACACCCTACTGTCAGCATTGGAAAGATTATTTTAACAGAAAATCAACAAAGAAATATCAGATATAAACTGCATCATAGACTAAGCAGACCTAACAGACATTTACAGCACATTTCACCAAATAACTGCAGAATACGTATTCCATCAGCACAAGTAACAATGTCAAAAGTTAGCCATAGGGTACAAAACAAGTCTCAAGAATTTTAACAAATCAAAATCATACCAAGTATTTTATCTGACCATAATGGAATAAAACTAGAAAGCAATAACAATAGGAACATTTAAAAGTATACAAATACATGGAAATTAAACAACATGCACCTGAATGATAATGGGTGAAGAAAGAAATTAAGAATACAATTTCAAAATTCCTTGAAATAATCAAAAATATAAACACAACATACCAAAACCTATGAGACCCAGCAAAAGCAGTATTAAGAGGCGAGTTTATAGCAATAAATGTCTACATTAAAAAACTAGAAAGGTTTCAAATAAACAACCTAATGATGCATCTCAAGGAACTGGAAAAGCACAAACAAGCCAAACCCAAAATTAGTAGAAAGAAAGAAATAATAAAGATCAGAGCAGAAATACACAAGAGAGAGACTAAAAATTACAAAAGATCAACAAAACAAAAAGTTGGATTTCTGAAAAGATACACAAAACTGGCAAACCATAAACTAGACCACCTAGGGAAAAAAAGAGAGAAGACTCAAATAAAATCAGAAATGAAAAAGCAGACATTACCACTGGTGACACAGAAATACAAAGGATTCTTAGATACTATTATGAGCAACTATAAGCTAACAAATTGGAAAACCTAGAGGAAACTGATAAATTCTTAGAAATGTATAACCTATAAAGATTGAACCAGAAAAAAATTTAGAAACCATGAGCAGTTCAATAATGAGTAATGAGACTGAATCAGTAATAAAAAGCTTCCTAACAACAACAACAAAATCCCAGGAATGGAAGACTTCACTGCTGAGTTCTACCAAACTTTTAAAGAAGAGTTAACATCAGTTCTTCTTTAAACTATTCCAAAAAATTAAGGAGGAGAAAGGAGAAAATTCTCCCAAACTCATTCTATGAGTCCAACATTACCCTGATACCAAAACTAAATAAGGGCACGTGGACACACACATGCACACACACACCAAAAAACTACAGGCCAATATTCCTTATGAACATAGATACAAAAATCCTCAATAAAATACTAGCAAACTGAACCCAACAAGACATTAAAAAGATAATACACTATAATCAAGTAGGATTTATTCCAGGGATGAAGAATGTGTTTCAACATATATAAATCATTTATGAATGTTTTAAATAAATGTGATACATCACATCAACAGAATGAAGGACAAAAAGTCCATATGATTATCTCAATAGATGCAGAAAAATCATTTGGTAAAATTCAATATCCCTTCATGATAAGGACTCTCAATAAAGTAGGTATAGAAGAAAAGTATCTCAACCCAATAAAGGCCATATAGACAAACCCACAGCTAACATCATACTGAACTGGAACAAGAAAAGCATGCCAACTCTCACTGCTCTTATTCAACTTAATATTAGAAGTCATAGAGCAATTAGGAAAGAGAAAGAAATAAAAGCCTTTCAAATTGGAAAAGAAGTCTAATTATCCCTCTTTGCAGATAACATAATTATATCTA
Source organism: Homo sapiens (assembly GCF_000001405.40). NCBI lineage: Eukaryota > Metazoa > Chordata > Mammalia > Primates > Hominidae > Homo > Homo sapiens. The sequence continues at coordinate 45,250,952 of NC_000020.11, forward strand.
CAGAAGAACCTTTAGACTCTGCAAATAAACTCTTAGAACCAATCAATGAATTCAGTAAATATGCAGGATACAGCATCAACATACAAAAATCAGTAGCATTTCTATACAGCCCTACAGGGCTTAGTGGGTGTTCTCCCTGTGTGCAGAGACAAGAGATTGTAAAAGACACAAGACCAAGAGATAAAGAGAAAGCAGCTGGGCCCAGGGGACCACTACCATCAAGATGCAGAGACTGGTAGTGGTGGCTGTGTCTTTAGCTTTGCAAGCTTTTTAGTTTGAGGTAGTCCCACTTGTCTATTTTTGCTTTTTTTGCCTGTCAGCCCTGCTTTCTTTTCCCTGTCACAGGTGTCACTCCCCAGGACACTCCCCAGCAAACCCCCTGTTCACAAACATTTGCCTCTGGGACTGTTTTCCAGAAAACCTGACCTAAGGAAGATTATAAAAGTTTATCATTATCCAAAAATTGGAGAAGAAGAGTAGAAAAAAAATAGTACTGTCACTTTTTCAGCATGTGTTCTGTATGTAACCCAGGAGTTTATCTCATTTCAACGCTAGGTCTCCTCCCCCTGCAAGGTGCTACTTGGGGCACACTCCTAGTAGCGTATTTGCCCGAGCCTAGGTTCCTCAGTCTGGAATAACCCTTGCTGGAGGTGAGAAAAGTATGTAGCAGAATGGTCCAGTGAGGTTTGGGGCATTCCAAGTCTTTCAAAATAATCGAGAGTGGGCACTGACGTAACATGGTTAGTCTTTTTGAGGACTCCATTTGCTGTGAGTTGCAGATAATCTTAATTTTTCTGAGTGTCCAGAGAGTGTTGGTTGGATTAGACAACAGACAGACCTACAACATATCAAGTGTGAAAACCAATATATATATCGTAACACATACAGAGGTGAACACAGGAATCTGCCCCAACAGTTCTGTATGGCTTTAGATGAAAACCCCCTGGATTAAAATAGCTTAACTGTTGGCAGGATCTCTTATGCATAAACTCGTCTCAGGAAAGTTTTTCACCTGCAGTTGACAATCCTGCCAGAGGCAGTAAAATTGAGGTTTCTGATTCTTCATGTTATTGTACATCCCTAATCCCATTGAAATTTAGGAGATAAAATCACTTGTCCCAAATCACAGAGTCAGCACTTTCACACTCATGATATAAATTCAAGTTCCCCCAGTCCCTAAGCCTCTTCCTCCCACTACGTATTCATAGGAAGGAGGCCTCATATCTAGATCTTCCCTCACAGCTTCCCACCCCACTCATACCCCCAACGAATCACAGAAGCAGGATGTGCAAAGAGAAATAGGCTCGTTTATTTATTCATTGATCAACTGGCACTTCTTGAAAGCCTGCTGTGTGCCAAGCCTTTCCCCAAAGGAGGATATCAGTGGTGGAGCCAAGTCTCAGGGTGGAAAGGACCTGGACCACACAGAGCAGGACTCCAGAGCCTCCTCCATATGGCAGGAATCAAGCTGTGAGAGAAAATCAGATAAGAGCTTCAGCATAGAAACCAGCCAAATCATATCCACATCCTTCCTCCTGCCCAAGGATCCTTCTGAGATAGAGAAAATAGCAAGATAGCGCTATAGTTGAGAGAGACTTAGTGTCAGGAGACAAGTCTCATTTTCACCGTAAAACTCTAAACTCAAAGCATTGAACTAGATAATCCTCAAACTCCACTGATCCTTTGTGATTTCACCTCAGAAAACATGATGGAAACAACCTGAATAATAAATTCTTAGTGCACATAGTGCTTTGCAGAGCACTTTCAATCTCATTATGTACATTTTACCGATAAAGAAACTGAGACTCAGAAAGACACTTGCCCAGGACCCCCACCCAGAGACACTAGAATAGAATCAAAGCCACAGGCGATCCTATGGAAATCCTGGCCCTGAGACCTGGAGAACAGTTCTCTTGAAGGACAAGGGAGTCAGACAGAGGCTGTGCTTGGAGTAGGGTTCAGGAGTCCCCCTGCCCATATGCCTGGGCCTCCAGAGGGTTGAGGCTGAGAGGGCTGGAGGGAGCTCAGTGTGCCCTCATCCCCTGCTTACCTTTCACAGGGGAAACGCAGGATTTCCCACACATGCCCATGCAACACTTCAAGTCACGCTTGCACTGGCCATCCATCTCACAGAAATTGGGGGGGTTAAGCATCAAACATTGGCCATAAGTCACTGGGCACTTCCCAGGCTTCCTCCTTGCTGGGTGAGAGTGAGGCTACCGGTCAGAGGCCTTGTACTTTATACAACCCCTCCCATCCCCACTTTTTAGAGTGAGCCCCTGCTCCAGCTTCAGCAGGGGGGATCATCCCCTCCCCACCTCTATCACCACCACCTTCTCCCTAAGGCGGCCCCCAAACATAGCACCTGGCTCTCCTAGAACTTCAGGCCCCCCATTGATGCAGGTGGCCAGCCACCCAGTGCTGACTAGGTGGGAGGCTTCCAACTACCTGGCTATCTAAATGCCCGCTGCTTCACCAGCTGCTGGCTACCTTCCTGCTTAGGGCAGTGTGACTCACTGACGGATTGACAAGGAGGCCTGGCAGGACCCATCACCCAGTTCCATCCCTCTAATGCTGTGTCCCCAGGCTCACTCCTCTCTACCCAGTTCCCCGACCTGCTTACTTGGGTTTGGGGTGTCAACAGGATCCAGGCATTTGATGCCACAAGTGTCAGGACAACATCTCTTCTTCCCTGGACACTGCCAGTCACTCTGGCACTCAGGTTTCTTGTATCTAAGGCACTGGGCAGATTTCTTAGGAGGACAGACTCCAGCTTTGAAGGCTTTTGAAGAGAAAGTCAAGAGGTCAGGAGGAGGCTGGGTACTGAGGACCCATCATGCCTCCTGAACAAAGCACCACTTTTGAGGGGGAGAGACCCTTACCTCAGTAGCTGTCCACAAAGCCCAAAGGGTCATGCCTGCCTGATCTCCAGGTGTATTGATGGGCTTGATTAAATTAGACAAATGGACAGGGGACGTTTCACACCCAAGAAAAGGGCAGCAGGCTTCTAGTCAAGACCTCCCACCCAAGAGCAAAACAAGGCTACACAAAGGCAGAGAGGAAGGCTGGGAGTGATGGAGATGGAGAGAGGTAAACAAAGATAAATAGAACCAGTGTGAGAGAAGTTGAGAGCTAAAGCCCAAGGCAGAAGCACAGAGACAAAATAGCAGAAGCAAAGACACAAGGAAGCAGAGTCAGAAACTAATGATTTGAGAGTCGCAGACAGGTGAAGAAGAAGGCGGAGTATGAGAGAGAGAGAGAGAGAGAGAGAGAGAGAGAGAGAGTGGGACCTGGGCTGACAGCATGGCTGCATAGAGGAAGCATTTCCAGAAGCTCAAACTGTCACACAAACCTTGGAGCTCAGCCAGACATGTATTCCACCCTCAGGGAGGTCTCCCGAAACTAAGCTGAGGGATCAGAGCCTACAGAAGGGGACACACCCACACCACAAGGAGACCCCACCTCTGACCCTGCAGCCCAGATTAGACCAGAGTGACTCCAACTTACACTTTCCAGAGCCTTCCACAGCCCAAGGTGCCAGAGTTCCCAGGGCAAGCAGCACCAGGAAGGGGAAGAGGCCGCTGGACTTCATGGTGAAGGCAGGAGTGACTCTGATGGCCAATGCCAAACCTCACTATTTATTCTTTCACCAGTGGGTGTGGCCCCACCAGAATTCTTTCGGCCTCTCCCAGCTACTATTGCATAAGCAGGAAACGTAGCCAGAGACCAGAAATCCTGACACCAAGGAGATTGTTTATCTTTCCTATGCCAGGTAAGGCTATGAGGCCAACACAGCAACTATCAGAAAAGAAAGGGAAGAGATTGGCCTGGGAAGTTGGTTGATTAAAGAGGCCATCTCAGTGTCCATCTGAGCCCTAAACATCACAAGATCCCAGGCCATTAGCCTTATAGGTGGAGAGAGGGAAGAAGTGGTCAATTGCAAAGGTGCTACCCGGACCTGGAACTAAAACCAGACACAGACTCCCTGCTGAGACTTTGTGCAATACATTCTATTCTCACATTGCTAATTCTGATTCTCACATTACTGGACTCTCAGGCATTGTGAAACTCTGCTGATTACTCAATGCAGTTTCTTTCTCAAAAGTTCAGCTCGTTCAACCAACTGATACTTAGTTCCCTGAAATATTTACACCGTTATATCCCCAGTGCCTGTTCTGTGCCTGACACAGGAAAAGCACTCACAAATGAAAGCTGAAGAAGAGCTCCGCTCTCCACAAATCTCTCTGGAGCTCAGTTGTCTCAGCTGTGAAATGAAATGATACTAACAAGTCAGCCCTTCTCAGAGGGTTATGAAATTAAGGGCATGAAGGGACTCTGAATGAAAAGAACAAATGAATAGTATCCCTTCCCACTAAAGAGAATTGAAATGAATCTGAGATAAAGGGGGAAAGCAGCTCATCAGTCACTGTAATCTACATTTAGCTGTGAGATAATTTGAGATCTTAGAGGATTGCTTCCTAAAATTCCCCAAAATCCCTTACAGATCTCACATGACAGCAAAAAATTAAACCCATTCTATTTGCTACCCAGTCTGCATAGGTTGCTTCTAATTATAAAGAGAGCGACCATTATCTCTAAAATTCAGCCCATAGCTGAGTGTAGGGTCGCACACTTGCTGTCTCAGCTGCCCAGGAGGCTGAGGTGTATGGATTCCTTGAGAGTAGGAGTTTGAGACCAGCCCTGGCCACATATTGAGACCCCATCTCTACAAAAAAATGTAAAAAATTAGCCAGGCATGATGACGTACGTATGCCTGTAGTCCCAGCTACTTGGGAGGCTGAGCCAGGAGGATCGCTTTAGCCCAGGAGTTTGAGGCTGCAGTGAGCCATGATTGTGCCACTGCATTCCAGCTTGGGGGACAGAGCGATACCCTGTCTTAAAAAAATAAAATAAAATAAAATTCAACCAAAGCTCATCTAGCTACAAACTCCAAGCTCTTGACTCATTATCTTCATGCTTGGAATTCTCCCATTCATTCCTAAGGTGAAGGTTTGTGGAACTTTCCACAGACATGAAAGACCCACTCATTATCAAGTAGCGATGGCCCCACATGAAGTATTTAAGTATTCCACAACCAAACAGGCAACTGGCAGCAGATCCCTTTATACAAAAGTCACTCCATGGTTTGAATTTTGGTGGATCAGAAGACTTGGACATAATCAATCATCAGTCAAATTTTGGTGGAAAAAGAAAAGGAAGAAAATTAATATGCACAAGGTAACTACTATGAGCCAGGTGCATTCACTCTTAGTTGGAGTACTTAGTAGGGTAGGTAAGAGAGAAATGGAGGCTATGATTTCCACCAATGGGTAATGACACTCTCAGGTCAAGATTTTTGTTCTCACTTCCACCACCCAGGGGATAATTTGATTTCTCTCACAGAGTTCCTGTTCTCTCTCTCTCTCTCTCTCTCTGTTTGTTCCTATTTTCCTCAGTGCCACACTCAAGAAATTATCTGGAGTTTTCTAAATATTTATTTCTTAAAGAATGAAAAGGGGCTGGGCACGGTGGCTTATGCCTGTAATCCTAGCACTTTGGGAAACCAAGGTGGGCGGATCACTTGAGGTCAGGAGTTCAAGAGCAGCCTGGCCAACATGGTGAAACCCTATCTCCACTAAAAATACAAAAATTAGCCAGGCAGTGTGGCACACACCTGTAATCCCAGCTACTCAGGAGGCTGAGGCAGGAGAATCACTTGAACCCTGGAGGTAGAGGTTGCAGTGAGCTGAGATTGTACCATTGCATTCTAGCCTAGGCAACAAACTGAGACTCCGTCTCAAAAAAAAAAAAAATTAAAAGGAAAATGCTACAGCTTAAGTTTTTTTTAAATCTGTGATTGACTGATTGCTCAATCTGTGATTGACTGATTAGAGCCAGCTCCTTTCTCATCAGAAAAGAGCCCTGTGCCCAATTAGCAATGTCTTCCATGGGTGTCATAAGAAGATAATAGTATATAATCATTATTATCTTTGACATAATTGGTTCTAAATGTTTACATCATAGAATGTTAAGACTAAAAAGAGGACTTCAAGGGTTTTCTAGATCAGCAAACTACAGTCCTTGGACCAAATCCACCTAGTTACCTGTTTTCATAAAGTTTTATTGGCACATAGCCACACATCCATTAATTTATGTATTGTCTAAGGCTATCTTTCCACTACAATGGCAACAGGGACCTAAAATATTTACTGCACAGCCTAAAATACTTATCGTCTGGTCCTTTACAGAAAATGCTAACCCCTAGACCAAACCCACAGCTTGCATAAAAGAGACTGAATCCCTTAGAAGAAGATCCAGGCCCAAAGCTGCATAGCGGATTAACGACACACACAAGATTGAGCTTTTCTAAAACAGGTTACTCACATGCTGATCCCCAGAACCTGTCTGGTGGAGGACACTTCCACTCCTAACCAAATCTTAACCTGAGACTGACTCATTCAATCTATCTCAAGGCTGGGAGTGGTGGCTCACTCCTGTGATCCCAGAACTTTGGGAGACTGAGGTGGGTGGATCACTTGAGGTCAGGAGTTTGAGACCAGCCTGGCCAACATGGTGAAATCCCATCTCTACTAAAAATACAAAAATCAGCCGGGCATGGTGGTGTGTGCCTGTAATACTCAGGAGGCTGAAGCAGGAGAATCACTTCAACCTGGGAGGCAGAGTTGCAGTTAGCTGAGGTCATGCCACTGGGCTACAAGAGTGACACTCTGTCTCAAAAAAAAAAATCTATTTCACACACCCTTTATTGCCTTCTACCTAAATCCTATAGATTCCTTCATTCATTTATACAAACCATTCACACAAAAGTTGTTTAACATTTCTTACCACATGTCAGGTATTGCACTAGGCCTAGGGCTACAGAAAAGAGCACGCCCACGGAGTCGACACCACATGGTTGTTAAGAACCTGAACTTCAAAGTCAGACTTACAGGTTGGAAGCAAATCACTGAACCTCTTTGAACTTCAGCTACCTCCACTGAAAAATGAGAGTGTTGCTGCCTCTGGAGTCGTACAGTTGTTGTGAGGAGTATTTGGAAAGCACTCAGCAAACTGTCTGGTCCCCTCAGTACATTACACATTGTTTTTATTACCGGCGTGTCCCTGCACACATTAAGCGCACAGGGAGCTGTCAGTCTTTAACTAAATAGCTTAGTCCTTGGGTCTGGACCCATCTGGCTCTGTCCCATTAAATGTTTGACAAAACATGGTCTTATTTCTTGACAAAATAGACCTGATTGGGCCTATTGGTAGGTAGGTAGACAGACAGATAGACAGATCTTAACTGACAGATAGATATAGATAGATAGATAGATATAGATAGATAGATAGATAGATAGATAGATAGATAGCCAGATAATCAACTATTGGTTCTGTTTCTCTGGAAAACCCTGGCTGATGGAACCTGCTTGCCTCTGCACTTCCCAATGCCATTTATTAAAGTTGGTTACATCATTACTTGTGAGGCTGCATCATCCTTTATGCCTTCTCTGAATACTGGCTTCCAATTACTGTCTCAAATGTTGTTAGTGTGGCCGCTTGTCCCTGACTACCAGGGTGCTGGTGACAGGGGGACCCTGGCAGCTGGTGGGTCCTGCACACACCAAGTAGCGGGACAGGGACCCTGCGCACCTCTGGGAGTCTGCACTCTCCCTGTGAGTATCCACATACTTGTGGAGGAGCAACAGTAAATAATTTTTTTAACACCATGGCAGATCTAGAGAGAAACTGCCAAAGAAAGTTAAAAAATTAATTTTAGTACCGTTAACACTTTTTTTCCTGCTTTTGAACAAGCAGCTCCACATTTTCACTTTGCATTGAGTCTTGTAAATTATGTAGCCAGCCCTGGAGGGGCTCAGGGTTGAAGTGAGAGGAGCATCTCATTTGCACAAGAAATGTCTCTGCCTAATCCATTATGGCTCAACACTGACCCGAGAGAGCATAGGTCAATCAGAGGAAAAAAAAAAAGACATCAACTGAAAAGCCCCTTTGGAGTTGCACAGAGATGGCCTGGAAAGCCCTGAGGAAGAGACAGGAGCAGCCACAGGCTCCTGCCAGGAGCCATCCAAGGTGGTAGGATGACTGCCCTAGATTCTAGCAATGGGGGAAGGAGTACAGAGTGAGAAGCACCCCCTTGGACTAGAACCCATGCAGTTCTCAGTCCAAGCTGGGATTCTCTGCCCCATGGCACCATTGATCCTGGCTGGCTTCAGGCACTCCAGGGGAACATAGACAATTTTGAGGAAGACGCCCCAAGGCACAGAGCGACCTGAAGTGTGAGGTGCAGGGAAGGAGCCCCGTTGCTCAGGTCTAAGGAAGAATGTGTTTCGGGTCGCCCCATTCTGATAGCAGATGCCAGCTTCACCCTTAACTAAAAGTCACTGTGTTCTTACCTAAAATTCACTATGTTTCCAAGTCTCAAAACCAAAAAACAACACAGAACAAAAAACTCTTTCAGAATCTGGCAGACAACCAGGTTTTCACAGCTCATTCCTGTGTGAATAAGGCAGCAACTACCTTTCCCTGGGCCTCAGTTCCTCTACCTGTCCCAAGACGGTAACTGTGACTCTAAGAAACAGCTTCATCCTGCTTCCTCTGAGGCCATCAGCTCTCCCCAAGAGCCTCAGCCAATTTTCTGACTTTCATAGTTGCCTTTATAACTTAGCTTAAAATATTGTCTTAAACAAAATACATAAAACGTCAATAATGACCAAATGGGAATGGAGACACAGAGCCAGGGAGTATGGAGATGTAGTAGGTGTGGTGGGGAGAGTATTGGGGAAAAAAAAACCCCGAGCTGAGACAGGAAGAGTAGATGAGAAAGAGATGACTGCAAGGGAGGTGGGGTCATTTAAATCACCTCTGGAAGTGTCATCCACAGGTGGTGGACATGGCAACTGGATCTCCCTAGACCTTCCAGAGAAACAGATGGCTTAGCCACTCCTTATCATTTTCCCACCCAAGAAAGTTTGAATTCTGCAATGTTTGTACTTCCTCCCCTACTGCTCATCATAGTCCTAATAAAATCTGGAAATATGAACTGTCCTTTTAGGCCCACAAGTGAATGGGTGAAGGGCAGTAAAGCAGAATCTGGGCAAGGGTGAAAAACATCCACCATCAAAGAATTGGCAGGAGAAATTAACCAACAACGGTGGATCTCAGGTGTCTTCATACTTATTACCATGCAAGAGATGGTTGGTGTACAGATCAGGGCTCTGCACTTTATTCCTTCAAAAACTGCATGTCTGTCTCCCTAGAGGAAGGGATCCAGTTAACCTAAGGTTAAAGAAACAAAGTCTGTGGTATGTCATGAGGAAATGCTTTAGGGACCTGGTAAAACAAAAAGAAAAACAGTGCTCGGCATTAAGAAACTGCCATCATGACTACCCATGGAAGAAAACCGGGAATAGAAAAACTGGATTATTAAACTGTGGAACAGAGCTATAAGCAGCTTGGGAAAAGATGTCCCCAAATCACTAGAATCCATCTCCTTTGGTTTAGCATGTTTTGTTACATTTAAGCGTCACACAAAACTTGGTAGATACTAATGTCAAGTCAGTTTACAGATGAGAAAAAGTGAGTCTCAGAGAAACGTTCCTGTTGCAGATCAGGAGATGGTAGGGTCTTAGATGGACATGGCAGACGATGCCTGGTTGATCATTACTATGGGAGAGTTTGGTGTCTAAGCCTGGGGTCAGTGGAGAGCACCACTATGAGGACACCTCTGTGGCCCAAACAGAGCAGAGTGCCAGAAAGACCATGAAAGACTCACACTTGATAGCATCACTTCTGGCCTCTGGGACCCTGTGGTCAGCTAGAGAGGCATGACGATGATACTGGACTCAGGACACTGGGCTGGAATCCCAGCTCTGTCCAATTTGATGTAGAACCTTCCTTTCTCTGGGCCTCAGTTTCCCTATTTGTAAGATCAGTGCATTGGAACAGATGCTCTTTAGAGGCCCCAAGTCTTAGATTCTAGCTGGGTTTTTGCCTTATAGAGGACTCTCAGGACCCAGAGAGCCAACTTTCCTGAATAAAAAGCCTAGGAATAGACACCATGCATGACCCCGAACTTCACAGTGGACCAAGCACTTTTATATCCCATTTTAAAGAAAAGGAAATGGAACCTCAGAGAGTAAGCCCACTTGCCCAAGATGACACAGCAAGTCAGAGGTACAGTAAGATTCAAACCCAAGTCTTCAGAATTCAGCCACATACTGCTTCATTATGGTCCCTCCAAGACTTCTTTAGTCCTAAACCCAGAGTTGGAGATGCCTGGGATAGTAGCACTGTCCAGATAATCCTTCGGCGGAAAGTTAAAAAATGATCTTAAAGATGCAAGAAGTGAGAGTGCTGAATAAACCAAGGAGAATAGGTGCTATTTTCAGGTGCAATTTGAGCAAGGGCTCAAACTATAGCTCCCACAAGATTCTCTCCACGGCACTTCTCTTCATGTTGGCTTCATTCTTAGTCAGGCTCCCTCTTAGCATTTATAATATGGCTGTGGCATCTCCTCCCATCTTCCCAAATTCATGTCTAGTAAGGGCTTTTTCTGGGCAACTCAACTAACTAGGAGTGGCTAGAATTAAATCTTTAAACCAATGATTGGGACCAGGGAACTGGGATGTACCGATTGGTTTAAGCCAAGGCCACAATACTCATCACCATGTGTACTCATCCCCAAATCCAGTGGAATTTTCAGAGTGGGAGAGGGAATGATTCTCCTGGGGTAAATTAGGATATAGCTACCAGCAGAAGGGTGAAAGGATGCTCAGTGGTAAAAATAGCAGTGAGTGTTCTCTAAAGTATACCCCTTTTGGTTACTGAAATCTACATAACTAAATTTTTTCAAATACTTTCTAAACCAACATCTACATAAAATGCACTCAACCTCTCTCCCAAAGAAAGACAACAAAATGTCTCTCTGGGTACTATATTCATCTCCAGTTCTGCAATGTGGGTGAAAGCAGTTCTGTCAGTTAAATTTATAGTCTTCACAGATTAAGTTTAATAAGCTTAAGTAAATTTAACCACTTCAAATGCACCCAATATAGAATGGTAGATTGAGGGCGGAATGACTGCAATAAAAAGTCCTATTTGCAAAAGGGAAATATAGGAAGATATATACAAATTGTCACTGGCCCGTAATACGGATTGTACATCCTGTAAGACAGGGATGTGAGGACTTCCTACCTAATGTTGGAGTGATTTCCTTACTCAATAAATCTGAAGAATCCAGTTCTGCTGTCTGGGAGCCTCTCCTTTGCCTGTCACCTTCCATGGCTACATCTTGGAGGAGTATTGCAGAGGATGCCCTTTTGTTGGGGAAGGAAGGGCATCTGCACCTTTTCAAGAATTCACTTTATATAGGTGCAGCAGGATGTGGGGATCGACATGAACAATCAGTGGCCATTATGAGGCTTGGTTTTCATGTTTAGTTGGCTCCTGGTCCATTTGCTTCATATAAAAGCATGAACTAGTAACTATTGTCAGAAATCTCGCCGAGTCATGTTTGCCTTTTATTTATTCTGCTTTACTCCAAATATGCACTTTTAGTCTGAAGATGCATGTCTTAATTTAATCCTAAAAGAAAAAGTCCTTTCTTTATCTCTTTGAATATTACTTCTGTGCCATTCTCTCCAGTCTCTTTCTGGAACTTCCACCGGATATTTACTAGACCTTCTATTTTTATTATCGTTGTTTTGCCTTTCTCTTATATTTTTCTCTTCATCTCTCTGTGCTGGGCTCTGGGTGAATTTCTCAGTACTGGCTAAAAATTCACCAAGTTTTCTTTCAGCTGCATCCAGTCTAAACTCTACTTTATCCAATGTTTTTCCAACTTTTATTTTAGGTTCAAGGGTACATGTGCAGCTTGTTAACATGGGTAAATTGCATGTTAATATTTGATGTACAGATAACTTTGTCACCCAGGTAATACCCAATAGGTACTCTTTCAGTCCTAACCCTCCTCGAACCCTTCACTCTCAAGTAAGCCCCAATGCCTATTGTTCTCTTCTTTGTGTCCACGTGTATTCAGTGTTTAGCTCACACTTATAAGTGAGATGATGTGATACTCTGTTTTTGGTTTTTCTGTTGCTGCTTTAATTCACTTAGGATAATGGCCTCCGGCTCCATCCATGTTGCTACAAAGGACATTATTTCATTCTTTCTTATGCCTGCATAGTATTCCATGGTGTTTATGTATCACAGTTTCTTTATCCAGTCCACCATTGATGGGCATCTAGATTAATTCCATGTCTTTGCTATTTTGAATACTGCTGCAATGAATATATGCACGCATGTGTCTTCATGGTAGAACAATTTCTATTCGTTTGGGTATATATCCAGTAATGAGATTGCTGGGTCGAATGCTAGTTCTATCTAGTAAGTAATGAATTTTTATTTCAATAATCATTTATTTCCAGTATTTCTACTTGGTTTTTTTTATATGTTCATCTGGTAAATCTAAATAATGTACAGTTGTCTGCCACTTTTTTACCAAATTAGGCAGGACAACCCTTAGGCCAATTGTTAGGTATCTGCATTCTCTGAAAATTCAGCCTCATTGCTTGTTTTAAAAGACATAGAAAGAGACTTAGCATCAATAAACAATAAGCACCTAACCATAGCTCTCTTGTTTGATGTTGTTTTTCCTCCCATGAACATAAATCAAATTATCAATCAGCAATGCCTCTATGTGCATTTATGTTTAAGGTCTTCCTCAATTAGACAGCTAACCAAGGTCATCCCCTACAAAATAAGACATACAAGTTATAAATTGGTGCATGCTGGAAAGGAATTAGCATGATTTGCAAACCTAGAGTGTGCCTTAAGATTTTCCCATAGAAAATGGAGGCAATTATATCTCTATTCTGGTGTCTGTAATCCTAGCACTTTGGGAGGCCAAGGTGGGAGGATCGTTTGAGCCCAGTATTTCAAGACCAGCCTGGGCAAAATAGCGAGACCCCATCTCTAAAGAAAAATAAAAGAAAAAAATAAAAATTTAAAAGAAAAAAAATCACTTGTGGAGACAGGGCAAGGAGAAGCTGAGAAAGGAATAAAAACATGGGAGGGGCAGCATGTCCAGTCATCCCTGTTGGTCTAAGAGCAGCAATGCACTTCAAGGGAGAGGCTGGGTGTCCACCTCCTTCTTTTACCAGAAGGCTTGAATTCCCTTGGCTCGAATTTTGCCATTTGTGCAGGTTGGATTCTTCTTAGCAATTCTGGAGAGACTGAGAAAGGTGGTTGCCCTCAGAAAAAAACAGTACAAAGAAGAGTTAGAGAACTCATGGATGGGGAGAGCTGGGATCTGGGGCAACAGCAGCAAATGTCTGAACCAGAAGTAGAAGCCAAGAAAATTCAGTGGTGGCAGGAGCATTCGAAACCTCCCCTCCCAAGAAATGATTTGTGACAGTGTCGGATTGAAGACCAAGATGTTTCTCACATTTTTCCCCCACGGGCTGGCATATCTCCCCAAAGGGAGACATCCATTTACTCAAGGACCAACAAAAAAGAAGCCATGACTTGTCACTAAGGAAGTTGTGGGCCTTGATAAGACATATTAAAAAAAGAACATGGCCTCTGTGGCGGTTGAACATGTGTTTGCTTTGTAATTGTTCATTAAATCTTACTCTTATTTTATGTGCTTTTCCTAATGCATGTTTTGTTTTACAATTTTAAAGTGTTGGGAGAAAGAATGAGTATTGGAAATTAGGCAATTGTCAGCAATGCTGGAACCTACAGGGGAGGCCAAGAGGAGAAAGAAAAATGACCTATCAAACTCTAGAACAAGGAGGATGCAGACCCCCAATTCCACAGCCTGGACTAACATCTCCCAAATTATCCTATATCCTTTCGCTTGATCTCAGTGACATTCATTAAAAGATCACAGACTTTGGAATCAGACTGACCAGCTTTTAAATCCTGTCTTTCCCACTTAATAAATATGTTCCCTTTGATAATTCTGATACTTGTGGCTAATAATTACTGAGCATCTTTTTTATGCTGGACACTGTGCTAAAGGCTTTGCATGCTTTTTCACATTTAAACCTATAACAATGAATAAAGCAGGTAGTACAGTATCCAATTTTACAAACAGGAAAAATAAGGCTCAGAGTCGGCCTCCTATACAAGGTGACAGGAGGAAGGAATGCTTTGGGTGAATTTGATAGGGGCTGTCTAAGGAATAATGCTTCTTACCCAGGCCTGAAGAGCAGCCATGATTCCCTGTGCCCAAAGCTGGGGTAAGGAGAGAGAACCACTGAGGGTCAACTCTTCAGTTCATGCAACTGATGTGCCTGCTGTACAGATGGTGCGTGAGCTCCAGATAGAAGCATCAGTTAGCATAAACTGTCTCTGGTGTCATCTTGATTAAAAATAGGACAATCTCCAATTTTATAAACACATTTTTAAAGTTGTATTTTCCACATTTAAGTCGTTAATCCATCTGGAATTTATTTTTGTGAAAGGTTTAAGTAGAGACTTTGTTTGATTTTTTTTCCAATATGGAATGCCAATTGTTCCCTATATCATTGATCCCCCTTTTGATCATAAAACTGTATTAATTTTGTACCAGTTTTCATATGTGGATGGATGCACTCTACTAGGTTTTCTTACTCAATTTGTTCACTCCCAGACCAATACCATACTCCTTTAATTTGCATCTATATTTTTTATAACCTGGTGCTTCGCAGTAGAAGTCTTTTCTGTTTTGCTTGTTTAGAATTGTTTTGGCTATCCCTGTGCTTTTACTCTACCATGTAAACTTTAGGGTCAATTTGACAAGGTCCTTAAAAACTCTGTTGAATTTTTATTATGATTGCATCCATGCTATAAATTACCTGGAAGAGCCAAAATATTTACCATAGTAAGTCTTCCCAAGTATAAAAAAATAAGTCTCACTCTATTTATTCAAGGCCTCTTCAAGTCTTTTAATAAAATTTTATTTTCATCATATAATTTTTCCAGGTAATCATAAATTTTATGGCTGTTGTGAATAGTTTACCCATTGATTCTCTTGGATTTCATCCTGAGACAATCATATCATTTGTAAACACTCACAATTTTATCTCTCCCTTTCCAATCCTTATACCTCTTTATTTTTATGTCCAATTTTATTGCATTGGCCTAAGATCACTAATATGAGATTGACTGAAAATGGAGATGGGAGAAATTCTGCCCTTGTACCTGTCTTTAAGGATGCCATTTCTAAAGTGTCATCACTGAGTATATTTGCTGCGACTGTTGGTAAATACCTTTTACCAGATTAGTTATGTTCACTTTTGTTCCTGGTCTAGGGTGTTTCTATTTTTATTACACATGAATGTAGAATACAATATAGAATGATTTTTATGAAACTATTTAGAGACTCATTTGGGTCATCTTTAAACTTTTAATTTGCTTAATCCCCTTGATAGATTTTCTGTTCTTGAACTATCTTTGCATATCTGTTTATTTATTTATTTATTATATTTATTATAGGGATACCCTACTATTATAATAAATGTCCTAGCATGTATTATACTTGTCACTTTGAAATATTTCAAATGTATGGAAAAAAATGGGAAGAACAGTACAAAGAACTACCATATTCCCTTCACCCAGATTCACTAAATATTAACATTTTGCCACATTTGTTTTATCATTCTTTCTCTTTTGTGTGTGTGAGAGAATAGAATGTTTTATTCCAACCATTGAGAATAAGTTGTATACATTATGCTCCTCTGTCCATGAATACTTCAGTGTGTATTCGCTATGAATAAGGACACCTTTATATAACCACAGTACAGTTATCAACTTCAAAAAATTCAACACTGACAAAAAATCCCAACATTTTGGATTTTCCCATGTATTCTCATAAGAAAAAAGAGTCTAGTTTCTTAAACTCTGATTATGATATAAACACACAATATCAAAGATAAGCACCACAAAAGTTTCCATCCGTGCTTTCCCTTCTTTTAGTCTCTGAAATCATTTGGGATAGAAATTGTCTTTCTTGTAGGTTTGGTAAAAAATGAATACATTTCATATTATTTCCCATTTTAAAAGAAGAGATTTAATTACCAAGTGAAAACCTCTTAACTTGTTTTCTTTTATAAAAGGAGAAATTTAATTACCATTTTAAATTCTTTAATGATTAGAGGTTTGTTCAGGTTTCAAATTTCTTCCTGGAACCAGAAAGGACAAAGAGAGGAGAGGAAACTGGTCATGCCTGGTAACCACTGAAGCAATTCATTTCAGACCTGTGTTACAACTCCTGATAAATGAAATCAAAGAGGATCACACTCATGTGTGTGTGATTTCTGAATAGTGCCCCAAAGAAAGTGCTAAACCTGACCAACAACAGCAACATTCTCAATAGGAGGTGGAGTGAGGATTGGTGCCACAAGGAACCTGGAGCTGATCCTAAAGGAAAATAAATATCTACTAGTTGTTGACCGATGTCACTGTGCACTTCTCTCACAAACAATGCCTTTATTCCTCACCACCATACAAAAAAGGAATTAATATTAACCCCATACATACATGGTAAAATTGACGCTCAGAAGGATGAATTCCCGAGCAATTTGGACATAACTCACACAATTATGATTTAAGATATGATCTGTCTCACTCAAAATCCACTATTCTTTCCACTCCACATGCTGAGAGCAAGGCCACAAATCCCACCACCTCTCTCACTTCTCTCCTTTCCTCCCATCATCCCCCATGTCCTAGACCATGGGCCAGGTACAGTGGCTCATGCCTGTAATCCCAATGCTTTGGGAGACCGAGGCGGGAGAATCACTTGAGGCTAGGAGTAACATAGGCTGGTCTTGAACCAGCCTATGAGACCTCATCTCAAAAAGAAAAAAAGAAAAAGAAAGAAAGGATGGAAGGAAAGAAGGAAGGAAGGGAGGGAGGGAGGGAAAGAAAGAAAGAGAAAAAAGAAAGAAAGAAAGAAAGAGAAAAAGAAAGAAAGAGAAAGAAAGAAAGAAAGAAAGAAAGAAAGAAAGAAAGAAAGAAAGAAAGAAAGAAAGAGAGAAAGAAAGAAAGAAAGAAAGAGAGAAAGAAAGGGAAAGGAAAGGAAAGGAAAGGAAAGGAAAGGAAAGGAAAGGAAAGGAAAGGAAAGGAAAGGAAAGGAAAGGAAAGGAAAGTCAGGTGTGATTATATGCACCTGTAGTCCTAGCTACTTGAGAGGCTGAGGCAGGAGACCCCCTTCAACCGAGGAGTTCAAGGTTACAGGGAGCTATGACTGCACCATTGCACTTCAGCATGGGCAACAGAGTAAGACTCTGTCTCTTAAAAGTAAACAGATAAATAAATAAATATATTGAGTCTAACAGGGTGGGAAAACACTTAGATAATCTCTAGAGAGACTCTGACTATACTAGTCTAGGCTTGACTCGTCAGCCATCTCATGCCCATTCCCAACCCACCCAGAGATCCCGCAAACCTGGGAGATCCTAACAAACCATTTTTTAAATGAAGAGAAGAGACTATGGCAGAATCTACAGACTGATGCAATCCACATCCATTTCAACCATTTTTTATGTATCTCTCTATAGTGCAGAGGCTACAATGTTAAAAGCTACATTCTCCAGACCCCCTGAAGGTAGGGTCGGCTGTCATTTATGTTTCACCAGTCAGATGCACTCTCACAAGGGTTGAACCAAGGCTAAGTTAGAGGAAAGCAGAGTGTAGGACATATATTCTGCTGGTACAGACCATGGCAGAAGCAGAATGGTTCTCCAGCCGGGAGCTTCCTGAATTGTAGCCAAGGCACCATGACTCAGGGGGAGGAAATTTTCCTGATACTCAGTGTACCGGCTTCTCCTTCAGCCCTCCAAGTGATTTTGTAGGACATCTAATCCTAATAATAAACTTTCTGTTTAAACTAGCTAGAGTAGTTCCTGGTTTTGTAACTGATGCTTAACCAATATAGAAGATAAGAGAGATACAGGAGTTTGCCTGAGGTCAATCAGCTAGTTGATGCCAGAGCTGAGGTTCGAACTCAAGAATCTTAGGATGTGGCCTTCTGCTCCCAACCTCAAGTAACCTGAACTCTTGGGACACCAATCAGTGGGGCTGGGGTAAAAGGAATTCTTAGGGAGATCCTGTGTTCCCCGGTTTTAGCTGACTCCTCTTCACCCCATTGGTGAAGGAGGAATTTCTGACCTAGGGTTATAAGGATGGCCAACCACATGACACCCATTGCTGAACAGATGAGATCCATAGCTGTTTATTTTTCACATCCCAGCCTGGGGACAAGGACACTGCATGCCACCCAGGGCCACAGGGAGATTGCACTTGGGAGCCCCGTGTGCCACCGGGGGCTGTGAGAGGCAAGGTTTATAGTGTTATGAGGGTGAGATGTTCTCTGCCTCCCACAGGAGGGTATGACTGGCTTGCTTGAATAATTCTGCAGGCTGTCAGGAAACTGAAACCCATTCATCAGGAGTAAGCAGGACCTGTAGCTGGTCCCTTAATAAAGAGGTTGTTTAGCTATGAGACTTTTACCATGGGAATACAGTAAAGAGGGAAACTTGAGATTAGTAAATTCCAGGTCCCTCGTGATTTTATCAGATGTCACGGTAGCAGATAAGATTGAATTTGAATTTTAAATTTTGGACCACATCTCCTTGAACAAAATTGTTGAGATGATGGGAAAAAAAACAGTGTTGAAGATAGCAGTGCCAGGCAGCTACTCCCTCAAAGGGATAAATAAGCAGGTGACCTCTTATTAATGGCCCAGGGCACCAGCAGTTGTGGTCATAAGTGAGTTACATGAAGTCAGCCTCTCCTGGATTTTTCACGATGTGAATACATGCTTTTCCATACATGCCCTTACAGTACTAGAATTCATCTTAGCACTGGCCTTTCTTCTCACAGTTGTTTGGGGGTTTGGGCATCACATACTGGCCTCTGGTACTTCCAGACCTTCGGCATAACAAGAGAGAGCAAGACCATATGTCATCCCTGTCCCTAGGATTCTGCCCCACCACTTCCAGTGGATGCAATCAAGCCTGAGAATTGCCTTCAGGAACAAGCAACCACCCTGTTGGCCAGTGTTGAACTTTCCCTGGCAATACAACCCGTAATGTTAGTCAGCTTCTGGTCTATTTGCTTCCATGGACTTGTAACCAAAGCCAAGTATCTTGTTGTATAGATGTTAATTAATTCATTATGCTCCATATTTCATGTATGCTTTTGAGGTGATCGCTCACATTTTTAATTCTAAAAAAATTTTTGGCTGGGCACTGTGGCTCATGCCTGTAATCCCAGCCCTCTGGGAGGCCAAGATGAGTGGATTGCTTGAGTCCAGGAGTTCAAGACTAGCCTGGGTGACATAGTAAAATCCCGTGTCTACAAAAGATACAAAAAGTAGCCGAGCGTGGTAGTGTGCACCTGTAGTCCCAGCTACTCCAGAGGCTGAGGTGAGAGGGTCACCTGAGCCCAGGAGGTGGAGGTCACAGTGAGCCAAGATTGTGCCGCTGCACTCCAGCCTGGGTGACAGAGTGAGACCCCACCTCAAAAATACAAATACAAATAAAAATTTTTATCTCCTATTACTTCTCTAAATATCCTCCTCTCTCTTTTCCCTCATTCTAAAACTTGAATTGGGTGCGTTTACACACTCTTATTTTTTCCATATCCATCTGTTCTTGATTCATATCTACCTGGTTTTATTTCCTAATGTCTTTTATGGATGTTAAGAAAACATGGGTGGATGGATGTTTATGGAACCTCTTCTCTTTTTATGGATCTTATTCCTTTTATCCCCCTAAAAGTCTTAAAATTCTTATTTCAAGGTGATTTTGGGGATTAGGCTGTTACTTACATTTTGTCTCGAGTGACAATTGTTAAGTTTGTTGCTGTTTCAAGAGGTCCCTAATCAAAATGCCTTTTATAATCCTGGAACCTCCCAACACTAACAACTATTTTTCTCAGTATTGGTTTAAAAGTGAAATTAAATTGAGTATCACAATTAAGCAAGTTATACCAAGATTGGTGTACATTTCTCAGAAACAAAATTTATGTGTTGCAACAAACAGGACATGAAGTGATTACAAAGTACCTGTGAGAAGTTTCTCTCTATGGAAACATTGTGCCAGCTGGCTGTTTTGTTTAGTTTCAAAGCACGGTAGGACGTGCCTATGGAACCTGCCTCAAGGGAAGCAGTGGAATTAACATAGGTTTTACTACAGCCAATCATTTGTGCATCAAGAGAGATCGGGAAAGACAAAAGAACACTTCCTTTCTTAAAAATAAAATTATAGCTGGGTGGGGTGGCTCATGCCTGTAATCCCAGCACTTTGGGAGGCTAAGGCAGGCAGATTGCTTGAGTCCAGGAGTTCAAGATCATCCTGGCAAAACCACTGCACTTTGGGCAACAGAGCAAGACTCTGTCTCAAAATAAATAAATAAAGTTATGATAAAAACCTTCTATGCTCCTTCCCACCATTACTATCCTACTATTACTAGGACTGGAATCAATGTGGTGATGGCTGAATAGTGTTTTGGAAACAGACTTTAGGGCAACAGAAAAACCATTTGATTGGTTTCTAGGTATCTTGGTTTTCTAAAACTTCAGCCTTGTGGCTTGTATTAAATTAACCAAAATTAGCTCTAACTCAGGAAAAGGTTATCCCTTGGTTTTGTCAACTGTCTGAAATAGCTTGCTTTCCCAGCATTATTTTTATGCATATACTTTCCTATTTTTGTTGGCAGACTTACCTAATGGAAGGTTTTTGTTTCCCTTCTCTGTGCCCAGTCTTCCTGGTCCACCTACAATTTTGTGGTCACCTCCGTCTAGTCCCCAAGTACCCTCTGGGTCAGAATCAGGTTTTATATTAGTAGCTCAGAGCCATCCTGACCTGGTTCTTGGTTCTAAATCCCAAAACCATAGTGTGTTAGCACTGGAAGGCGTCTCGAAGATCATCTAGGCCAAATCAACCATTTCTCAGCAGAAGAAAACTGAGACTTGAGAGGAGGAGCCCTGCTCAAGTCACCTGCCAGGTAGAGTTACCCCCATGG
Organism: Homo sapiens; assembly: GCF_000001405.40. NCBI lineage: Eukaryota > Metazoa > Chordata > Mammalia > Primates > Hominidae > Homo > Homo sapiens. Next base: position 45,271,985 of record NC_000020.11, read on the forward strand.
GCACTCCCTGGGGCCTGTTCCCTGCTGCCACATGCCTCTTGACTCAATCTGGCTTCTCGAATCCAACTGAGCCTTCTCCAGCCAGCATCCAATACTTCTTCCTAACTCTTGTTTACTCATTCAATCCCTCACAAATGCCTACTGGGAATACAAATGTGAATAAGAAACACATAGACACAATTACGACTAAGAGGTAAACTGTGGGATTAGCATGACCTGAGTTCAAAGACTAGCTCGACAATTTGTTTCCTGTGTGATCTTGGGCAAGTGAAGAGACTTCTGCTGTTTTCATTAACCTATGTGAAGCAGACTTATTCATGCATTCCTAGGGTTACTGGGACAAGTAAATGGCAGAACAATCATCAAGCACCCAGCTCAGTGTCTGGCTTGCAGTAAGTCTAAAAGAGTGGTTATTATTATTATCATTACAATGTCCTTCCTGCCAGGTTGGATCTCAGAGGGGATGTCAGTCTCTTCTGTCACTTCAGACACTCATCTCTGGGGAGATCTAGTTCAGACTAGTTGACCACTAGCCCAACCTGGTTCTGTCTCCTCTGTCTAAGACTGCAGTTCCCTCTCCACTGCCTTAGCTTTGCTATCTTTAGCTTTGGCTGGAGTCCCTCTACTCTGTGCACCATTCTCTCTGAATGGAAGCTCAGAGACAAGAATTCTTGGGAACTTGTTTCTGATTCAATGCATAATCTTGAATGGCTTGGGAGGGGTAAGGTATTGCCCTTCCCAAGCCTTAATTTTCCCATCTGTATAAAGAGTGTGCTGGGTTGTGTTAAGTCAAGGTGAAGACCCCTCCTAGCACTGACACTCCTGGGCCTCCAGGAAATGCCATGCTTTCTCCATCCCCCCAGCCCCAGTAGAGGTGAACCCTTAGCCAGCTCCCACCTCCAAGCAGGTTTCTTTGGGAAGGGCAGGGGTTTCTTTCTTAGATGGGGCCATTCTGGCTGTCCCGATTCCACTCTGAGGCCTTATTTCTCTGTCAGGGCTTCTTTATCTGAGGTCCTTAGATCCCTTCTGGGATCCATAAATCCCAGGAAATGATATGCCACTGTCATGTGCATTTTTCAGAGGTGTGAGTTCATCAGCTTCTCAAAATGGCTTAGATCCCAAAAAGATTAAGACCCATTGCTGGAAGTCTAGTTCATGCCTCTATCACTTAAATTCTGATTTCCTTGTCTGTTGGATGCTCCTCTGATGTTCCCCAACCTTCTCCTTTTTTCTACATTACATCTACCTGTTAATCTGTATCTTCCTGCACTGGACTGAGAGCCCTTTGAGAGTAGGGACTGTATCAATCTTTTTCACCTCTGTATTCATAGCAAAATAACACATACCCAGTACTCAATAACTAGGGATGCTAGCTCTATGAATGTAGGAACCTTTGTGTTTGGTTCATATCTTTGTCTTAGATGCAAGGCATAGGACCTGACACATAGTCAGTGCTCAATAAACATCAGATGCAGAAAATAACTTGTGGAATGAACAAGTGAATGCATTCAGAAAGAAGCCACTTCACTCTCCAACTTTGCCCATCCCTGGGGCCCCTAAACCGTGTCTGGACATTTATGGTTTTCTTTGTTCTTAATTAGAAAAGGTCCTTTAAAAATGCGAACTTATACCAAGCTGGGATAAAGGCACTGGCATATCACCCCCAGTCTGGGGTCAGGCAACTGGGTTGGTGGCCAGATGCCCTCATGGTAGTGTTGGCCACAGTGAAAAAAAAACTCTGCTAAGCTGGATGACAAAGAAAAAGATTGGGAAATTAGGAAAAATAAGGAAAGATCAGATCATTCAAATCCTCCCTGATAATCAATGGGTGACAGATGACAGATGGGACTGCAACATCTCCTACACAGATGACAACTGTGTGGTCCAACCATTCCCCAGCTGGGGTTTTCCCACCTAAACCATTCCTGACTTGTACTTGTTAAATGTCCCCCCGCCCCCAATGATTTCCCAGAATAAAATTCTATGTAGGCTGGTAAGAGGGTGCTTCTCCTCAGTGATGAAATCCCTACAGAGGGGAGCTTGAGGTCTCAGGGAAGATGAGACCTGGAATCTGAGGCAAAGGCAGAAAAGGTTTGTGTTAAAAGATAGGGAAATAGACTGATAATGGGAGAGCTTGAATGACTTCCACCAACAGTCACCCCAGAAATGATTTTTATCAGAGACATACCGGGGCATTTCTGGCAATCTCTCAAGGGCTTAGAGGAAGGCATCCCATTTATCAAATTGCTAATGAAGGAAGCTGCAATCTGTCATGAGGAATTGAAGTTTGGAGCTCTGACAAGACCTTGAAAAAAAGAACATTGGAGATTAAGTGTCTGTCAACCAGAGCTGAACACTATCCACAAGAGAGGCCTGGGACCAGAGGGGGATTCTCTAAACTATTAAACCTTAAAGCATGAATCATTTTTAGTTCTATCATACATATAATTTACATTTAATAAAATGCACAGGTTTCAAATGTACTAGTTGATGTGTTTTAATAAATGTATACACACATGTAACCACTGCCCCAGCAAGATACAGAATATTTCCATCACTCCGGAATATTTTCTTTGTGTTCCTTTATAATCAACTTTGCTACCCGCTAGGGAATAAATCCCTGCCCTAGGCAGCCACTGATCTGCTTTCTTTCACTATTGATTAGTTTTGCGTGTTCTAGAATGTCAGATATATGGAATTATATTGTATGTAATCTTTTGTCTAGTTTTTTTGGTTAAACATAATGTTTTTGAGATTCATCCACGTTGTTGCCTGTGTTGACAACCTGTTCCTTTTTATTGCTAAGTAATATTCCATTATATGAATATCCACAATCTTTTTATCCATTCTTCTATTGACAGGCATTTGGATTTTTTCTAGTTTGGGGCTATTATGAATAGAGCATTTTTAAATATTCTTTTCAAATCTTTATATGGACATATGCTTTCATTTTTCTTGAGTAAATGCCTAGGAGTAAAATTGCAAGTCATAGGGTAGATGTATATTTAACTTCATCATAAACTACCAAAATTTTCCAAAGTGGTTGTACCATTTTGAATTTCCAGCAGCAATGCATATGAATTCTAGTTGCTTCACATCCTCACCATCACTTAATATTGTCAGTCCATTTTGTCTTAGCCACTTTAGTGGATACAAAGTAATATCTCATTGTGGATTACATTTGCATTTTCTGGTAATTAACAATGTTAAGCATCTTTTCATGTGCCGATAATGACCATTCATGTATCTTCTTTTGTGAAATAGCTATTTAAGTCTTTGGCCCTTTTTTGTTTTTTGTCTTCGTGTGACTGAGTCATAGGTGCTCTTTATATATCTATATTCTGTTAATATACACATATCCTTTGCACAATGTAATCATCCGTTGTCAGGTACATGTATTGTGAATATTTTCTCCAAGTCCTAGTGACTGACTTTCATTTGCTTAATAGTTTTTTTTTTGAAGTGCAGAAGTTTTAAATCTAAAAATCAATGGCAGCCTGAAAAAATAACAGCTCCTGAGGCCATCCAACTGGCTGTCTGCCCCAGGTACAAAAAGAAGATAAGACTCTGTCGTCAGAGTGAGCTGAGGTCCAATTCCACATGCTATCTCTCATTTAACTCTCACAGTAAATTTTATGAATTAGTTAGTTTTATGGTCTCGTTATACAAATAAGAAAACTGAGGTGTAGGGATGTGTTCCTATGTCACAGTCTAAGAGATATTTCAGACTTGAGGAAAAAGTAAGAGTTTCTGTGGCCACTTCCATGGTCAAAGGAGAGGACTGCTGGAAGAGGCGCTGCCTGTAGCCTTCCTGAAGCAAATCATGGAGAGCCACACTCGACAGTGGCGTTGTGTGTCAAAGAACAATGGTAGACAGTACTGACAATCAAGGGCTAAGGAAAAGGCTATTGCTCTGATTTGAAGGGTCCTAATAAACCTTGAGATTCTTGTAGGAGCCAATGGAAATGGGAGAGAGGCTCAATGATGTAAATGACTTATATACCATACCAGTAGGTGGGGTGGGGTAAGACAAGATTTAATTTAACTTAATTTAGAAAAAAATCAAACAAAACATTTCTTACATCCAAATATTCTAGAAAAAAAAATCTGTTCCTCACAGGCATTTTCCAATGCTCTTATGAACCCTTCCTAAACATCACTTTCTTATCCACATGACATTCCATCCAGTAAAAATGTCCACCACAGTGTACTTAGCCAGTCCCCTACTGCCTGTTCATGTTATTTCTAGTTTTTGCTATTATAAAAGCCCTAACGTAAATATCACTCATCATGCACAAAACTTTTTCCTATATTTTATGTATTTCCATTGGTCCATATTTCTTGGGGCAGATGTTCAGAAGTAAAACTATGATGTCAGTGAACACCAATATTTATAAATTCCTTGGTGTTGATTGCAAGACTATTTTCCAGGAAAACTGTACTAATTTGCAGTCCCATCTGCATGTCTGAAAGAGACTCAGCAACATTTTCAGTGACTAACTGGGTTTTCCATGTACCATAATAGAGGGAAGGACAGGGGACAGGCTCCAGACCGCATACTTGAGTGTTAAGAACAGTGGCCAGGTAGATACTCCATGGAATAAATTATTAGGTTATGTTCCAGACTCTCTCCAGGAGTGGCAAGAACTCTGGGCTTGATTTCAGCTGACCTTGATTCTCGGCCCTGCTTTGTCACTTGCTAGTTATGTGTTCCTCAGCAAGTCACTGCTTCCTCTTTCAACCTCCCTTTAAGTTATCTGCAAAACGGAGACAATAATGCCTCTATCTGGAGAGGGTCGTGAAGATCAAATGATGCCGTGTATGTTCCCACTGTGTTATAAACCACAAGCTCCTGTGTAGGCTTGAGTCTTCTCTGTATTTGGTTGATGCACTCCATTCCTAGAACATCAGCATCTCTGATGAAGCTGCTAAGATCAAGTTTGGGAATAAGAAAAGTTGAAGACTCGATCCTAGACCCGGCCAGGCGCAGTGGTTCATGCCTGTAATCCCAGCACTTTGGGAGGCCGAGGAGGGCAGATCACCTGAGGTCGGGAGATGGAGACCAGCCTGACCAACGTGAAGAAACCCCGTCTCTACTGAAAATACAAGAATTAGCTGGGCGTGCAGGCGCATGCCTGTAATCCCAGCTACTCGGGAGGCTGAGGCGGGAGAATCACTTGAACTCGGGAGGCGGAGGTTGTGGTGAGTCAAGATCACGCCATTGCACTCCAGCCTGGGCAACAAGAGCGAAACTCCATCTCAAAAAAAAAAAAAAAAAAAATTCCTAGACTCAGGAGTTCCATCAAAAAAGCCCAAAATTTTCTGCCCTTAGCACAAACACGTCAAAAGCCTGAATTCAATTTTTCCCCTTCCCACCTTCCGGTCTTTTTTTTTTTTTTTTTTTTTTTTTTTAGGTGTAGAGAGCTCTGAGAACTGCCTACCCTGTACTCCACTCAGGATGCCCCCCACAGGGTGGGTGTTTCCATGTTAGTGCCTTTCCCCTTTTCAAATAGGGGAATGAGACAAGACTCACTGCTGGACTTTCCATTTTTCCTAACACTGCCCCCCTTAACCTTGCTAAGACCCAGGTCAAAGGTTTAAAGTTATTTCTTTCAATGGCACTTCACCTCTATGATCTTCCTTCTAAAACCCATAACCCCAGTCTAACCATAAGAAAATATTAGACAATGGCAGGGCGCAGTGGCTCACACCTGTAATCCCAGCACTTTGGGAGGTCGAGGCAGGTGGGTCACCTGAGGTCAGGAGTTGAGACCTGCCTGGCCAACATGGTGAGACCCTGTCTCTACTAAAAACACAAAAAAATTAGCTGGCCATGGTGGCTCACACCTGTAATCCCAGCTACTCAAGAGGCTGAAGCAAAAGAATCACTTGAACCCGGGAGGCGGAGGTTGCAGTGAGCTGAGATCATGCCACTGCACTCCAGCCTGGGTGACAGAGCAGGACTCTGCCTCAAAAAAAAAAAGAAAGAAAGAAAATATTAGACAAACCCCAGTTGAGGGGCATCCTAGAAAACACCTGACTAGTACTCCTCAAAAACATCAAGGTCATCAAAAACAAGGAAGGTGTGGGAAATTATTACAGTCCGGAAGAGCTTAACTAGCCATGGTGACTAAATGTGAATCCTGGATGGGGATCCTGAAGCAAAAATAAAACAAACAAACAAAAAAAAAACATGTTAGGTTAAAAGTATGAAAATATGAATAAAGTCTGGACTTAAGTTATAATAATGATTCAACATTTGTTCATTTGTCGTGACAAATATGTCATACTAAAGTAAAACGTTAACAATAGGATGAGGGATATTTGGAAACTCTCTGTATAATCTTCATAAGTTTTCTGTAAGCCTGAAACTATTCTTTAAAAAAAAAAAGGTGGGGCTATTTTATGTATCTCTTTATAGGCTTAGTTGAATTTCTCAGACAAGGAGAAAAAAAATTTGTTTGTAGCAAAACTCCTCAAAGAGATATCCACACGTGGTGTCTCTAATTCCTTTCTGCTTGTATCAATCTGTTCTGGCACTGCTATAAAGAAATAACTCAGACTGGGTAATTTATAAAGAAAAGAGGTTGAATTGGCTCACGGTTCTGCAGGCTGTACAGGAAGCATAGTGGCATCTGCTTGGCTTCTGGGGAGGCCTCAGAAAGTTTCTAATCATGGGGGAAAGCAAAAGGGCAGCAGGTGTTTCACATAACAGGAGCAGGAGCAACAGAGATTAGTAGGGGGGTGGGGGTGCTATACACTTTTTTTTTTTTTTTTTTTTTTTTTGAGATAGAGCTTCAGTCTTGTTGCCCAGGCTGGAATGCAATGGTGCACTCTCGGCTCACCGCAACCTCCGCCTCCCGGGTTCAAGCGATTCTCCTGCCTCAGCCTCCCGAGTAGCTGAGATTACAGGCGCCTGCCACCATGCCTGGCTAATTTTGTATTTCTAGTAGAGATGGAGTTTCACCATGTTGGTCAGGCTGGTCTTGAACTCCTGACCTCAGGTGATCCGCCCGCCTTGGCCTCTCAAAGTGCTGGGATTACAGGCATGAGCCACTGCACCTAGCCACACACTTTTAAATGACCAGATCTCATGAGAACTCACTCACTATCACGAGAACAGCACAAGGGGATGGCCCTAAACCATGCAGGAGAAATCCACCTCCACGATCCAACTGCCTCCCACCAGGCCCCACCTCCAACACTGGGCATTACAGTTCAACATGAGATTTGGTGGAGACACAGATTCAAATCATATCACCTCCCATCCTCTCTCGCCTATGCCTACTCCAACCAGTCTGCCCCCACCACCACCTTCTCATCACTCCACTGACAATGTCTTTGTCAAAGTTACCATTGTTCTCCAGCTTGCTAAGTCCATGGTCAGTTCTCATCTCTAGTCCTAGCTGGCCCACCAGCTGCACTTGCCATGGGTGATTGCTCACTCTTCCTTGATTTACTTTCTTCACTTAGCTTCAGGACAGCATGATGTCTTGGTTTTACTCCTTCCTCATGGATTGCTCCCTCAGTCTCCTTTGCTGGTTCCTCCTCTCCTCCCCAAACACCAAATTCTGTGGATCCCTGGGCTCAGCTCTTGGTCTTCCTTTTTATCCATACTCATTTCCTTCCTTTTTTTAACTATTATTTTAAGTTCAAGGGTACACGTGCAGGTTTGTAGTATAAGTAAACTCATGGCACGGGGGTTTGTTGTACAGGTTATTTTGTTACCCAGGTATTAAGCCTAATACCCATTAATTATACTTCCTAATCCTCCCCCTCCTCTCACCCCTTATCCTCAGGCAGGCCCCAGTGTGTGTTGTTCCCCTCTATGTGTCCATGTGTTCTCATCATTTAGCTCCCACTTGTAAGTGAGAACATGTGGTATTTGGTTTTCTGGTCCTGCGTTAGTTTGCTAAGGGTAATGGCCTCCAGCTCTATCCATGTTCCTGCAAAGGACATGATCTCATTCTTTTTTTTCTCACCAGTATCGTAGCTTCAAGTACTGCTGAATGCTGATGACTCCCATATTTGTATCTCCAGCCCAGCCCTCTCACCTAAACTCCAAACTCTTATATCCAACTGACTTCCTAATGTCTCAACATAGATGCCTCATATACATCTCAAATTTAGCAGATCTAAAACTGCATTCCTGAGCCTCAATTTTTTTGAGGCTCATTTGCCTCACCTGAGGTGATCTCACCTGCCAAAACTGCCTTGCCTATCCCATCTCAGTTGATGATGACATCATCCTTTTAGTCACTCCGACCAAAAATCCTGACATCATCTTTGACTCCTCACTTACTTTTACACTCCATATCCAATCCATTAGGAAATCTAATTCATCCTACCTTCAAAATGTGATTATAAAATTATATATGAAGTACCTGTAATTTCCTAAATTGAAATATTATTAACCCACGCAGCGGGGTAGGGGAAGGGGTCCACCTTTCCCTCCATCTCTTAATATTAGGATCTAACACAAAGTGGCCCTGGCGTCCTTCCCCGCTTGAATGCTGCCTGCCCCCAGCACATGGCTGCAGCACATTAGCCTCCAACCCTCTGAAGTTCTAGCTCTACCCCGCCTAATTTCTATGTCCTGTACTCACCCTGATGTGTCCTTCATTCCTGCCCCAGCCTGGGCTCCCACCTCCCCTCCTGCCATTTCCTCCCTGCTCCTTTGCTCTTGGCTACCCTGGCTCCCTCCTGTCCCCACAATGCGTACATCTTCCTATACACTTCACCTCTGAAGTAGGAGGTGTCCCCAGCTGGCCTCTCATCCCAGATTATATGTCAATCTAGACAAGTCTCCTTGAATTCTTTGCCACTGCCAGGTCCCAGAAAGTCTCTTGCTAAGACCTTGCAAGCCAATGAGGTTATCCCAGCTTCTCTTCTATATGGCTCCCATTTATTGAAGCTGCACCAAGAGGTGAGTTCAGGTCCTAGCCTTCCCCTTCCTGGCTGTTTAATGGGGAAAATAAAAACGCCTACTTCATTTGCCAATTCTGAGGATTAAATAAGATGCCTGGCACATAACAGTCACACAATAAGTGTTTGCTGTTGTTACCCTGCTGTTACTACTGCCCTCTGCACCACGCTTCACATGCATGCTCTAATTTAATCCCTGCATTGTGGGCTGAGATTTACAAATCAAGATGTACTCTCATTTTTTTTTTAAAGAAATTGAGGCTCAGAGGGGTTACAAGTGAGATTTTTTTGAACATGCTGCAGCTAGAAAGTGGCAAAGCAGAGATTCAAACTCGGGTGGGCCTGGCCCTAAAGTGTTAGCCCTTGCTATATGATATACTGTATCCTCAAAATGACTTTCTCTGGGGAAGAGCAAATCCATAAAATGTACATACATTCACACTCCTTCTAAAAAGTAATAAGGGGCCAGGCTCAGTGGCTGACGCCTGTAATCCCAGCACTCTGGGAGGCCAAGTCGGGTGGATCACTTGAGGTCAGGAGTTCAAGACCCCATCTCTACTAAAAATACAAAAATTAGGCAGGCATGATGGTGCATTCCTGTAATCCCAGCTACTCAGGAGGCTGAAGCGGGAGAATTGCTTGAACCCAGGAGGCAGAGGTTGCAGTAAGCCGAGATCGCACTACTGCATTCCAGCCTGGGCAACAGAGCAAGACTGTCTCAAAGAAAAAAAAAAGAAAGAAAAATAGGAAGTAATATGGAAATATATAGCAAAAAGTCTTACAGATGCTTGTACCATTTATAAAATGCCTAAATAAAACAGTTGGAGTTATGTATAACAAGATATTATTAGTTTCTCTTTTGTTTGTGGAAATGCACATGATGTTTTAGTCAATTACTATTTCTGCTATCTCAAGACAACTCCTGGCCAGGCTCAGTGGCTCACTCCTGTAATCCTAGCACTCTGGGAGGCCAAGGCAGGTGGATCACTTGAGCCTAGGAGTTCGAGATCAGTTTGGGCAACATGGCGAAACCCTGTCTCTACCAAAAAAGAATGAAAAAAAAAAAAAAAAAACTAGCTGAGTGTGGTGGTGTGCACCTGTAGTCCCAGCTACTCGGGTAAGGAGGATCACCTGAGGCTGGGAAGTGGAGGTTGCGGTGAGCCAAGATCTTGCCACTCCACTACAGCCTAGGCAACAGAGTGAGACTGTCTCAAAAAAAAGAAAAAAGAAAAAAAAAACAGATAAAAGACCACTCCTTTCTCTGGGTTGCAGGGCATAAGAAATTACAATGGGTACACAAGACATCAAGGAACAAAGAGACCACAAGTCCTCTGCACACCTCCCAGGGGCAACATGACTCTTTGAAATAGATGTGACACCCTCTGGAGGAGGGGGACATGAACAGTCTCTGTTGGGGAAAGTAACTAGGGTCTTAATTTTCTCATTTCTATTGCAAAATGTCATCATCCAGAATTCTTTCCAATAACACATCAGCCCCTTTGAATTTACCTCACACATTTTTTAAAGGTGTTGTTTGCTTACTGTCTGTTTTTTCCTTTCTACTCTCTCTCCCATCCTGTTGTTTCTATATTTGATACAAATATTTAAATTAAACATAGTAGAAGGATGGTTTGCATTAGGGCTTATGTTGCACTTGGCCGTGATGCCCAGGGCCCAGGTGCACGTGCCTCCAACAGCAGGGCAGACACCTGTTAGCCAGTGATTTTTTTATTAGAAAAATAATACAAGAACTTCTAATTAAAGATGGCAAAATGAAAGTGATGTAGCTCCACTTTCTTCTTGGAAACCCACAGCCTTCCTTCTTTGATGAAATTAGAAAGCAGTTTCAATCCTGGGCCACAGTTGGTTTTGAAGATGTGGATGGGAGGGTAACAGGGAAACCCACTGGAAAGGGTTAAGGTGCAGCTCAAGTGAAAACAATAGAGGTGAAAGCTCCAAGCACAGAGCCTGGCACATAGTAGGTGCTCCATGGCCCTTATTCATGAAGGACGCTTGTTTTCTTCAAGCAGAGGGACTGCTAAGCTTGAGCCAGGAGGAAGGGTGTGGGGAAGAGCCAGCATGAATGAGGGCCACTGCCAGGAGAGGTGTCTCTTTCTCTCCCTCACACACACACACACACACACACACACACAACACAAACACACACCAAAACACAAACACACACCAAAACACACATACACATACAAACACACAATATACACACACAAACATACAACACAAACACAACACACACACCAACACATACGTATGGAAACACACAGATACACATGTACACACACTCAAATACATACACACACATATACATACACAGAAACACATATACACAACACACACACGTACACAAACACACAGAAGCACACCACACACGCACACATATACATGGAAACACACACACACACACACACACACACACACACACTTTCTCCACGAGAAGGAGCAGAATCCAGGCCAAACCCATGGAATCAGATCCTGGGGCAGAACCAGCCACGAGTCAGCCAGTGGGCGGGGTCAGGGAGATCTGGAGGACATGTGGATGACTTGGGGGGTGGCCCCCACTCAAACCAGACCCCTCTGTCCTTTGACATCCCCAGCCTTCAGTCCAAACCCTCTGCCTGGCACCCAACTTGAGGCTGGAGAGAGGGTGTGGCTGAGCTTCAGCCCTGACAAAAGCCGCACCTCTCTGCCAGCCACAGCTGTGGCCCATGGGAGGGAGCTAGATCCTGGGCTGGGACCTGAAAGGTCTGGCCCCACCCAGCATGGCGATTATCTTGACATGTAAACTTGGGCAAGTTACTCTCCCTCTCCAGTCCTGAATTTTCCCTTCTGCAAAATGGGAGTAGCCACATTGCCTTGTCTTCCTCCAAGGGGATGGTTGTGTGGCTCTGCTGAACTATTCATAATAGGAAATTGCTTTGTGACTCGCCCAAAACATTAGTCACTGTGATTATTAGCATCATCATCATTATTGTTCCTCAATCCACATGCCAACTGTCCTCCACCCTCTCTCTCCTCTTGCCCTCTGGAAAGCAGCTGAGTTGACAGTGGAAGGCTCCCCAGCACTCCCACGAGTCCTTCCCTGACTTACCTCTCTCCTCCAAGAACCTCTGCCTTTTGCCAGCTGGTATTGAGTCAAGGGAAGGCCCCCGCTTTCATCCCAAACATTCTCCCCCCGACTGACCACCCTGATGAAGTGGCAAGAGCCCTGCTCATCAAGGGGCTCACTGATGGTTTGGGGGCATATCTCATCCTCTCTCTGACCTCAGCTGCCTCATCTGTAGAGGGAAAGTGTTGATGCAAACTTCACAGTGTTGGCATGAGCACTACACAGGATCATGTAAGATAAAGAGCCCATTTCAGGCCGGATGCAGTCACTCATGCCTATAATACCAGAGCTTTGGGAGGCTGAGGTGGGAGGATCACTTGCGCCCAGGAGTTTCAGACCAGCCTGGACAACATAGTGAGATCTCATCTCTACAAAAAATGAAAAAAATAGCTAGTTGTGGTGGCATGCACCTGTAGTCCTAGCTACTCAGAAGGCTAAGGTGGGAAGATCACTTGAGCCTGCGAGAGCAAGCCTTCAGTGAACTGTGATTGTGCCACTGCACTCCAGCCTGGATGACAGAGCAAGACCCTGTCTCCAAAAAAAAAGCGGGGGGAATAGGGTACAGGTGGGGGCTGGACAATAGGCTCTGGGAAGCTTGTCATTGCATTTGTCTGTGTAGTGTAGAATAGCTAAACTATCCAGACATCCATCAATAAGAAATGGTTAAGTGAAATACAACACATACATAGAGTAGAATACTACACAGCCCTTAGAAAGAATGGAGGAAGGCATGGTCAGAGTTCTTGGTTGCAAGCAACAGACATGCCACACCTGGCTGATATCAGACAGACCATTTCACAAGTCCAGGGTGTACCATCCACACTGGGTTCTATGTAAATACCCCCCTCCTGCTATGTTTTTTGAAACTGTGAAACTTAGAAGCTTTGCAAAGATACCAGGGAGTTTATAGAAATAATGATTAGAGGCTGGGCATGGTGGCTTATGGCTGTAATCCCAGCACTTTGGGAGGCCGAGGCAGGCGGATCACAAGGTCAAGAGATCGAGACCATCCTGGCCAACATGGTGAAACCCCGTCTCTACTAAAAATACAAAAATTAGCCGAGTGTGTTGGCGTGTGCCTGTAGTTCCAGCTGCTCGGAAGGCTGAGGCAGGAGAATCGCTTGGACCTGGAAGGTGGAGGTTGCAGTGAGCCAAGATCACGTCCCTGCACTCCAGCCGAGCAACAGAGCAAGACTCCATCTCAAAAAAAAATAAAAAATAAAATAAAATAAAATAAGAAATAATGATCAGAAACCAAGGAAGTCAGCCGAGGTCACCGGCAAGAATCATCTGGTCAGGATTTTTTCAGTGGCTCTCAATATCATCCCCATCGTAAATGGCTTTCCAACTGTTCCTGCACCTTTGGCTTATTCTCTCAAGACTATATCCCCAAGGAAAAGGCATAGAATAATTAAACCTCAGCCATGCATTTTATTTATTAACAAACACTCATGTTTGTACATACTATATACCAGGCACTGTTGTAAGAATGTTAAGTGGATTGTCTCCTGATTGCTTTATTTGAATTTATTTAATCCTCACAACAATTCTATGAGGTTGGTGCTATTATTAACTTCATTTTCTGAATGACAACACTGAGACAACTTGTCCAATTTATTTGACAAATAAGCAAACCTGGGATTTTAAACCAAACAAACTGGTTTTGGAGCACTACACTAGCTGCCTCTACAGGCATAGGAGACGTCTAGAAGGAATCACAAGAAATCATTCTGTGGTAATCTCTAGGGAATAGGATTAACGGAAGCAGGGGATCTTTTTTCACTTGATCGGTTCTATGCTATAGACGTTTTGTTTATTTATTTTTTGAGACAGTCTCACTCTGTCGCCCAGGCGAGAGTACAGTGGTGCAATCTCAGCTCGCTGCAACCTCCGCCTCCCAGGCTCAAGCTATCCTCCCACCTCAGCCTCCCAAGTAGCTGGGACTACAGGTGCATGCCACCATGACCACCTAATATTTGTATTTTTAGCAGAGATGAGGTTTCTTCATGTTGGCCAGGCTGGTCTCAAACTCCTGAGCTCAAGCCATCTGCCCACCTTGGCCTCCCAAACTGCTAGGATTGTAGGCATGAGCCACTGTGTCTGGCCTAAGTTTTATTTTAATGACGACCCTGGACGGCTTGTATGGTGAAAATATTTTTAATACAAAGGTTTTATCTATCTGATTTTTGTTTGTTTGTTTTAGTCTGTGTATGTGAAGCCAAAAGCTGAGCTAGCTCTGAGGGAAGGAGGGCTAGGGCGCGCAATGAGCCACCAAGGAATTCTGCCAGGGTTGGAGTTGGAAGGACAATTTGTTGGGGGCCTGAGATGAGAAGGAGGAGGAGGAGGTGATTGCCGCCAGTCTTCTGCAGTTGCTCTTAAACTTGAGCCTGCATCACAGCCACCCGGAGGGCTTTTGGAAACGTTGCTGGGCCCCACACCCAGAGCTTTAAACTAGTAGATCCAGGGTGTGGCCCAAGAATGTTCATTTCTAACGTGTTCCCAGATGATGCTCATGCTGCTGGTCCAAGATCACACTCAGAACCACAGCTCTACCCTTATGGGCAGCACTGTACAACTTTTTTTTTTTTTTTTTTTTTTTTTTTTTAGATGAAGTTTCGCTCTTGTTGCCCAGGCTCGAGTGCAATGGCGTAATCTCGGCTCACCGCAACCTCTACCTCCCGGGTTCAAGCGATTCTCCTGTCTCAGCCTCCCGAGTAGCTGGGATTACAGGCACCCGCCACCATGCCCAGCTAATTTTTTATTTTTAGTAGAGATGAGATTTCACCACATTGGTCAGGCTGGTCTTGAACTCCTGACCTCAGGTGATCCATCTGCCTCGGCCTCCCAAAGTGCTGGGATTAACAGGCATGAGCCATCGCCTGGCAGCTCTGTACAACTTACAGAGCATGTGCACGTTACCTGGTCTCATCTAGTCCTCCCCACAGCCCTGAGAGAGAAGGGGGCAGGCAAGGGCAGGGCAGCTATACCTGCTGTGTTGCTAAGGGGAATGAGGGGTGCCCACCTCGCCGCAGCCTGCCATGCCCCAGTTATCCGGTACCCACCACCCCTCCACCATCAGCTCCCACCACACTACCTCACCCAGTGAATGCCAGCTCACAAGCCTTCTCTCCGCCCCAGAACTTCAAGCTTTGTTTATCCCAGAAGGCCCCCACATCTGCACTCTCTCCCCCTGGAACAATGGAAGGCTGCCTCCCTCTCAGACCTCAGTTCAAATTTCGCCCCCTCAGGGAGTCTCCCTTGACCACCTCACTTAATCACCTCTCCCCTTTCCAGGTGTCCTCTATACCTGTGATGAGTGACGCAGTGGCCACAAATCACATGGGGCTATTTAAATTTAAATTATCTAAAACAGAACTTAAAATTCAGTTTCTTGGTCACATTAGTCACATTGACTGCTATGTTGGACAGCAAGGATATAGAACCTTTCCACCATCACGGAAATCCTGTGGACAGCGCAGCTCTCTACCCTTACTCAATTTCATCATCTTCCCAGCAATGATCACTAGTTGAAACCTTATTCATTTACTGACTTGTTGTCTGCCCTCTCCTAGAACACAAGTTTCTTAAAGACAGTGTAGGACTCTCTTTTTCACCACTGAATCCCCAGTGTTCAGCACAGTACCTAACATATTCCCAAAGCAGGTATTCAAGAAACATTTACTGGGAGGGTATTTTGGGGGGCAACTGCCAAGATTAGGAATTGGAGTCCTGTAATAGGGAACAGGGGTCACTCAGATTATCTTGTTCATCTGGGAGAAAATACACCTCAATTATTATCTGCATAGTGTAGTTAGTTGTTAGCTTTTTTCTGTCTATATCCTCTATTAATTTCCATCCTCATCTCAGCTGCTGGGAAGAACACGCATGCCCTGGCTGCCTAGAGAGGGATAAACAGCAGCAGTTCCATTCACCGCTTCAGGAAAAAGAACCATCTTGGACCTGGGAAAGAGCAGAGCAAGGGATGAGGTGGGCTGGAGATGGGATTGTCCATGGCAGGAGGAAGAACAGAAAGAAACAGTGGCTCATGGATCCGGGAGTTTTAAATGAGCTTGGGATACCCTAGAATGAAGAATCAGTGCCCAGCTCTGGACTGACACAGTCTGGACTTAAGTCTCTGCTCCACGGCTTATTTGCTGTGCAAATTACTTTCTGGGACTGGGTTTCTTTGTCTGTAAATTAAGAATAACAATATATTTTTCTAATTAAGATGGTTATGGGAATTAAATGGGTTCTTCATAAGTCCTTAGAATTTCAGGCCCTTAGTATATGTTCTTTTTTATCACCTTTTCCAAAGCCCCAGGGCTGCCACTCACCTCCCGCAACAAAAAAATTGCTTCCCAGCAGTTGCTCCTCATACCTCCCCTTCCAGCCTTCCCTCTCCTCTCCAGCACATGTCTCTGGACTAAAACCCTTGTGACTGAACCTGCCTTCTCTGCCCAGCCCCTGGTGACTCCTAACAAACTTGTAATGCTTGCCCTGGCATTCACATTTGCTTTCCCATTTGCTGTTTCTCAGCTTAGCTCCTCACGTCCGCTCATGTGGGGCGCAAGGTCTAGTACACGCCCACACCCAAGATCCTGAGACCCTAGTCTGCTCCCCTGCCTGGTGGAGGACACTGAGCCCTTGCCCAGCACTCATGTCCATCACCAGAAGCTTTGTGTCTCCTTTCTTCCTCTGATCACTTGTGCAGTGTCACCCAGGAGCTGGGAGAAACAAAGATTCCTGGGCCCCACTGCAGGATGCTGCATTTTAACAGACCCTCAGGTGATTCATAAGTCCATGAAGTCTTGTGGGTTAGAACCACTAACCCACAAGCCCTTGTCATGGGATGCAGCATGATCCACCTGGGGGACTGAGGGCGACTGTCTTCTCCAGCCTCACCCTCCCCACATGCCCTTGAAAAGCCACTCGAGTCCTGTGCCCAGGAGCCCTCTCCTCCTTTATCATCTGCGGAATGTCTACCCTTCCTTGCTGGTGCAGCTCACTTGCCACCTCCTCCAGGAAGCCTTCCTGGGCTCCATAAAGCTGAGCTGCTTATGCCCTCCTCTGTGTATTTAACAGCAATTTGCTTTTCATTGTGTGATGTGGCCGAACTTCTTCATTGGGCCTGGGGATCTGAAGCCACGCCACTTCAAATGAGTGGGAGGGTGTGGAAAAAGGGCAAGTAATGGCCTGCAGAGAAAGGGGCCCTTCCTGATCATCCACTGTGCATGTTCACATTCATCAATGACTTCGCTCTTTCCTTTTAACCTATGAGGTTGGCGTTGCCCACAGGTTTTTTTTGTTGTTGTTATTGTTTTGTTTCTTGGTTTTGTTTGTTTTTGAGACGGAGTCTCCCTCTGTCGCCCAGGCTGGAGTGCAGTGGCGCGATCTTGGCTCACTGAAACTCTGCCTCCTGGGTTCAAGCGATTCTCCTGCTTCAGCCTCCTGAGTAGCTGGGATTACAGGCACATGCCACCATACCCGGCTAATTTTTGTATTTTTAGTAGAGACGGGGCTTCACCATGTTGGTCAGGCTGGTCTTGAACTCCTGACCTTGTGATCCGCCCGCCTCAACCTCCCAAAGTGCTTGGCATTACAGGTGTGAGCCACCATGCCTGGCCTGCTCACAGGTTTTACAAGAGGGGACACTGAGGCAAAAGTGTCCCATGGAGGCTGTGCTGCTGACAAACGGCAGAGCGGCTCCTGCCATTCACCTGCACTGTATCTCGGGCTTTGCTTTGGTCTACTCCATAAACTTCCTGAAAAAGGTTTCTTTGAAAAAGTCCAAATTTGTCCCTAATAACTGAAGGGTAGAAATGTGAAATGGGCCTACTCTGGGATCAAGACCACCTGGGTTCAAACCCTAACTTGGAAGCTCTGGGCCTTGGGCAACTAACTGGCCTCTTTCAAGTTCAGTTTTCCCTCCTGTAGGTTGAGAGGTTTCAACGAGACAACACAGATGAAAGGCACAGCCTGGCCCCCAGCATGCAGGCCAGTGTTTGGTAATTGATAGTTTTCTCTCCTGTTTCACTATCCTAGGTCCAAAGAACCAGAAGAGTAGACAGTCCTTAGAGACAGCAGCTGTGCCGGCTGCAGAAATGGAGAGAGCTGTGAGCTAGAATAGAAGAAGAGAAAGGCCAAAAACCACGGAGAAACAGAGCCAGACAACACAGAGGTGAAATTCAGAAAGCGAGTCCAGCACTTGGCTGAAGTTACAGGCCCTTCCTGCCCTGCCCTTTCCCACCCAAGGCCATGCCTAGTTCATGTTACTAAGTCTAAGAAACAGCTCCAGAAGTGGCATCTCTGCTAACCACTAGGGAAGATATTGTCGTTTTTTAATGATTCAAACTCTCCAGGGAACCAAGAAGGCTGAGGGCGCTGAGTTCTCTCCACACACCTGGGCTCAGGACTCCCCCAATATCTACGTGCTTTATTCCTGATCTTAACAGGCTCTGAAAGCCACATAAACCCGTGCTTGCCTGGGTACCAAAAGACCCGGGCCCGGGGGTCTTTGTTCGGGCTCGGTGCCTTCTCCATCTAAGCTTTCTTGGCAGTGTTACTCTCCTCACACTGTTACTTGGGTTCTCACTTTCTGTTCTTGAGTTAATGGATGTTTGTTTTCCTGAATTCACGGGTCCTTTGTAAGTCTTCTATCCCATAACGTAAGATGGGGGTATAAACAAAGAAGCAAGCGCTAGCTGACCTTATGTGGGGCATGGTTAGGGAACAGGAATTCCCTGTATCCAGCAGGGTTAAGCTGGTAGGAGGAAAGGGAAATGAGAGAAAGGAATCAAGAAGTGAGAAAGGGAACCAGTACCTGTCAACACCAACACACACCTGGTAAGTAGCAGGGCTGGTCTTCAAATCCAGGACTATGGGGCCACTGCATGGGAACAGAAGCAGCTTGTAGACTTCGGTGGTGGGGCTGCCAGAGTCGGGGAATTAAGGGAGGACAGGCTCTGCAGCCCAAGTGCCAGATGCCAACGGCCTGCGAAGGCTCTAGGACCCAGCTCCAAATCAGTGCTCCCGGCGCCATCCAGTGGCCATTAGGGAGATTGCAAGAGAAAAAAGCATGAGAAAAGAAACCCCAGAGAAGCCAGTGCCTGCCAACTCCAGGGAAGAGGAAGGAAGGAGCCTGGCCTTTGCCCTCAGTGCCCCCTATCAGTTGACTACCCTGCTCCAGTTTGACCTCCCCACTAGGCTTCTTCCTGGTGCAACTGATGTTTTCTCTCTGTGTGACCTTGGGCAGGCAACTCTGGCCTCTAGGCCTCAGTTTCCCCAACTGTAAAATGAATGGTAAGGCAAGGTGAGGTCACATGCCAAGTCCATAGGTCTTTAGCTCATCTGATCCTCATGGCCAGGTAAGATGATCATTCCCATCCCCCCATACTCCAGTCCCTCCTGACCACGCATAGTTCAAGCTTCACTCACCTGTAAAGTCTTCCATGGCCTCCTGCGGAAATTCCAGCCACCGTTTAAGGATCACCTCTCCAGGATTTCTCCCTCCTCTCATCTGAAGTTCCCTCTTTCTGCAACAGTCAGGTGGACCTCAGCCCTTCTAGCCCGGAGCTTCCTCAGCTCAAGAGTTTTTCTCAATCATCAGTTTCTCCCTCTTCACCAAGCCTAGCAAGGTGCCCGGCACAGAGTACTTAAGAGCAGCTGCTCTGAAGTCAGTCAGCCTGGCTTCAAGCCCCATGTGGTAGGCAGAATGGCCTTCCCCACAAAGATGTACACATTTTAATCCCCGGCACCTGTGATTTCACCTCACACGACAAAAGGGACTTTGCAGATGTGGTTAAGATAGAGAGCTTGAGGCTGGGCGCGGTGGCTCACGCCTGTAATCCCAACACTTTGGGAGGCTGAGGCAGGCGGATCACCTGAGGTCGGAAGTTCAAGTCCAGCCTGACCAACATGGAGAAACTCTGTTTCTACTAAAAATACAAAAAATTAGCTGGGAGTGGTGGCATACACCTGTAATCCCAGCTACTCAGGAGGCTGAGGCAGGAGAATCGCTTGAACCCAGGAGGCGGAGGTTGCAGTGAGCCGAGATCGCACCATTGCACTCCAGCCTGGGCAACAAGAGCAAAAACTCCATCTCAAAAAAAAAAAAAGATAGCTTGAGATGGGATTATCTTTGATTATCAAGGTCATGCCAATATAAACAGAAGGGTCCTTATAAGACAGAGACGGGAAGGTCAGAGTCAGAGAAAGAGATGTGCTGATGGAAACTGAGTCTGAAGTGATGTAGGGCCATGACCCAAGGAATTCAGGTAGCCTCTAGAAGCTGGAAAAGGCCAGGAAACAAAAGCCTCTAGAAGGAATAAAGCCTTGCCAACACATCTTAGACTTCTGACCTAAAAACTGTAAGGTAATAAATGTGTGTTGCTAGCCACTCAATTTGTGGTAACTTATTAGAGCAGCCATAGGAAACATCCTGGTTCAGCTTCGTACTGGTTATGTTACTGTTGGAAACTTAACCTTTCTGTGTCTCAGTGTCCTCATCTGTAAAATGGGGATGATAAAGGCAATAATTCTTATTTCACTGGTTCCAAGTATAAAATGAAAATACCTGCAAATCAGTTACAATAATGCCCAACACTAAATATGTTAGCTGTTACTATAAGAACAGTTAATAGCTACCATTAATTGAGGGATAGGTACAAGGCACATGCCTTAGAAGAATGTCCTTGATTCTCCCCATCACGCTTGGGGGTAACAATTCCAGTCTCCACTTTGCAGATGAGGAAACAAACACAAAATAATTTTCCCCAAATCACTCTAGGACTGGAAGCATTTTAAACTTCGTTGTTTCTTACATGCACTCGGGAAATGGTACTGGTTTGTGTTCTTTGCTGATAGAGGTGTTTTGGGAGGGGTTGATAAGATGACAGAAGGAAGGCCACAGGCTGGACAGACAGGGGTCCTAGCTGATACCTCCTTCTCTTCCTACCTAGTGCAGGAGAGAGTTAAAATCGGTCAAAGCTCATCTATCCACTCCCACCCCATCCATTTAGGGGTTCAATTACTGCCTCTCACTTTCCCACCAACGCCACCCCCGCACCCCTTACCAGCGCTCAGTACTAGCAGCTTTTGAGCCAGATTTGGGGGCATCATGGGATAGGCGTGGCCGGGAGCGAAGCGTTCAGTCCGCTGGGGAATGGAGTGGCGCAGACTTACTCAGACCCCAAGGATTCCTGTTGAGCCCCCTCCCTTCCCGCAGCCTGCATAAGGAGCCATCTGTTCTCGGCTGAATAAACAAGCAGGGGGAAGCAGCGCCGGGTCTCCTGCCCCCGAGCCCGACCCCCGCACAATGCGCCTTTCTCCAAGGAGACGCCGCCCGGGCGCCGCCACAGCACGCTCCGTCTGGCTTCCCCTCCCCCAGGCGGCGCAGCAAGACCCAAAAACGGACCCCGTGGAAATCAGTTTTTTTTATTTTTTTAAGAACACAAACAAGAAATCCAACAAAGAACTGAGCGCAGCACGCGGCGAGGGCGTGCCGGTCTAGCACGTGCCCCTTCCCTCACCACCCGCTATCCCCCTGACGCCGCAGTCCGCCTAATGGTCCGGGCGAGGCCAACTCAGCTCAATGCCGGAAGCCCGCCAGCGCCTCCGCCCCGACAGCCCAAGCCGGACGGGCCCAGGTTCTGCCTGGCCCCGGCGCACCGATGGCGCGCAAGGGGCACCGTCCGTGGTGCCGCGCCCCAGCCCGGGTCTGGGCCGTCCGTGGCCCTCACTTCTGGTTGGCCAGCTGGTTCTCCAGATCCTCCAGGCGCGCCGTCAGCTGGGCCAGTGAGCGGTTAAGGAGGCCGTTGGGGTTCGCCGAGGTCCCTTCACTTTCCCTCCAGCCCGCGCCACCAGCCCCAAAGGATATGGTTCAGCGTCAGGCTCTCGAGCGCCCCCAGCGTGCGGCCCTGGAACTCCACGAGGCTTTCGCATTCGCATGGGCTCCGAAGCTCTGTCCCTGCGCTGATGCCCTCCTCTGCAAGCCGGACACAGAGGGTCAGGGGGATGAGAAATTGCCCTAGCTTTGGCCCTCTGATTTCCCTGCACTGGGCCTATGGTTGAGTATATGGGCTTTGGATTTAGAGAGACCTGGGCTGAGTCCCAAGCTAAGTAGCTGTGAGATACTGAAAAACTCACTAACCTTTCTAAGCTCAGTTTTCTCATCTATAAAATGGATATAATGAAAGAGTGTACGCATTAGTGGCTTCGAGGATTCATTCACCTGTGTACGTGTGTGTGTGTGTGTGTGCTCACGCACAACTTACAAGACTGTTTCTCAAACCTTAATGCTCATTGGAATCATCAGGAGAGCTTGTTAAAATATAGATTCTGCTTCAGAATGGAGAAGAAGCTCAGAAGGTACATTTCTAATAAGCTCCCAAATGATGCTGATGCTCCTGGTCTGTGGACCACACTTTGTGTAGCACTCTCCAAATAAAATTTTATGCAATGATGAAAGTGTTCTACATCTGCCCTGTCCAAAGCAGTAGCTACAAGCCACATGTGGCTGTTTAACACTTCAAATATGACTGGTGCTACTAAAGGACTAAAATGTATTTTATTTTAATCAATTGTAATTAAATAGGTACTGCCTACCTTTTTGAAAAAGCACAGATCTAGAACACTGCCTGGTTCAAGTAAATACTTTACAGCAGGGGTCCCCAATCCCCAGGCCATGGACCAGTACCAGCACATTACATGGACCAGTACCAGCCCATGGCCTGTTAGGAACTGGGCCACACAGCAGGAGGTGAGCAGCCAGCATGCAAGGGAGCTTCATCTGTATTTATAGCTGCTCCTCATTGCTCCTATTACAACCTGAGCTCCTTTCCTGTCAGATCAGTGGCATTGTTAGATTCTCATGGGAGCACAAACCCTATTGTAAACTGTGCATGTGAGGGATCTAGGTTGCAGGCTTCTTATGAAAATCTAATGCCTGATGATCTGTCACTGTCTCCCATCACCCACGGATGGCACCATCTAGCTGCAGGAAAACAAGCTGAGGGCTCCCACTGATTATACATTATGGTGAGTTGTATAATTATTTCATTGTATATTACAATGTAATAATAGAAATAAAGTGCACAATAAATGTAATGTGCTTGAACCATCCCAAAACCATTCTCCCCACCACCATCATGGAAATATTGTCTTCCGTAAAACCACTGCCTGGTGCCAAAAAGGTTGGAAACCACTGCTTTATAGTGTATTTCAACTAGACCAGTGATTCTCAAAGTGTGGTCCTTGGACCAGCAGCATCGGCATCGTGTAGGAATTTATCAAAAATGCTAATTATCAGACAACACCCCAGACTTGCTGAATTAGAAAATCTAGAGTTGAAGCCCAGCAATTTGTGTTTGTTTTTGTTTTGTTTTTTGAGCTCTGTCTCCCAGGCTGGAGTGCAGTGGTGCAATCTTGGCTCACTGTAACCTCTGCCTCCTGGGTTCAAGTGATTCTCCTGCCTCAGCCTCCCGAGTAGCTGGGATTACAGGCATGTGCCACCATGCCCTGCTAATTTTTTGTATTTTTAGTAGAGACGGGGTTTCACTGTGTTAGCCAGGATGGTCTCGATCCCCTGACCTTGTGATCTGCCCACCTCGGCCTCCCAAAGTGCTGGGATTACAGCCATGAGCCATCATGCCCAGCTGCAATTTGTGTTTTTAAAGGTCCACCAGGTGATTCTGGTGTGACCTAATTTTTAGGAACCACTGATCCTGATCCAACTCTATCTCCCCACACATCAACATCTTGGGGGTTGGGCAGGAGGCCTTACAATTAAAACTGGCACATGTTTTTTCTTAGCAGTACATAAGGTAGTGATGAATCTTAAAATGAATGGTATCTTAGATTCACTGAAATTCTATAAGCATGTGCCATTGTTAAGATTACAGGGAGGCCAGGTGCTGTGGCTCACACCTGTAATCCCAGCACTTTGGGAGGCTGAGGCGGGTGGATCACGAGGTCAGGAGATCAAGACCATCCTGGCTAACACGGTGAAACCCCATCTCTACTAAAACTAGAAAAAATTAGCCGGGCGTGGTGGCATGCGCCTGTTGTCCCAGCTACTCGAGAGGCTGAGGCAGGAGAATCGCTTGAACCTGGCAGGCAGAGGTTGCAGTAAGCCGAGATCGCACCACTGCACTCCAGCCTGGATGACAGAGCGAGACTCCATCTCAAAAAAAAAAAAAAAAAAAAAAAAAAAGATTACAGGGAATGACATAGAAAAAAAAAATGCTACAATAAAAGTACCTTAGGAAAAAAAAGAAAAAGGATTACACGTGGTGAAATAATAAGCACAATACCTGCCATTTAACCTTTGAAAACACTGCCATAATGATTTAAAAGTTGTCTCTTCATCTTAGTCTTATATGTACTATGAACAAACTGCTGGAATCCAGCAAAGACCCCTAACTTCACAGATTTGTTTCTCTAAACAAAGGGTTGGAGACAGGGAACAGTCATACCACCAATTGATAAAGAGCTTCAACCACAAAACCCAGACTTCTCTTAGAACTCTAGAACTAGAGGTAACCTTGGGCAGCCAGTGCCTCTCCTGTTACCGAAGAGAAAAGTTAAGGTAGGTGTGGGGTAAGTGACTCGTCCAAAGTCACACTGCAGGGCCCATAAGAGTCACATAGGAAGAGCTCTGAAAGAGCCCCTAATCTGAAAGAGCCACAATAATTAGAATTGGCTGAGAGCGGGGAGGGAAGGAGAGTTGGGGGAAGGACTGTATGTGTATATTTGTATGTGTATATACATGCACGTGCATGTGCATGCATACACAAACACATATTATATAATATAGTATATATAGTATATTATATATACTTTTTTTGAGACAGGGTCTCACTCTGTCACCAGGCTGGAGTGCAGTAGTGCAATCTCGGCTCACTGCAACCTCCACCTCCCAGGTTCAAGCAATTCTCCTGCCTCAGTGCCCACCACCTTGCCCAGCTAATTTTTGTATTTTTTGGTAAAGACAGGGTTTCACCATGTTGCCAAGGATGGTCTCGAACTCCTGATCTCAAGTGATCCAGCCGCCTCGGCCTCCCAGAGTGCTGGGATTACAGGTGTGAGCCACTGCGCCCAGCCCCCCTACATATATCTAAAAAAAAAAAAAGGCAAATTCTCCAGACCCAAACCAGCCCTACTTAGTCTGTTTCTGGAGCTGCAGTCTGATAAATGGGAAGAAGAGTCACATCTTAAGCCTGGGCTAGTGTCTAAAGTCTCTAGGGTAAAAGTTACCCTGGAGACATTCCCTGTATCACCTAGAGCACAGTACACTGCATGCGATTCAAGAGTCCCCTTCTTCACAGGTAGAGTCAGTCTCTTTTTCCTCAGCTGAGCACCAGATGATGAAGTAGAGGGATTGCACTTATGAGGTATGTTGTCCCCAATAAAAAAAAAAAAAGTCTTTGCATACTTAAAATATATTCAGTCCTGCCACTTTGCCAAGTTCATAAGGTTGAATTCTAACAAGTTCAGGGATATATGCTGTGGCTCCACTTACAAATGCTGTCTGGTGTGCCTTCAAAAAAATTTCCCAAATTATTCTGAACCTCCACTGATTTGGGGGACAGGTAGCCTAGTCTAGGATTTCTTAGACTTTAATATGCTTACAAATCACCTGAGAATCTTGTCGAAGTGGAAATTCTGATTCATTCGGTCTGGAGAGCACCAGAAATGTTTCAGTTCTAAGAAGCTACCGGGTGACCGCCCTGCCGCTGGCCTGCAGACCACATTTGGAGTAGCAAAGCTCTGTCTAGTGAGCCCAACCTCTGGCTATAACTACAAAGTGGGCAGGGAGTGAATAGGAAGGGGAGATATCAGAGGACGGGCAATGAGAGAGAGGAGGAGCCCCGAGAGAGATGCGCTCACCTGGACAGATGCTGCCTCTGAGGTTCTCCAGCAGGTGCGTCATGGTGCCGAAGTCCGGGGCATAGGACACGTGCAGTTCCGCTGGCTCCGAGGCGATCTCGCGCAGCTCCGCCTCCACCGCCTTGCCCACGCCCACGGCGTACATGACGATGCCTGCAAGGCCGGGGTCTCAGAGGGTGCCCCAGGCCTCGGGAAAGCTGCCTCCCAGCGTCTGACCCAACCCCAGCCCACTGTGTCCCATGCCAAGCCCACCTTCCTCCTTGGCGCGCGCTGCCCACACCGAGATGTCATCCTGGGAGCGGCCATCCGTGAAGACCAGGCCAACACGAGGCACGTTAAGGGCACGGGGCCGTGCACCCTGCGCCTCGGAGAAGCTGTGCTCCACCATGTGCCGCAACGCCAGCCCTGTCATGGTGCCGCGTTCCATGTACTCCACGGCCAGGACCGCCTGCTTCACCTCGGCTGCGGTGCCGTAGCGACCCAGAGGGAACTCGGTGCGCACGCGGCTCGAGAACTGCACCAGCCCCACCCGCGTGCCCTCGGGGGACACATCTAGGAAGTCCACAATCTGGTTCACGAAGCGCTTCACTAGCTCGAAGTTTTGTGGACGCACGCTCTTGGAGCCATCAACCAGCAGAACAAGGTCCACGTGGCCTTCCCGGCACCCTGCACAGCCAGAAAAGCTTGAATTGAGGGACCAGATTCTGGACTGGCAGCAGCTGTCTATCCATCTAGTCGTTCATTCGCAAACATTTATTATATAACAGACAACATTTCCTGAGTCCTTCCTGTGCCAGGCAGTGTGCTAAGTAATAATAATTATCACCATCATCATCACCATCACCATCATCATCACCCTCATCATCGCCCTTGACATTTATTCAGTGCTTAGAACAAACCACTCTGCTAAAAGCATCTTTTTTTAACAACAATCATAGTAATGACCACAATAACTACCATTTATTGATCATCTACTATGTATCAGGCACACTTCTAAGCACTCTACCAGTATTAACAATAATAATAACAAAAACATTATTTACCGACAGCTTACCATGTGGTAGGTACTGGGTGAAGTGCTTATATATATTCTCAATCCTCCCAATAAGCTTGAATATTGTCCCCATTTTCTATGACCTGAGGTTCTGATGGATAAAGTGATTGCCCCAGATTTCATAGCTAGTACTGACTGAGCCAAGACATGAAGCCAGGTCCATCTGACTCCAAAACCCATGCTCCTGAATGACTCTACAATGTCACCTCCCCTATTCTGAGCCAGGAAAGTTGCTAGGCCCAAAATGTGGTGTGTGTTGGCGTGGGGAGGTTTTCAAAGGTTTTGAAATAATTAAAACATAATCCTGTTCCATGAGGACAGAGCAGAGCAAGTCAGACATGCTATGTGCTCTGGTCAAGGAAAGTGCTAGAAGAGAAGATCATGCAGGGATCCCAAGGTAGGAATAGTGTATTCTTCCTGGAGTTGTTAAGGAAGGCTGCATGGAGATGATGGCCTTCTATCTGATCTTTGTTATGAACTGAATGAGTGTGTTTCCCAAAATTCATTTATTGAAACCCTACGCCTTTATGTGATAGTCTCCGGAGGTGAGATCTTTGGAGGTTAATTAGGATTAGATGAGGACATGAGGGTACAGCGCTTATGAGTAAAATTACTGTCCTTGTAAGAGTCTGAAGAGGTCAGGCATGGTGGCTCCCAGCACTTTGGGAGGCTGAGGCGGGCAGATCACTTGAGGTTAGGAGTTCGAGACCAGCCTGGCTGAGATGGCAAAACCCCATCTCCACTAAAAATACAAAAATTAGCCAAGCATGGTGGGGCACACCTGTAGTCTCAGCTACTCCAGAGGCTGTAACAGGAGAATCAGTTGAGCCCCAGAGGCAGAGGTTGCAGTGAGCCGACATCGCGCCACTGCACTCCAGCCCGAGAAACAGAGGGAGACTTAGTCTCAAAAAAAAAAAAAAAAAAAAAAGTCGAAGAGGGCTTGCTTCCTGTCTTCACCATGTGAGGACACAGCAAGAAAATTGGTGTGTGTGGGTGTGTGTGTGTAGGGGTGTGTGTGTGTGTGTGTGTGTTGGCGTGGGGAGGCTTTGAAAGGTGTGCCATCTAAGAATCAGAAAACAGGCCTTCTTTAGACACCATATCTGCTGGCACCTTGGTCTTGGACTCCTCAGCCTCCAGAATTGTGAAAACTAAATGTCTAGTCTACAGTACTTTGATATAGCAGCCTGAATGATCTAAGACAGTCTTGAAAGATCAGTAGGAGTTTGCCAAGGCAGTAAGGGACAGTCTAGAAGGTGAGATGCAGCACGTGCAGAGGCTTGGGATCTGGGGAGATCCTGACACATCCGGGGAGGGGCAGGCCAGTAAGACTGAAATGTTCAAGTGTGGCAGGAGATGGGCAGATGGAGTTGGCTGAAGCTAGATCGTGATGACCTAAGGCAGTGGTTTCAAAATTTTTATCACAGCCCACAGTAAAAATAATAATAATGACAATACATCATGAGACATTTCACACAGAACTAAAATTTCAGAAATAATATAACTCTTTCTACAGGCAGTAAACTCTATATTGTCTTCCACTCTTTTTTTTTTAATGTTGGTTGTAACCCAGTAATTTGATTTCATTATTCATTAATGTGGTTCTGCTCACCATTTGAAATACTTAGGGGTAAGTCATTTGATCTTTCTCCTGTAGTCATTGGTGAGCCACAGAAGGCTTGTGCACAAAGGAGGAATGTGATCAAATATGTATTTTTAAATTAACATTGACAGCAGAGTAGAGGATTGTAGGAAAGAGATGGAAGGAGGGAATGGCACACCCTCCAATGTCACCCCCACAACACACACAGACATTCACACCACAGCCTAGGGGCCACAGCAATGGCAAAGTCAAGGACACTCCAAATGTGGGCAATGGGGCAGAAGCCAACAGAACACCCTCCCGCCCATCACTCACGGTTGCAGCTCTTGCCATCTGCCTGAAGTTGCCGCCCCTCGGGGCACAGGCAGCGGTAGGAGAGGCCCTCGCTCACACACTGGAACTCACAGCCATGGTCCACGCCATTGCAAAGGTCCCGGACTGAAAGGAGAGACAGGTCAGGATGAGTCAGGATGGACCCCACCAGCTAAGATCTCTTACCCCTCCCACAAATGTAGGAGAGCCCTCCTCACCCTGACAGCTCCTCCCATCAGGCTGCAAGTCATGGCCCTCTCTGCAGTGGCACCGTGGCCCACCAGGGGTGCTAACACACTCATGCTGACAGCTATGGTTCCCAAAGCTGCAGTAGTCAATGGCTGGCAGGAGGGAAGAAACAGCAAGATGTTGCCTCTGATTGGAGCCCTCGGAGGCCACAGTCCAGGGTGTGGTGGGAGGGTGGGGGTGTTGCTCACCCCTGCAGCTCCTCTGGTCCTGCTGGAGTACAAAGCCAACTTGGCAGTGACAGAAATAGGAGCCTGGGGAATTGACGCAGTGGTGCTCACATCCATGGGTCCCTTCAGCACACAGATCAATGGCTGAGGAAGAAATGGGGTCAGTCTATGCCCAGGACTGCCCTTCTCAGCTCTGGTAGCACAACCACCTAAGGAAATTTTAAAGAATACCTACGCCTGGGCCCCAACCCCAAAAATCCTGACCTAATTAGTCAGGGCCCCTGTCCTCAAGATGCTCTCTGACTTACAGAGGACAGGTTTGGCCACTTTACCTATTTGAGCCTCCATTTTTCTATTTGCAAAATGGGAATATAATGGAAGACAGTGATTGCTATTCACAGCTTCCTTCCATGGAAGATGGGGAACTATTGCCCTGTTGAGCATCTTGATGATCTGGATAGGCAAAGATGGCCGAGAGCTGGACTGGAGAGAAGATAATTACCCTGTATAAAAAAGTGAGTATTTGGGGTTCCTGGAAAGGAGATGAGAGTGGAGAGAGGAAAGAAAAAAAAAAAAAAGAACAAGAGAGCCAGTATGAAGATGAGTAACTCTGTGGGTTGAGGCTGCCTGTGAAAAATCCCTTGTACTAGGCTGACTGAGGACTTTCAGAAACAAAGCTGTCTAATATTCAATTATAATGAGTTTTTCGTGTGTGTGTGCACGCGCTATGAGTTACTTAGCACATACACGCTTGTGTATGCCCCTGCATACACAAGTGTGTAAACCAACGAAGAGGTTGATTAACATGCATGGAACAAGAACAGCATGTGCAGGGTTGAGAAATGAGAGAGGATCCATAAATCAAATGAATTTAGCAGAGGCTCACAGCAAGAGGTGACAACCAGAAGATAAGCACTTGGGGGATTTCCAGAGGTCTTGGAGAGAGATTTGAATGTTAAACAGTCATCAAATCAGAGTTCAAGCCAACTTTTAGTTTCTAGAAACAAGAAGACCCCAGCTGACATCTGGGTTATTGGGATTACATGATTTCTTTTTCCAGGTTGTTGTGAGGCTGAGAGATAATAACATGTGTAATGCTCCTAGCACAATGTCTAATACTAACTTGGTACTCAGTAAAAAACTGAATTGAATAAGCGAGGTATTCTATGCCATAGCTTTTCAGAAGACAAAAATGAAGAAGCAGCTCACACCTGTAATCCCAGCACTTTGAGAGGCCAAGGCGGGAGGATCTCTTGAGCCCAGGAGTGTGAGACCAGCCTGGGCAACATAGCAAGGCCCTATCTCTTAAAAAGAGAGAGTCTTGAAAGATTTGCAAAGGCAGAGGGGAGTGGCAAGGGCAGCTCAGGTGAGCAGCACACAAAGAGCTGAGGTGCAGAGTCAAGAATGGGTGGCATGAGGGGGGACACCCACCTAATTGAAGACCCCCCAACAGTATCTAAGAAGAGAAACTGTAAGGATGTGCCTGTAAGAAGACAGAAATGGCCGGGCGCAGTGGCTCACGCCTGTAATCCCAGCGCTTTGGGAGGCCAAGGCGGGCAGATCACTTGAGGTCAGGAGTTCGAGACCAGCCTAGCCAACATGGTGAAACCCCATCTCCACTAAAAATACAAAAAATAGCTGGGTGTGGTGGCCAGCACCTGTAATCCCAGCTACTTGGGAGGCTGACACACAAGAATCACTTGAACCCGGGAGGCGGAGGTTGCAGTGAGCTAAGATCGCACCATTGCACTCCAGCTTGGGCAATAGAGCCAGACTCTGTCTCAAAAAAAAAAAAAAAAAAAAAAGAGAGAGAGAAAAGAAAAGAAGAAAACAGAAACAAGTTTGGGAGGTTGATTAGAGACTGGCCTGAAAACAGGGAGAAAGAGGGCAGAAAGCACACTGAACTGTGGGCTCCCACCAGGGACTTATGTGACCCCAGGCAATACCTTTCTTTCTTAGGCCTGTAAAGTGATGGAGGTGTGCTTTTACTGCCAAAGGCCCTTCCAGACTCATTGGTCTGATGTTGGGGCAATGGAGAGCCAAAGAAGGTTCAGGAGCAGTGAGATTGCAGGACAGGGATAGCTGTCATCCAAACAGCTCTTGTTATCTGCTGCTAGCTTGTAGCCTGGGTTGCAGGTGCAGTGGAACATGGCCCAGGCATTGACACATTGGTGCTGGCAACCATGTCCCCCCTCAGCACACTGGTCCTTCCCTGAGGACACACAGGACTAGAATCAGTAGGGAACAGATGGGCAGAAGCCTCCAACAAGAGAGAGCTGGATGGGGATGGGGTCAGAGGCAGGCATCACCCTCAAATGGCTTTCAGAAGGAAATGACTAATTTGAGAAGGGCCGTACCAAGTGAGAGGGCTTAGGGAAAGAATAAGGCTTAAGGAGCCCCTGTGAGTAGGCTCAGAAGAGGAGACACTCAATTAGACACGTCAGTGGGCTGGGACAGGACTACACAGGGGCAGGAGTGGGTAGGAAGGTGGAGAGGTGCTAAGTCGAGGTGGGCGGAATAAACTCAAAACAGATCAGAACAGATCTTGCAGCATTTGTGGGAGGAGCTAAGATGATAATGGGAGAAGTCATCCCCATGTGGGAGGGCCACGACTCTTTGGAGCAGCCGATCCCTCTTAGCTTTGAGAATCACTGGTTCCGTGTGTGCAGGGGGTTGGTGCTGGAATTTGACATTAAGCCTGTGGTAAGCTGTGGCGGGTAGGGCAAGAAATTATAGGTTGCTCCTTGTTGATGGAGGCTGAGCAGAAGTGGTCAGAGCTGAAATCTGACACAGCCTGCGGTAGGTCAGGGCAACTCTACCTGGAAATCGCGGGGCCACCCCCACGGGATGGGATTTACTGTGGTGGGAAAGGAATCCAAGCATTTGGATTGAGAGTTCGAGCTTCACTCCAGCGCCCTCCTAACTCACCACACAGCCGGCTCTGGAACTGCAGGCCGAACTCCTGGATGAGGTCGAAGGACTCTACGAGGAAGACGTGCTCGTCTAGCGGGGGCGATGCCATGGCGCGCAGGGAGCCCACGTCCGCGCGCTGCACCCCCACCGCGTAAATTTCAATGCCGCGGGCGCGCGCCTGTGCCGCCACCTCGGCCACGCGGTCCTGGGGCCGCCCGTCTGTCACGATGACAGCGACACGCGGCACGCGCTCCTCTGGCGGTCGCGCGCCCTCGGCCACACTGAAGGCCACGTTCATGGCGTACTGGATTGCCAGTCCCGTCATGGTGCCTTGCGCCAGAGGCACCAGGTCGCGGATGGCGCGCTCCATGTCCTCGCGGCGAGAGAACGCGCGGAGAGGGAAGACGCTCTGCACTTGACTCGAATACTGGATCACGCCAACGCGCGTGGCGTTGGGACCCACGTTCAGGCCTCGGAGGAGGCCCATGAGGAACTGCCGCATGGTCTCGAACTCGAAAGGGCGCACGCTGCGGGAGCTGTCAATCACGAACACCAGATCCAGGGGCCCAGTGTGACACCTGGGACCTGCGGGGAGATCAGGGAGGACTCTCCTAGGTCAGCAAAGCCTCACCTCCGAGGAGACCCCCTAGGAAACCCAGGGGAAATGCCGCTATGCCGACATAACAGCGCCCAGCACAGCAAACGCAGATTAGACAGATGCACTCGCCCGGCATGTGCCTAGCACCTGGGCTAGGAGATTTCACAAATTCCCTCATCTTACAGATCTGAGGGCTATTCTGAGGCGGTATTACCCATTGACGAGGGGGCAAGGAAGCGTCGCAAACTCAAAGCCTGCAGGGACCAGGCAGGGAACATGGATGAACTGGTTGGGTTAGGACGCTGGAGACCCAAAGAGCCCCTATCACTCCTAAATTGGGCAGGTAGCTGCATCCAAATGAGGCCATGCCCCTGCGAATTGGATGTCAGCAGATCCCTGGTTTTTCAAGAGAAATACTAAACAGGGATTTTTATGTAAAATTTCCTGGTTTTTTTCCATGTTTTCAAATAATTTTTCCAAATTAAACACCCCATGGGCAGTTCTGCATGCGCCCAAAACTAAGCCACATCCTACAGATGAAGAAACTGAGGCCCAGAAAGGTGAAGTGGGGAACTTAAACCCAGTCCCATATGTTCCAAAGCCCTTGCTTCCCTCTCCCCAGCAGGAGGAGCTGGCTGCAGAGGGAGGACCTGCTTCCGCTCCCCTCCTCCCACTGGTGAGGGCTGGGCCCCAGTTCACCTGTCAACTGGAGCTGGGTTTCCCAGGGCTGAAGAAGGAGCAGCAACACGGGCCAGCAAAGAAGGCCTCTCATGGCGCTTGGGGACAGAGAATGGAGGTGTCAGAGCCTGGAGGGAGGAAGGAAAATAGAAAAGCAACAGTATTTACAGAGCTCTTATTCTGGGTGATAGGCACTTGGAGGGGGAAGACAGTTACAGGTTTATTTTACTAATCTCTCTATTTTTGTGTATGTTTGAAATGTTTCAGAATTAAAAAATTCTCATCACAGTGGGATTGCTGGGAAACACAAGAGATTCTTTTTTTTTTTTTTTTTAGATAGAGTCTTGCTCTGTCGTCCCGGCTGGAGTGCAGTGGCATGATCTCGGCTCACTGCAACCTCTGCCTCCCAGGTTCAAGCGATTCTCCGGCCTCAGCCTCCCGAGTAGCTGGGATTACAGGCTCCTGCCACCACACCTGGCTAATTTTTTGTATTTTTAGTAGAGAGCGGGTTTTGCCATGTTGGTCAGGCTGGTCTCAAACTCCTGACCTCAGGTGATCCTCCCACCTCGGCCTCCCAGAATGCTGGGATTACAGGCGTGAGCCACCGCGCTCGGCCCACAAGAGAATGGTAAATAAGAATAGATACATAGATACAAATATGCAAAATTTAAACAGAAAAAAACAGGTCTTCCTTAAATGTCAGGCACAGTGTTAAATGCTCTTCACGCATTGTGGCATTTAATCCTCTCTGCAATTGTAAGACTAAGGCTGTGATTGTCCCCCATCATACAGACAATGAAATTGAGGCTCAGAAAAGTTAAGCGCTGGTACCCAAAGTCATTCGGCCAAAAAGTGGCTGCGGCAGGATACAATCCCACGCCTGCTAGTTTCTGTGAGCCAGCCTGGGCGTTTGGTGCCTCTCCTCCTGCCAGGCGAACCTCTGCAGACAGAAGCCCTTCCCCACCTCGGCCCACTCCCCTACGCACACAGGCTTCTGTGTGGCTGTCTTTGCAACTCGCCAACCCCCCCAGACCCCTCCACACACACAAACACAGACATGCACTGCCCAACCGCAGGCGGCAGGGAGGGGCTGCGCCCTGTTGCGGGGCTGAGCGTGGTGGCGTGGCAGCGAGTGGACCAAAACCCACTGCGCACGAGAACGCGCGGCTTGGCGCCTGTTTCCCGCCTGCTCTCAGGAGCGACCGCCAGGGGGCGCCCGAGATGGCAGGGGGCGTGGGAAGCCCACATCTGCCCAGCAGGTGCGCCCACCCCGAGCAAACAGGGGGCCGGGGCCCGGGGCCTTGGAGATAAGGCCTGGACAGGATATAACCCGCGCAAGAGCCGAGGAGCAGGGGTGTGCAGGGTTCCAGCGACAGCAGCACTGGACTCGTCCAGAGGGCGGCGGGTGAGCGGCTGGGGCCCCGTGGAGCCACCATGGACCCCGCAGGGGCAGCAGGTGAGCGCTTACCCTCCCGAGGCCCCGGAGACGCCCCGTGAGAACTACGAAGGACCACCCCCCCACCCCCTCCCCACTATACAAATAGGAAAACTAAGCCCCAAGGAGGCAGCCCGCCGAACTGCAAAAGCAGGATTAGAACCTAGGGCTCCTGGTTCCCCTTCTCTCTCTTGAGGCCCCCTGGCGCCTAGAATTCACTAAACCTCATTTCCTTCCAGCTCCTACCCCACCGCCGCGCCCCATGCTGAAGCTGTGTTAGCCATTTTTCTGTTGCTGTTTCTTGGCAGAGAGGGCCAGCTGCCCCTAACCCAACAGCAGCTCCGCCCCCGCCCCCCAATTCCGTGAATGCGCCTATTCTGAGCGAGGCCAGTGCCTGCTTCTCACTCCAGGCGACCTTCTCATCCCGGATTCTTCTCCCTTTTCCCCTCCCAGGCCTGGTAGAAGAACATAAATCCTCTGGCAGGGCCCGTCGTGGGAGGGTGACCAAGCAAGATGTGGCAGCGCTGGTGGAAGTGGGAGGGCGGGGAACCCTTGTCAAGCTTGGGCCACAGGCAAAGCCAACATCCCTGGACAGCATGAGGGCTAAGGCACAAGGGGCCTCTGCCACCTCCCATACTTTCCTACCCGGAGATGCCTCTGGGCCCCTAAATCTTGGTTAAGGTTCCCCTCATCCCATTCTTGGTCTGAGCCAACTTCTCACCTGGCACCCTGCCTCCACCCCAGGAATCCTAGAAAGTCAAAATAGCAAATGCCTCAAAGTTCATCACCTTTCCAAACCCCTCATTCTACAAAGAAAGGAACTAGGTCCAGAGAGGGTAGTGTCTTGCTGAAGGGTACATGGCGATGTCGTGGCAGGACTGATACTAGAACCTGGGATTCCTCTGAGGAGTTAATCCTTGCATTAAAAAAAGAAAGATTCAGAGATGCCCTGAGGTGAGGTTGAGGGAGTGGAGCAGCAAGGGAGGAGAGGCCTGTAAATAAATTCTCAAAAGTCCCTTAGGGACATTTCAGGGGGTTCCTGGAGGGATGAGAGTAGAAAAGGGATGATCCTATTTTGATGGCTTTGAGGGTGGGGGCTCGATTTGGAAAGGACCCTGCAGAAGTGGGGAAGGGCACTGCAAATCAGATAGGGCACCCTAGGCAGCGTCTCTGCTAAAATACACTCGCCTGACCTGGCTTGATGCCTACTCCCCTGCAGACCCCTCAGTGCCTCCCAATCCTTTGACTCACCTGAGCCTGCAGGACAGATCAGAGATGCAGCTGCAGAGCGAAGCCGACAGGCGGAGCCTCCCGGGCACTTGGACCAGGTAACGGCGGCGTGGCAGCGTGCCCTAGGTGGGGACTGCCAGGCAGCTGGAGCACACAGAGGCAACGGCCGCATTTAACCCAGGGCTGGCGGGTGGGGAGGGGAAGTGCAGGCTGCAACCCCTCCCACTGGCAGGGAGGGATCCCCCCTTCCTCCTGAGGGGGGGCAAACCCAGCACCCCCTGCTCCTACCACGCTTGGAGCTGCAGACAGGGCTAGCTGCGGGCCAGGCTGGAATTCAGCTACAGCGGGAGACTGGGGAGACCGGGGCAGCCACACTCCACAGCCGGAATTCATTGGAAGCTTAGAAGGCACTTCCCTGAGGAGAGCCCCAAGGGGTGGAGCGGTCCTGGCTGTGGCTGCTGCCTGTCTGGCCTGGCTTTCGAGGGTGCGGTCTTGCGCTGTCCCCTCCAGGAGTGAGGAGAGACTCTGGTCCTGCCAAGAGGAATAAGGGCTCAGAAGGACAGCCTCAGTTTTCATGGCTCTCCTTGGGCCTCAACCTGCTAACCCCCCAAATCTCTCCCACCTCCCCTCCTCTACTTGCTCCCTGCAATTGCTCGGGCCTACCCACCCACACCGCTCAAGACCCCCAGGTTAAGAAGCCACCAGACCTCTAGGCTCTAACCTGGCTCACTCTGCAGGACCAATGTCATCTGCCTTGACTCCTGTAATCAAGGGTAGGAAAGCCCACACAGCAACAGGCCACTTCTCATGGGAGAAAGGGAAGAATATGGCTTTGGCCCCAGAAAGGCTCAGATTCCCCCAGGCCATCCCCCATCCTGAGGACAAGGTTTTGGGCCCTTTTCTGTTTGCAGGCAGGAGGCTAGAGAGCGCTCCAGGCCAGGAGCCCAGGAAAGGCTCTCCCTTCCCCTCCCTCCTCACCCCCCACCCTGCCTTCCCCAGGGTGGGGAAGCTTCATCTCTACCAATTCCATCAGCCCTAAAATACTCTTCTCCATCCCAAGGCCAGTATAAGTGCAGCCTTTGTGTCACAGCCACGTGTCCCTATGGCCCTGGGCTCCAATGGGCATGATGCCAGACCCACAGAGTGGAACCTGGGTGGTCCCATGGGTTCCATGCAGGCTTCGTTGAGCACCTTGCAGCCTAAATATTTAGCCTACAATTTGCAGCCAAGTCTCCTCCTTACCTAATGCTTCCTCTTCCTGACCCCACAGGGGCAGGATATAGAGCAGCCCCACCCTCCCACTCACTCTAACCCCCTGCTCACTTCATTTTACTCAACCTGAGTGCTTGGACCCTGTGCCACCTTGACCCTTCTCCCTCCTGTGGCTGGTCGACCTGCCTGCCCTACTCCCAGGTCATCCCCAGAGCACACCACCATTCTGAGGGGAGGCGTGCGCAGGTGCCTGCAGCAACAGTGTGAACAGACTGTGCGGATCCTGCATGCCAAGGTGGCCCAGAAATCATACGGAAATGAGAAGCGGTAGGTGCCTCCGCAGCCCCTCCCAGGTCTCTGCAACTGTCAGCCCTATGCACCTCCTCCATCCACCCATTGGGCCTCTTTTAGACGCAGAGCAGGCCTCAGGGCTGAGATCTCAGCTATTGGTCGACCAGGGCCTTGACCCTCAGCCACCATTAGCCCCCACTTTGGTCTATAGTTCTACAGCAGGAGATTCCCTGTGAATCTCCTGTCTCCATTCATTCACTCATTCTCCCATTGATTCACTTATTCATTCATTCAACAACTACTTACTGAGTGTTTGTCATGTATGCACCAGGCTCTGTGGGTACTGCTGGGCACTGGGCATACAGCTGAACAAGACAGAAACAGCCCCTGCTCTGTAGCCCACACTCTCACTCAAGTGTGGAAGAGACAGACAGTAAACTCCCCACAAGTCAGGAAACAAGATACTTGCAGATTATGATGAGCACTAGAAGGAAAACTGAACGAGGCCATTTGACGGAAACTGAAGGCAGGGGGGACATTAGCTAGAAAGGTCAAGGAGGTTGAGAGACCTTTTGGGAGGTAACATTGGAACTGAAACTTGAATGCTGAAATGGAGCCAGACAGGAGAATATCTGGGGAAAGCGTGCTACAATTAGAAGGAACAGAAGGGCCGGGCGCGATGGCTCACACCTGTAATCCCAGCACTTTGGGAGGCCGAGGCGGGCGGATCACCTGAGGTCAGGAGTTCGAGACCAGCCTGGCCAATACAGTGAAACCCCCTCTCTACCAAAAAATACAAAATTAGCTGGGCATGGTGGCGGGCACCTGTAATCCCAGCTGCTCAGGAGGCTGAGGCAGGATAATTGGTTGAACCCGGGAGGCGGAGGTTGCAGTGAGCCGAGATCATGCCACTGCACTCCAGCCTGGCGACAGAGCAAGACTCAGTCTCAAAAAAAAAAAGGGCAACAGAAAATGGGAAGACCTTGAGGCTGTACCAATTAGGCCTGTTTGAGGTACAAAAGAAATGACAGTGGCTGAAATCAGAGGGAGGAGTTGTAGGAAACAAGTCAGAGAGGTAAGCAGGGGTCAGATCTCAGGAGGACTTTGAATTTTAAACCAGTGGAGGATTTTAAGGAGTTAACATGATTTGACTCATGTTTTTAACAAAACACTCTGGCCAGCCTGGTGGCTCATCCCTGTAATCCCAGCACTTCGGCAGACCCAGGTGGGCAGATTGCTTGAGCCCAGAAGTTCCAGACCTGCATGGGCAACATGACAAAACCATGTCTGTACAAAAAACACAAAAATTAGATGGGTGTGGTGGCTTGTGTCTGTAGTCTCACCTACTCAGGAGGCCGAGGTGGGAGGATCAGTTGGGGAGGCAGAAGTTGCAGTGAGCCCAGACAGCCGAGATCAAGTTACTGCATTCCAGCCTGGGCAACAGAGCAAGACCCTGCCTCAAAAAAAAAAAAAAAGAAAAAGAAAAAGAAAGAAACAGGAAGGAAGGAATGAAAGAAAAAAAGAAAGAAAGAGAGAGGAAGGAAGGAAGGAAGGAGCACTCTGGCTGCTGTGCGAAATGGGAAGGAGATAGAAACAGAACTTTCTGGAAATAGACCAGTTTGAAGGCTGATGCTG
Organism: Homo sapiens; assembly: GCF_000001405.40. Taxonomy (NCBI): domain Eukaryota; kingdom Metazoa; phylum Chordata; class Mammalia; order Primates; family Hominidae; genus Homo; species Homo sapiens. Next base: position 45,311,292 of record NC_000020.11, read on the forward strand.
TGGTCCAGGCAAAAAGTAATGGCGGCTGGGATGAAGGGCGAGGTGGTAAAAAGCCAGTGGATTCTGGATATATTATATTTTGAAGGTGGAGTGGACAGGACCTTCTGATGAGTTGAATGAGGGGTGTAAAAACAATAAGGTTTGGCTATGAATGGGGTTTACAGTCGTGAAAAAGCGTTGCGGGGAGCGGGAGGAGGAAACGAAGGTTCTGCTGGGTTTATGCTACTACCTTGCCGTGCTTACAGGAGAGCCAAGTGGAGATGGATGCACGACTCCAACACTCACTTATCTCCGCAGGTTCTTCTGCCCCCCGCCCTGTGTCTACCTCTCGGGGCCTGGCTGGAGGGTGAAGCCAGGGCAGGATCAAGGTGAGGGCGGAATCAAGGGCTGCCGGCCGCCTGCTCTGTAGGGAGGACCACGAGATTGGGCCCGAGACGGGGCGGTTCGCAGGCGCAGTCTCCCCGCGCCCTCTGGCGGCGAGCGCTAAGCTTGCCTGGCACCTGCGTCCTCCCGAGTCCTTGCAGAGCCAGTTCGCGTCCCTTTCCAGCTCACCAGGCGGGGGAAACGGGGCCCACGGTCTGCGGTTACATGGGACTGGACAGCGCGTCCGGCAGCGCCACTGAGACGCAGAAGCTGAATTTCGAGCAGCAGCCGGACTCCAGGGTGAGAGCGCACGGGAAGGGGTCCGATTCCTGCTCCCATCCCTGCCTCTCCTGGGAAAGGAGGGCTCCTTTACTCCCCTCCGAAAGCCAAGAGATAGGTGGGGAGACCGGGAGGCCGGGGTCCTGCCTTAAGGCCGAGCCTGAGAGCCTGGATGGTGGAGCTTCTGGTCACCTCCGACGGGGCGGACGTCCGATATCTGGGAGAGGTTGGTTCATCCGACGGGGGAGGGCTGGGATGAGATGGCCCTGTACCTGTGAGCCCCCTAGGAATTCGGCTGCGCCAAGACCCTGTACATCTCAGATGCAGACAAGAGGAAGCACTTTCGGCTGGTGCTGCGGCTGGTGCTGCGCGGGGGCCGGGAGCTGGGTACCTTCCACAGCCGCCTTATCAAGGTCATCTCGAAGCCCTCGCAGAAGAAGCAGTCGCTGAAAAACACCGATCGTGAGCAGGGCGGGGCCTGACCCCCGGCCCGGGCGGGGAGGTGCAACCAAGCCCAGAACGGCTAAACTGGGGCGCGGAGGTGGGGGTAGGCTGGGCTTAGGGGTCAGAGTGGAAAAGGTGGAGTCGGAGCCGAGAGGGGAAGGAGTCTGGATGAGTGGGTGCGGCCCAGGCCTGGGGATGAGAAGAGTTGGAGGATGAAAAGCAGAGAGGAAAGGGACAGATACCAAATTCCAGGTTGGGAGTTGGGGTCCCAGAGCAGACAAAAGTTGAACTAGGCAGGAGTTGAACTAGGGACAGACTAAAAGTGACATAGGTGGGGCACGGTGGCTCATGCCTGTAATCCCAACAATTTGGGAGGCCAAGGTGGGCGGATCAGTTGATCCCAGAAGTTCAAGACTAGCTAGGGCAACATGGCGAAATCTTGTCTGTACCAAAAAAAAAAAAAAAAAAAGAAAAAGAAAAATTAGCCTGGCATGGTGGCCTGCACTTGTTGTCCCAGCTACGTGGGAGGCTGAGATCAGAAGATCACTTGAACCCAAGAGGTCGAGGCTGCAGTGAGCTGTGATAGCACCACGGCAGTCCAGCCTGGGTGACAGGGTGAGATGCTATCTCAAAAAAAAAAAAAAAAAGTTTTACTTTTGTTTGTTGAACTGAAAGATGTCCAGACAGCAAAGGAACAGGCAAAGGTTCCAAAGCAGGACTGCAGCAGGTCCTGGAAAAACAGCTGTGAACTGGGAATGCCCAGTGTATCTAGGCCTGTGGGCACATTAGCCAGGCCGGCACAGGGACAGAAGATTGGAAACTGTCTGGAAAGTCCAAGGAACCAAGCCAGGACAGGGCACTGATAGCACCAACTAACCTTAACCCTCACCCTGACCCCCTCCCTCACCCTAACCCTCACCCTAATCCTAATCCTTACCCTCACCCTCACTCTAACCCTCACCCTAATCCTAACCCTCACCCTCACCCTAACCCTCACCCTAACCCTAACCCCAATCCTAACCCTAACCCTATCCCCTCACCCTAACCCTGACCCTCACCCTCACCCTAACCCTGACCCTCACCCTCACAGTGTGCATATCCTCCGGCTCAAAGGTCTCCCTCTTCAACCGCCTGCGCTCTCAGACGGTCTCCACACGCTACCTCTCTGTGGAGGATGGGGCCTTTGTGGCCAGTGCACGACAGTGGGCTGCCTTCACGCTCCACCTGGGTAATGACATCTGCAGGCCCTGGAGCTGGGCACTTCACATGCATTAGCTTATTTAACCTCCACCACAACTCCTTAAGGAAGGTAAACTCTGCCCCATGTGATTAAGGCTCAGAAACACAAAAAGACTTGACTACAGTCCCAGTGAGCTGGTGACTGTTCCAAGCTATTCTGACTCCCTTATCCATGCCCTTTCCCCATATATCAACTAAGCTGCCTGCCCCCAACCCCTGCCCCCAGGGCAGACATTTGTGAGGATGGCCTCAAATGGCCTCTCCAGAATTAGAACCTTCAGTTGGCTCCCCTGAGTACCAAGCTTTCCCGCAGGGCCCATGTGTGATGTGAGGAAGAGCCAGAGGCAACAAGGCAGGGTTTAAGGCAGAAGCTTGGGGGCCGCTGAAAACCTTGTCCCTTGCTTTTTTTGTCCCCCAGCTGATGGGCACTCTGCCCAAGGAGACTTCCCACCGCGAGAGGGCTACGTTCGCTATGGCTCCCTGGTGCAGCTCGTCTGCACGGTCACCGGCATCACACTACCTCCCATGGTATAGGAAGGGAGGGCATGCCTGGAGGGGTCCCCTCAGATCCATGCAGAGAATGTGGCACACACGGGCAGGGCTGGAGAGTGAGGCCCCAAGGCATGGAGACACCTGTTCTCACCCAGTGTCGCGTAGGACCAGACAGAAGTCAAAGGGCAGGGGGAATCTGCTAGTGCCTGTGTGGCTATTGGAGTAGCAGACAGCCGGCTAGGAGGGCAGCCTCTGGACGCCCGGGCTCCTTGCCACCACTGTTCTTACCATCCTTCCATTGCAGATCATCCGTAAAGTAGCAAAACAGTGTGCGCTCCTTGATGTGGATGAGCCCATCTCCCAGCTGCACAAGTGTGCATTCCAGTTTCCAGGCAGTCCCCCAGGAGGGGGTGGCACCTACTTATGCCTTGCCACAGAGAAGGTGGTGCAATTTCAGGTAAGAAGCAGAGAATACCAGCACCAAGTGTCCTGGAAAGGGAGAATGCAGAGAACCACAGAATGTAAGATCATCACCCTCACCATGGTTGCTACTTCCTGAGCAGCCTCCCATGGAACATTAAAATCATAGACTCCCAGGACAGAATCATAGGATGTAGAAAAATAGTAATAAGTAATAGTATGAAGCAATATTCCTTCCCAAAGAATTTTAGAGTCATAAAATATTGGGATATAGCCAGGTGCGGTGGCTCATGCCTGTAATCCCAGCACTTTGCGAGGCTGAGGTGGGCAGAACACCTGAGGTCAGGAGTTCGAGACTAGACTGGCCAACATGGTGAAATCCCATCTCTACTAAAAATACAAAAATTAGCTGGGCATGGCAGTGGGCGCCTGTAATCTCAGCTACTCAGGAGGCTGAGGCAGGAGAATTGCTTGAACCTGAGAGGTGGAGGTTGCAGTGAGCCAGGATCACACCATTGCACTCCAGCCTGGGTGACAAGAGCAAGACTCCATCTCAAAAAAAGTAAGTAAATAAATTGGGATATAAAATTGTAGGATGTAAATAAAAATCATGATAGGTAATAGAGAGCAGAGAATTAATGAGCAAAGACTATTCGAAGCACAGATAAAGACACAGAATGTGGAAAATTATAGAATGTGGAAAATAATAATTATCGTTAAGCAGTAGTACTCCCAAAAGAATATTATCATAGAATGTTACGAGATAGAATTATAATATGTGGAAAATAGCAAGTATTATTCCTTCCCCAAGAATATTCCTTCCCAAAGAATATTAAAATTGTAGATTATTAGAGCATAGAATTGCACAATGTTAAAAAAAAAAAAATTCTGGAATCCCAAGAAAAAAGACCCTTAGAAATCAGCTATCCCAGGCCGGGCCAATGGCTCATGCCTGTAGTCACAATACTTTGGGAGGCTGAGGCAGGAGGATCACGAGGCCAGGAGTTTGAGACCAGCCTGGCCAACATGGTGAAACCCTGTCTCTACTAAAAATACAAAAAAATTATTTGGGCGTGGTGGCTGGCACCTGTAATCCCAGCTACCCGGGCGCCTGAGGCAGGAGAATCATTTGAACCCGGGAGGCGGAGGTTGCAATGAGCCAAGATCAGGCCATTGCACTCCAGCCTGGGCGACAGAGCGAGATTCAGTCTCAAAAAAAAAAAAAGGAAGAAAGGAAGGAAGGAAGGAAGAAGAGAGAAAGAGAGAGAGAGAAAGAAAAAGAAAGAAAGAAAGAAAAGAAAGAGAAAGAAAAGAAAAAGAGAAAGGGAAAGAAAGAAAAGGAAGGAAGGAAAGAAAGAAAAAGAAAGAAAGGAAAAAAGAGAGAGAAAGGGAAAGAAAAAGAAAAGGAAGGAAGGAAGGAAAATAAAGAAAAAAGAAAGAAGAAAGAAGAAAGAAGAAATCAGCTAGCTCAACAAGCTTTCTTAACGCTAAGTGAGAGAACTTAAGGGCACTGTCCAAGCTGAGGGGACAAGTGAACCCCAGAGCCTAGGATTAGTATCCAGTTCGGTCTAACGCAGAAGCCCACGCGCCATGCTGGCTCCCTACACTGGTGGCCACCATGAGAAGCTTCGGCCTCGTCCCCTTGGGTCTCCTCCCAGGCCTCTCCCTGCCCCAAGGAGGCGAACAGGGCTCTGCTTAACGACAGCTCTTGCTGGACCATCATCGGCACCGAGTCGGTGGAATTTTCCTTCAGCACCAGCCTGGCGTGTACCCTGGAGCCGGTCACTCCGGTGCCTCTCATCAGCACCCTAGAGGTGAAGCCGGGCGCTAGGGGCGTTGGGCAGGGGGACCCTGCCTGCACTGGGCAGTGGTGGTGCTAGTGAGTGGGGGGCAGCGGGTTCCCGCCCTACTTGGTTCTCTCACCTCACCTGGTCCCACCCTCCCCCAGCTGAGCGGCGGGGGCGACGTGGCCACGCTGGAGCTCCACGGAGAGAACTTCCACGCGGGGCTCAAGGTGTGGTTTGGGGACGTGGAGGCAGAAACCATGTACAGGTACGGGGTGGTGAGGCAGCCTCTCTTGGGCCCCGGGGAGCAGGGGAAGGGGGTGCACGCGTCGTCGGAGTCGCCGCAGCCCTCACCCTGGTGCTCCACCCCCAGGAGCCCGCGGTCCCTGGTGTGCGTGGTGCCGGACGTGGCGGCCTTCTGCAGCGACTGGCGCTGGCTGCGCGCTCCCATCACAATCCCCATGAGCCTGGTGCGCGCCGACGGGCTCTTCTACCCTAGTGCCTTCTCCTTCACCTACACCCCGGAATACAGCGTGCGGCCGGGTCACCCCGGCGTCCCCGAGCCCGCCACCGACGCCGACGCGCTCCTGGAGAGCATCCATCAGGAGTTCACGCGCACCAACTTCCACCTCTTCATCCAGACTTAGGCGCGCCCGGTAGCCCCGGCTGCCCACCCTGGAGGGCTGCGCCCGCGCCAGGCGCGGGGACGTGTTTCTGGGTTCTAGGCCCTGCTTCCTTGCCCCTTTGCTGCAGAAGGGCAGCTGAAGGCTCACCCTAGAAACCGGGCCTGGTGGGTCTTACCCGGCTCACTCCCTCCCTTGTCCTTACACATACAGGAAGACAAGACCTGAGTGGTGCTGTCTTTGTGTCCGTCGTGTATGGCTCTCCCTGTCTTCATTTCTTCTCACTCTGTCTCTAAACCTCTCTCTCTCTCCCTTCCCCCTCAGTACTTAGTCTACAGACCTATGTGCGTGTCCCTATCCTTCTGTCCTTTTCTCTCTTCAGCTCTCCCTGCCTCTCACACACAATTTTACATGCCCCGAGGAGCCAAGTTTGGGACATTTACCCTCCAGGCATCTGTGTCCCCTCTTGAAGAGAAAACACACAGCTTCACACATCCAGGCATAGGGGGCAAGCTCTTGGGGCATCAGGACCCTGGAGCACCAGGTCCTTCCTGGAATATTAGATCCACCTGGAGCACCGGGTCTCTCTAAGTCTCACCTGGGGAATTCGGTCCCACCTGGGGCACCAGTTCCCACCTAGAGCACTGTGTCCTGCCCTAGAGCACAAAGACCTGCTCCTCCCGAGACTCTCTCTGACTGCAGCCAGGCATAGTACCTTTGCCTGTGTTTGCTCCCTGGTCCACAGATTTGGTGGCTGGGCAGGTGCCTGGACAGTGATGAGGTCTTGCCGCCTTAACTGTCCCCCCCAGTCACTTCTCCCACAGGCCCAGCAGGACGCAGTCCTGAGGATCAGGGATTCTACAGCTGCATTAAAATCAATCCTATCCAAGGCAGAGTTTGGTCTGTATGAGCCACCTCCCCAAGTGTGCCTCCCCCAACCCTCGCACCAACACACAAAAGAGGGGACCTGCACAGAAAGAAAAGAACCACAAGTCTGATGGAGCAGAGAGCCTACCTTTTGGACGTTTTCTAGAGGAGGAACAGGGTGCAGAGGCAGCTGGCATCCTGAGTCCCTGTCCCTGCCCTGGGGTTGTTACCCTACTAGCTATCTCTCCATCCCAAGCAAGGGTGCACCCCAGGCCCAGAGGTGACCACGGGACCCTTTCAAAACAAAGCTTTCCCAGGATAGCCCTGGGCAGAACTCCTGGGATTGACTGGGCAGTAATGTAGTTGAGAGGGGGGCCTCTCTGCATGGGGCTGATGGACAGAATCACAATCTATTCCCCACCAGCCTACCCACCCTAGGTACCACTCTACCCAGTCTGTGCTTTATAGGGAAGGAAAAAAAAACCAGGCAGAACACTGGCTTGGGCTATTGGAATCAAGGACACAGATAAGTATCATGGGTGCCAGCTACCTGCACCAGCCTCTGGTGGTGCCTGATGGGAAAACTGGTCTGAAATGTGGGTTCTAGGTTCTAACCCTCTGGAGAAGAGCTTGCCCTCCTAAGGAAGAGCTCATTTCTTGTAAAACTCCTCCCCCAGGGTATGGAAAGTCCCATGAGAAAAAAGAAACGAACAATACGCAGAGGAGAGGAAATGGGGTATGTTCTTTAGCCTTCCCAAAGTCTTGACTAAGTTCTGCCATCTGCCATCAGCAGGCTGCAACCCACTGTGAGGGGTGAGGAAGAAGCCTGTGGCCCCTGAAGGTGAATCTTGGCTGAGGAAGGCAGCAAATGAGTTGAATGGGAAATGTCCCTGAAATGAGCGCCTGACTCACCGTCCATGGTGGTGTTGAAGCAGGCAGCCAGGAGGGAGGAGGCTGAGAAGAGTGTCATAGCGCACCACATGGGGAATTGGGGCTCAAGCGCTCATCGTCCAGCCCTGCCCCCAAAGTCTTCCTCCACCACTCCTCAAGGCAGGAGTCCCAGAAGCCAATAATCTAGGTTGGACCAAAAGCCCAGACCCAGCCATACAGCTCTGTCTTAGTCCTCACCCATCTCAGGGGATCCTATAACCTTTGGTGTCCCCAAGGTATCCATCTGGAAGTCTGTGACCAAAGCTCCAGCCCTGGCCTAGCTTCTGAGTTCCAGCTGCTGAAACTGTCCTTGGAGGTCTTCCTTGCACTGAGTCTGAAGCCATCTAACATCAAACTCCTTTCCCTCTCCACCTGCCTTGCAGCACCACCTCTAGCTCCTTCCCCCACACCACCCAGTCACCCAGGCCTAAGGATCCCACCCCCACTTCCACACTACCATATGCCTCCTGTTTTCCTCTCCCTCCACTACTGCCCTGCCAGGTCCTGTGTCGCCTCTTCCAAAATTTCCCAAACTACTCTAGGTAGAACTAGCTATATAATTTGTGGGCCCCAGTGCAAAATGGCCCGTTGTTCAAAAATTATTCAAGAATTTCAATTCGACTGAACACGGGATTAAAAAAAAAAAAAGAACTTCAAGACAGCCACAGGAAATGATGAAACCAAGTGCAGGGGCCTTCCAAGCACAGGCTGCACAACCACGAAGCCAGCCCTGGCCCCAGGCTTTTTTCTTGTATTCCCACAGACCCTCAATGGGACCATATCGACTGCCTGCTTTGGATCAAAGGTTTTACCTACATGCCCATTGTCTCCTCTAGGCTGCCATCTTCATGGGGAAAGGAGCTCTTATCTCTGCATGTCCTAAAGGGTGCATCACAATGCCTCGCATGTTGAGTTGGTGCTCAATAAACAGTGAATTGCATTATATGGCATTGGCAGATATTTAGATATTGCTAATGCAAAGTGAAACCGGCAGGTGGCACTGTTCTCCACCCGAGCATTAAGTTCTCATTTTATTTATATTTAAAAACCGGGCCTTAATCCCAGCCCTTTGGTAGGCCGAGGCGCAAGGATCACTTAAGCCCAGGAGTTCGAGACCACCCTGGGCAACATAACAAGACCCCCTCCCCCATCTCTACAAAAAAATGTAAAAATAGGGCCGGGCGCAGTGGCTCACGCCTGTAATCCCAGCACTTTGGGAGGCCGAGGCGGGCGGATCACGAGGTCAGGAGATAAGAGACCAACCTGGCTAACCCGGTGAAACCCCGTCTCTACCAAAAAATACAAAAAATTAGCCAGGCGTGGTGGCGGGCGACTGTAGTCCCAGCTACTTGGGAGGCTGAGGCAGGAGAATGGCGTGAACCCGGGAGGCGGAGCTTGCAGTGAGCCGAGATCGTGCCACTGCACTCCAGCCTGGGGGACAGAGTGAGACTCCGTCTCAAAAAAATAAAAAAATAATAATAATAATTAGCCGGTGTGGTGGTGCACGCCTGTAGTCCCAGCTATGGGGTGGGGGCGGGGGGATGCTGAGGAGGGAGGATCACTGGAGCACAGGTAGTGGAAGCTGCAGTGAGCTGTGATTGTGCCACTACACTCCAGCCTGGGTGACAGAGGGAGACCCTTTGGGGGTTTATGCACAGAATTCTACATACTTCCAGGGAATTTCCTAACACTAAAACCCATTTATGGATTAATTTAGTCCTCTTTATATTAGAATCATTTGCCACGCTATAAAAATTAATATACCGGGCCGGGCGCAGTGGCTCACGCCTGTAATCCCAGCACTTTGGGAGGTCGAGGTGGGTGGATCACCTGAGGTCAGGAGTTTGAGACCAGCCTGGCCAACATGGTGAAACCCTGTCTCTACTAAAAATTCAAAACATTAGCCAGGCGTGGTGGCGTGTGCCTGTAATCCCAGCTACTCAGGAGGCTGAGGCAGGAGAATTGCTTGAACCCAGGAGGCAGAGGCTGCAGCGAACTGAGATCACGCCACTGCACTCCAGCCTAGGGTCTCTCCAGCAGAGTGAAACTCCGTCTCAAAAAAAAAAATAATACTAATAATATACCGGCCACGCCATGGAACAATTCTATTAACATCTCTGAGTGTGGAGCTCAGGCATCTGTATTGTTTGAAACCCTCCCATGTGAATCTAGTGAGCAGCCAGGGTTAAGAATCATGGCCCTAGTCAGTATTTCCTCCTCATTTTATAGATGGGGAAACTGAGGCTCCAAGAGAGGAGGCTAAGGTCACAGCAGATGGCAAAGCCTACAATTGATTCAAATCCTGCACTCCTACCACTAAATCTGGGGCTCTGAGTTTCTCTTCATTCTCATTCTACCACGCTGCTGTGTGTAGGTGACATGTGTGTTGCAGAGGGTGGGGATGGGGCATGTAGTGAGGATAAGGCCCAAATCTCCAATTTACCAGCTCTCATGCTGCCTGGTGTTCCACCATTATTAACAAGCTAGTTCCCCAGTAAGTACCGACCTTGGGGTTTCTCTCTCTTTCTTTCTTTCTTTTTTTTTTTTAACTTCTATTAAGTTATAACCACAGCATAGGTAAAATTCTCTGACAGCTTCCCCCTGGGTAGGGCACAGACCTGTGAAGATGGCAAGGGAAAGAGGAAGTGGTTTTAAGGGAAGTGAAACCCATAATACATCTATAAGGTTGTGGCCAGGCATGGTGGCTCACACTTGTAATCCTAGCACTTTGGGAGGCCGAGCCAGGCAGATCACTTCAGATCACTTGAGGTCAGGAGTTCCAGACCAGCCTGGCCAACATGGTAAAACCCCGTCTCTACTAAAAATACAAAAATAGGCTGGGCACGGTGGCTCACACCTGTAATCCCAGCTACTTGGGAGACTGGGACAGAAGAATCGCTTGAACCCAGGAGGCGAAAGTTGCAGTGAGCTGAGATCACGCCACTGCACTCCAGCTTGGGTGACAACAAGACTCTGTCTCAAAAAATAAAAAATACAAAATGTAGCCAGACGTGGTGGCGTGCACCTGTAGTCCCAGCTACTTGGGTGGCTGAGGCACAAGAATCGCTTGCACCTAGGAGGCAGAGGTTGCAGTGAGCCGAGATTGTGCCACTGCACTCCAGCCTGGGCAACAGAGCGAGACTGTCTAAAAAAAGAAAAACAAACAAACAAAACCATCTATAAGGTTTTGCCACAGACCAGCTCAGAACAGCCTCCTAGACAGGCTTGGCCCTGTTCCAGACCCTAAGGGACAAAGGCAGGCAGGGTAGCAGTGGCACAATAATGCATTTAGAGGGCAAAGTGATAAACCCCCACTACAGCTGGCTGCTTGCCACCAGATGGGCACTTTCACCTTTGCTATCTAATGTAAACTAATCATAAACCTTGTGGCATCCCATCATATTTACAGGTCCTCAAGGAGAGAGAATTATACAGGTTGTATATATAGGGCAGAAATCTTGCAGGCCATCTTAGAATTCTGTCTACTCCCCAAACAACATAGCAAATCATAAGTAGGGGAGATGTGTTTCACTTGTAGGCCTTCCCACACCCCATGCAGGCATTGTCCCATGGTTTTGCTACCTCTGAAGATTGGCAAGATCATGAACAAAAAGTGGGCCCATGCCTGGCTTCTGTAATGTAGTGGTTATCACATTCGCCTCACACATGAAAGGTCACCAGTTTGAGACCGGGCCAAAACACGAGATTTTCCCCCTAAATTTAGTGAGTTTAATCGAGGTTGGAAACAAACAGAAAACTAGTTAAACCTGTGCCTACATTTTGGCCGGGTGTGGTGGCTCATGCCTGTAATCCCAACACTTTGGGAGGCCGAGGTGGGCGGATCGCATGAGATCAGGAGTTTGAGACCAGCCTGGACAACATGGTGAAACCCTGTCTCTACTAAAAATACAAAAATTAGCCAGGCATTGTGGCACATGCCTGTAATCTCAGCTACTTGGGAGGCTGAGGCAGGAGAATCACTTGAACCTGGGAGGCAGAGATAGCAGTGAGCTGAGATCATACCATGGCACTCCAGCCTGGGCGACAGAGTGAGACTCCACCTCAAAAAATTAAAAAACAAAAAGTGGACCAATAGTGTCCAAAATCCATTTTGCATCCACTGCCCAATTCTCAGAAATATTATATATTATCAGAAATAACCAGAGTTGGCTCTCCAGACAGATAAAGCCCTAGTCGAGGTTGACCACTGATGGGGCTATGTCTGCCAGCATTTAGGATGGCTTCCAATGAGTCTTGTATCCAGGTGCTCCTGCCCCTGGGTGGTCTCCTGTCACAATGAATAGGGCTGACCCATGTGACCCATGCAATATTATGGAAGAGATAGTGGGTGACTTCCAAGCTAAGTCATAAAAGTCACTGTAGCTTCCACTTGGTGGCTCTCTTGGATCGCTTGTTCTGAGAGAAACCAGCTGCCGCATCACGAGGACTGTCAATCAGCTCTATGTGGGTCCACGCAATGAGGAACTGAGGCCTCCTGCCAAAATAGCCAGCACCAAGTTGTCAGAAATGTAACTGAGCCATCTTGGAAGTGGATCCTCCAGCCCAGTCAAGCTTTCAGATGACAGCAAGACCTGGCCAACGTCGACTGCAACCTCACAAGATGGAGCCAGAATCGCCCAGCTAATGCTCCTGACTTCTGACTCACAGAAACAATGTGAGATAATATTTATGTTGTTATAAGCCCCTAAGTTTGGGGGTAATTTTAAATATCAATAGATAATATGGGGGTCTTCTTTTTTTTTTTTTCTTTTTGAGATGGAGTCTCGCTCTGTCGCCCAGGTTGGAGTGCAGTGGCACGATCTCGGCTCACTGCAAGCTCCGCCTCCCCGCTTCACGCCATTCTCCTGCCTCAGCCTCCCGAGTAGCTGGGACTACAGACACCCGCCGCCACGCCCGGCTAATTTTTTTTGTACTTTTAGTAGAGATGGAGTTTCACCGTGTTAGCCAGGATCGTCTCAATCTCCTGGGGGGGTCTTCTTAAACTAATACTTTACCCAAAAAGATGGCACTGATGATGAGAACACCATATATTGAGCACTTATTGTGTGCTAAGCTCTGACTTGCCTCCCTATAGGCTGTTGGATCACAAGGTAACAGCTGGTAAAAGCTGAAACCCAAACCCAGAGGTCCTGACTCAGTCTCACACCATCCAAAGCAGCCCTAACAGGAATTTCTACAACTGGAAATGTTCTGTGTCTGCACCACCTGATACAGTAGCCACTAGCCACATGTGGCTGTTGAGCACTTAAAACAAGGCTAGTGCAACTAAGAAGCAGAATTTTTATTTTTACAATTATAATTAATTTAAATTTATAATATAGCCACAGTTCCCAGTGGCTACCATAGTGGTCAGCACAGATCTAACAGATGTGAGGGCCTTCTACAAGACACAAGTTAGGAGAACAGAGACCCACTCAACCTCATGGGACTCAGAAAAACAGTGTGGCAAAGTCTCAGGAGAGATTTAAGCTGCCACGAGATTTAAGACCAGAATCACTGGTTCAGAGGGGGTTTGCAGGGGCATGAACAGCCCCCAGTGAGGGAGCCTTGGGTGATATAAACCCCTTGATAGGCAGTGCAGTTGTTAGCACTCTAGAGCCCGACTGCCGGGGTTCAAATCTCACCTCTACAACTGGTAAGCTGTGTAGCTTTGAGCAAGGTATTTAACCTCTTAGATGCAGTTTCCCTATCTGTCAAATGGGGTTACTAATAGCACCTACTCTGTGGAGATCTGACAATTAAATGGGATCTGGTATAAAGCCCTAAGAATGGGTTCCTGGCCACATGGTGTGTATGGGAGGGTTTGCTCCAACTACCACCAATTCCTGTTTGCGTCCTTTCCCCAACCCCAGCAAAGTACTGGGCAACATGGTGCCAAAGGAAGATCACCAATGTCCAAGGACCTGAAATTAAGGTTCGACTCTCCAGACACACTAGGGGCAGGTTGCCCTCTTGGTAACAAGGATCTTACCCACCTCACAGGGTTGTTATAGTGGTCAAGAAAGATGGCCCATGCTATTTCCGGAGACTGCCAGCCAGCCTGGCTGCAGCAGTGGCCTGAGTGAAGCAGGCGGAGACAGTGGTGCGGAGAGCCCACATCTAGATGGGTGCCTGCCGCTCAGCAGCTCTCTTGTTGCCATGCAGGCTGACAGTTGCCAATTTTTTTTATTTCTTTTTCCCAAGAAAAGTGAGAAATCTGGATTTTTATGAGAAACCTCCTGATTTCTATGGATGGCAACTGACGCAAAGATTTTTGTGTTTGCTATTTAAACACAGTGCCACCTAAACAAAACCTTGAAGTAGGGGTGATATGCTGCATAGGCCATCAGGGTGCATGTTCTGAAGTCTTCCCTCTTCTCTAGGCCCCTTCCTGCCTTCTTACCTCTCTGCCCCCACCCTCTGCCCACCCCCGGCATGTCTGGCACCCCGTAGGGGATTTGGTCCGGGGAGTTTCTTCATGCTCCACTGAGATCAAGGGGATACAGAGCCCAAAAAGGATGACTTGTTATGAACGAAAATGACAGAGGCAAGCAGTTTAGAAAGTACCAGGTTTTATTATCTTTTTATCAAAAAAAATCAGTAACAGACAACAGTGTGAGAGGTGCCTACAGAGGAGGTGCTCACTCCAACACAGCCCAAGGGGAAGGGCACTGGGGGCAGAAGAGGACCCAGCCAGCTGGGACCCTGGGTTGCAGTGGTGACGGGAGCTAATGGCCACTGGTGCAGCAAGGGAGGGTGGTTCCCCTCACCGCAGCCACTGGGGTCAGGAGGAGACACGACCTGCCCAGGCTAAGCCACCAGGCCTCCCCTCTCAGGAGAGGGAGGGTCCCAGACAACAGGCCCCAGCTGGGGCCTCATCAGCCCTCCCCCATTCCCCCCCCCCTACCCAGGGAGACAAGGGTCGTCCCAGCACAGCTGAGGCTGTGACTCGTTAAGCCAGTTTAGTTCTCTAGAATAGTGCTGTCCAACAGATGGACATGCTCTCGCTGTCAGTACAGTAGCCATGAACTACATACAGTGACGCCTCTAGAAACGTGGTTAGTGCAACTGAGGAAGGAATTTTTAATCTTATGTGATTTTAATTGGCTTAACTTTAAACAGCCGCATGTGGTTACTGTATTGGATAGCACAGCCCTAGAGCCTGAAGAAAGCAAACCAAAGAACACCAGCTGGGTCCCAAACAGAAGGCAGAAAGGGTAGAACCATCCACCTCAACTATTCCAGCCCCATCAGAAGGCACCAGGAACAGGGCAAGAGAAAAAGGCAAAAACCCACCCAGCCACATGAAAATTCACTCACTCAACCACCCAGCAACATCAAACTGGAAACACCACACTATTTCCTGAAAAAAATATATTTATCTATTTTTCTAGAACCAAGGAAGAATAATAATATATTATAAGAACACAGACACAAATATCCCACCATCCCCTTCATTATATTTTGGGATCTGCTAAAAAAAAACTATGTTTCGGCAAAAGCTATTTTATAAGAGGAAGCAGCTTCAGAAAGGGCCAAGGCCATGAGGAGCGGGGTTTAAAGTATAAAAAAAAAACTGGGGAAGGGGTTTAATGAAAGAGAACAAAGAAAGAAGAGGGGAAGGGAGGCCCTATCTAAAGCTATAAATAGTAAAAAAAAAAAAAAAAAAAAAAAATTAATAAAAATCATCTCTCCGGCTCTTCTCTCATTTTCAAGAAACAAACAAAAACAAAAACAAAAACCATTAAATACAAACTTAGCAGGTGCTGTGGAAATGTGCGAGAGAATGAAGACACCTCGGCACCTCCACACTCTTGCCCAGGCAGAGATATACACTCTGCACAAAGGAATGAACAGTTAAAAAAACGAACAAACACTAAAAATAGATTTACAAATATTCTATAAATCCATTTCAGCATAAACTCTCAGCTCTTTTCCCCATCCTCCCCCCCAAATAAAAAAGGTTGATTTCCAAAAGTCACTTGAAAGAGCCTAGAATGGCCCCAGGTATATACCACAGAGATTCCCGTAGTGTGATCACAAGTACCCATTTACAGAAACATCTCAAGGTGCAGGTGGTTCTAGTTCCTTCCCCCATTTCCTGGCAGAGAGACCGGCTGTGAAAGGAAGGGAGGAAGGCCACTGGGGGAGGACCTCCAGCCAGGACTCCACACAACATCCGTTAGCCCCCTGGCTTCAGAGGAGCTCTGGATGAGGCATGGTCAGTATGGGCTTGAGGGCGGACCTAGATTCTTAACTGGAAGTTTAAGAAGTGATCCAATCCCAGTCTTGCCTTCAGAAAGGCCAAGTTGAATCCATTTTTCTGCCAGGGCAACTGAGGCCCAAAGCTCAAGAAGAACCTGGCAGAACAGTAGAAGACAATGTCTCTTCTGAACACTTCAAAGGTAATCAGAGCTGGAGATACTGACAAGTCAGTATTAGGTTGACCTCACCCTACCCTAATGTCCACCCTTCAAAATCCCCTGGCTTCCCTCCCCGCTAAAGTCCAAGCCAGTGCCCACAAGCAAGCTTCACGCGTAGAACTCATTGGTGGGGGCTTTCTTGTAGATGGGTTTCTTGCCCAGGTCATAGCTGCCTTCATCCTTCTTCTTCATACGGTACATGAGCAGTAGGATCAGGAAGACGGCAAAGAGGATGCCCACGATGCCACCCACAATCAGAGCTGGAGAGGAGGAGAGAGAAGAGGCGGGGGTGAGAGCTCCTCATCAGGACCTAAGGATGAACCCCTCTTTCCCCCACTGTCAGTTCTCTTACAACCAGACATCCTCACCATCACCACTGCCTGTGCCAGGCAAGCTGATGCCTTATTTAAGTTGACCTCATGACCCCAGTTATAAGAAGTGGGTCGTTGGCATTTTAAGTCACTGAAGACCACAGGGCTAGTGGTAAGGCCACTCCTTTTTCTTTTTGAGACGAAGTCTCACTCTGTTGCCCGAGCTGAGTGCAGTGGCGTGATCTCGGCTTACTGCAACCTCCACCTCCCAGGTTCAAGCAATTCTCCTGCCTCAGCCTCCTGAGTAGCTGGGATTATAGGCACGTGCCACCATGCCCGGCTAATTTTTGTATTTTTAGTAGAGATAGGGTTTCACTATGTTGGCCAGGCTGGTCTTGAACTCCTGACCTTGCCCATCTCGGCCTCCCAAAGTGCTGGGATTACAGGCGTGAGCCACCGCACTCGGCCAAGGCCACTATTTTAACCCACATCTGCCTGAATCTAAAGCCTAGGCTCTTTCCAAACACCACGCGGACTCCCCTGCAACAGTCTAGCACTAACTGAACCAGGAACAGGAGAAAACCGTAGGCTATGGAAATCCCTGTAGACATATTTATCCTGCAGTCCTTAGCACAGGGCACTCTCTAGCTCTCCCTGTGTGCATATTTACCTATATAGCCTACACTTCATAGACAGGTATGTACATTCAAAGTGCACACATGCAGAACATACTAATTCCAAACTCTTATGTTACAATTACATACAGAACTCAGTAGCTAAGGCCTGGTTTCCACTCCTACCTCTCCTACTTCCTGGCTGTGTGATTTGGGGCAAGTTTCCTTCATCTCCCTACCGCAAAATGGGAAGAGCCATACCTTTCTCATACATTTGTCCTAAGGATTAAATAAATTAATCCACTCAAAGTGCTTAGAACAATGCCTAGTGCATAGCATATTCTCAAGATTCATTAACTGTAAGGGTTTAAGGTTTATATCTGTGTCCCGAACCCCCTGAATCAGGTGTGCACAACAGGAGGTGCTTAATAAATGATACTTTCAGGCTCCGAGAGGAGAACCTGCCTAGTGTTGGGCAGAGATGGGCTTCTAACAGTGAGTGGGTCTGGCCTGTCCACTCTGCCAGGTGGCCTGAATGACTCATTCCTGTTTGCTAGGGGCAGGGATGCTTCATAGAATCCCTTCTGTGGCAGATTGAGTTCCCTAATTCGGTCTTACTCGGGCTAAGAAGATTAATTTTCCATCCCTGCACACACTACAAATCTATGTACACAATGGGGACAGAGTGGCACAGAGGAGTCAAGCAAGGTTCTTTCTTGGGTAAAATCCTATGAAAAAGCAACAAAAAAGTACCCCCAGGAGGTGCCAGAGCAAGCACATGGAATATCAGGCATCAACCCCATTCTTGTCTCTATCACCTTTCCCTCTGATGACCCCAGTTCCTCCACGAGGCCCTGGGTCTGCGCTGGGATGCCCCACAGGGTCAAGTTTCAAGCACAGGCTCAGAAGCTGACTGTGGTCCTCAGTCCAAATGCCAGGTCTGCCACTTCCAGCTTTGTGACTTCGGATAAGTTCTTTAGACTGAGTTTTGTGTTGTACGGACTCAATCAGGGGCACAGGAATCATACAGCATACAGCAAGCATTTAATAAGGCTCCTGGGTGCTGATTAAAGCTTCTGGAATGGGGGATTCCACCACACCAGCTAACAATATAACTTTTCACATGAGGCTCTTAGGCTTGTATAATTCTCAAATGGAAGATTAAAGAGATAACCTGGCTTCAGTTCTTTTCTTACTATGTGGCCTAAAGCCTGGGCCTCAGTCTCCCCATGTATAAGAAGCAGGTGCTTAGATTAATCAGTGGTTTTCAAATTTTTCTTTAGAAGCAATAGCACCTTTAGTTAATTAGAGCAAAACCTTATGCAAATCCAAAGTCTTATGCAAATCTTTTTACTTCTGAAAGAAAAGTAAAAAGAACTTTGGCTCAGATACCAGGAAGCCAGGGTCAGGGCTGAGGTGGGCCCAGTCATCAGGGGCTGTGCTCCCAGGAACCCTCTTTACAAGAGGCAGGTGAGACCTTCCATCTGTCCTGGATGAAGCCAGGCTCTGTCCCTATAGCTCAAGCCTCCTTGGAGCTGCTGGCTCTGTTGATTCCCAGGAGACAGGAGTTACCCAGCATGGGCCCAGGGTGCCCACTTGCCAGGCCGGTTCATCCAGGCTGGCCCTCGGCCATGACCTTGGGGAGTTCCCTCCATCCCTTTTGTCAACACCTGGGACAAAGCATTCCTCACCGCACATTCCAGTAAAGAACTCTCAACTGAGGCCAAATCGGAATAGCCCTTTATAGTGTGCAAAGTTATTTCATATTTTATTTTTCATGGACTCATTATATCAACCCCAGAAGGTATCACTGTACCCATTTTACAGATAAGGAAACTGAGGCTCATCAAGTTCGAAAGCTTCTCAGCCAAGGTCACAAGGCTGCCAAGTGATAGAGTAGGGGGAGGGGAAGCTAACCCAATTCGAAGGAGCCTCCAGACTTACAAGGGAAATTAACTTTTAATGATTAACTCCCAGATGCCAAACTTATACAGTGAAAGTCCTTTGCAAAATAAATGAGAAAGACTTAAGGCAGAAGAATGACTCAATGCCTATTTTCCAGAAGACTTTGATAGGTGCTTTTTCCTCTCCCTCCACCAGGCTGCACAGTCAGAGCCACCCCATAAGGAAGGTGTAGTCTTTCAATGTTCTAGGGCAACCTGAATAGGCAAAAGGAAGGGGCACCAAGGAGCCTCATGGCTGGAGGCATCCCTGCCTGCAGGTGCTCTCCCCCGCTGAGCCCCATTCCACCTTCAAGGCATCTTATAAGCAGCATGGGGACTTACCTGCCAGGACCTCCGTTCTCTCAAAGATGTTGCTGCCCTGCACAGTGCTGGACATTGACACCTTGTTGGACACATCCTCACTCTCTTCAACGGGTGAGATTCTCTTGGGGATAACCTCATTCTCCTCTAGTTTCTTGGGTTCGGTGGGGACTTGGCTCCCAGACCCTGCCCTCTCAGGGATATGGTTATCTAGAGGCACCTGGATGGGCGGAAAGGAGAAGAGACACTCAGCGTATTTTGGAAGAGACTCAGGGCAGGGGACAGGGACATTCAGCCAGGCAGAGAATCTGGTTCTGCCATATTCAGCTGAACCATATGGTCCTGGAGCAGGAATTGGCAACACTGTCTCCACAATTATGCTGCCAAAATCCTTATCCCCAACTTTTTTAGTATATCTGTCCCAAATGAAAAATGAATGCACCCAAGGGAACAGGGAAGCAGGTGCTCTCCTGCACTGCTGGCCACTGGTTATTCTAGAGCAACCACTCTGGAAGCAATTTGGCAAAACCTTAGACATCGCTTGCCCTTTAAGGTGGCAGTTTTGCCCTGGAAACTCTATTGTAAGGAGCTCTTCAGAGACTACGTGTAAAAGATGCTTGCTGCAGCTCCTCTGCCTATGAAGTAGCCATTCTTTTATTCCTTTACTGTCTTAATAAACTTGCTTTCACTTTACTCTATGGACTCACCCTGAATTCTACCTTGTGCAAGATCCAAGAACCCTCTCCCTTGGGGTCTGGATCGGGACCCCTTTCTGGTAACATCTTTCTGGAGAACCACAGAAGGGATGAGACGGAGGAGACTCCCGAATCAAAGGAAATGGACTGCAGCACTGATTGGAGGACTTTGGATATCACCTTTTGTCAGAACTAAGAGTTATGAATGGCCCTCACCATACTGGCCCTTTCTGACTGAACCCCTCTCTACCATGGATACAAGAGGCCCTAATAGTTAAGCAGGAATATCATCACCCTATTCAGCATGAAGAAGTTATAGAAGATGGATCTTTGTCCCTCTGCAACCCTTAGGATTAAGGGTTTTCTTACAAAAGGGAGGGGGAAAATGTCAGGTGTTTGAACCAGAGTGCCTACATCTTGAATAGGGGCTGGGTAAAATAAGGCTGAGACCTGCTGGGCCGCATTCCCAGTAAGTTAAGCATCCTACGTAACAGAATGAGATAGGAGGTCTGCACAAGATACAGGTCATAAAGACCTTGCTGATAAAACAGGTTGCAATAAAGAAGCTTGCCAAAAACCACCAAAAACAGGATGGCAATGAAACTGTTGGTCTCACTGCTCATTATATGCTAATTATACTACATTAGCATGCTAAGAGACACTCCCATCAGTGCCATGGCAATTTACAAATGCCCTGGCAAAGTCAGGAAGTTACTCTATATGGTCTAAAAAGGGGAGGAGCCCCTAGTTCTGGGAATTGCCCACCCCTTTGTTGGAAAACTCATGAATAATCTACCCCTTGCTTAACATATAATCAAGAAATAACCATAAAAATGGGCAACCAGCAGCCAATGCCACTGCTCTACCTATGGAGTAGCCATTCTTTTATTCCTTTACTTTCTTAATAAACTTGTTATTGCTTTGCAAAAATAAAAAAGATGTTTGCTGCAGTGTTATAATTTTAAAATGTTAACAAATTATAAGCCATTTTTCCGTCAATAAAGGGAATCAGGTAAACTATTACGCAGCCTATAAAAATGACAAGAGCATTAAATTATGCAGGGAAATACTCATGACCAGTCTAAGTGAAAAACGCAGTTCATAGAATTATATATATATACTTTTTTTTTTTTTTTTTGAGAGGGAGTCTCTGTCGCCCAGGCTGGGGTGCAATGGTGCAATCTCTGCCCACTGCAATCTCTGCCTCTCAGGTTCAAGCGATCCTCCTACCTCAGCCTCCCAATCAAGTAGCTGGGACTACAGGCGCACGCCACTGTGCCAGGCTAATTTTTTGTATTTTTAGTAGAGATAGGGTTTCACCATGTTGGCCAGGCTGGTCTCGAACTCCTGACCTCAGGTGATCTGCCCGTCTTAGCCTCCCAAAGTGCTGGGATTACAGGCATTAGCCACTGTGCCCGGCCTATATATATACTTTTCTATCAATGCTAGGAAATAGCTATAAATGTAGAGAAAAGGAGTTGGTGTTGACGGTGACTATCCCTGCAGGGAGGATGGCCTACCAGCAACCTACAAAATGAGCCTGGGGCCAGATTTGTTTGTTTGTTTGTTTGTTTTAACACAGTCTGGCTCTGTCACCCAGGCTGGAGTGCACTGGCACAATCTTGGCTCACTGCAACCTCTGCCTCCTGGACTTAAGCCATTCTCCCACCTCAGCCTCTCAAGTAGCTGGGACTACAGGCACATGCCACCACACCTGGCTAATTTTTGTATTTTATGTAGAGACAGGTTTCATCGTGTTGCCCAGGCTGGTCTTGAACTCCTGACCTCAAGCCTCCCAAAGTGCTGGGATTACAGGCCTGAGCCACCATGCCCACCCCAGGGCCAGATTTTTAAAAAGCCTTCCCGCATAGTGGGGTAAGACCCCTCACTTATTCTGCCTATGGGGGCTGTATTTTCTGCCTCTCCCAATAGGTCTGCTATAGAGGAGCAAAGTGGAAGAGGCAGAAGCATGTAGCTACTTACCAAGGGATGGACAACTTCAGGGCCGATCATGGAGTCTTCCAAGTCATCTGTAAGGTCAGAATAGCTGTGTGAGTGAGGTCCATTACCCCAGGAAAATGACCCCTTCAGCCAGGACTGGTGGGAGCTCCACCTTACAACCAGCTTCCAAATGCTCAATGTCCAGCAAGCGAGCTTCCCCACCCCTACTTCAGTCATCTCATCTGTAAAATGGGGCTCCTCAGACCCACCCCCTGGCTCTTTCACAGGAATGTGTGAGCTGGCAGCTGGGCAGAGGCTTCATCAGCTCTAAACCCTTGCTCTGCAAAGTGTGGATCCAAAAACCAATAGCAACACCTGAGAGCTGGTTAGAAATGTAGAATTTCAAGGCCAGGCGCGGTGGCTCACGCCTGTAATCCCAGCATTTTGGGAGGCCAAGGCGGGCAGATCACTTGAGGTCAGGAGATCGAGACCAGCCTGGCCAACATAGTGAAACCCCGTCTCTGCTGAAAATACAAAAATTATCCACGGGTGATGGCACGCGCCTGTAATCCCAGCTACTTGGGAGGCTGAGGCAGGAGAATCACTTGAACCCGGTTGGCAGAGGTTGCAGTGGGCCAAGATGGTACCACCGCACTCCAGCCTGGGCGACAGAACAAGACTCCGTCTCAAAAAAATAAATAAATAAATTCCCTCCATACGTATTCCTAAATACATTTTTCCCAATAATGGGCTCGTAACAATATATCATTAACATCTTTCCATTACAATGCTTAAAGAGTTACATTATTATTTTAATTACTTCTATTCAATGAATTTCATTTATTTTCAATAGTCTCTTACTGTTGAATGTTTAAAATGTTCTTATCTAAAAATATTGTCATGATCAGAAAACATTAAAGCTAATATTTCACTTATTTAAAAAGAGTAAAAATAATTCATTGGTTAAAAAAAAAAGAAGAAGAAATGTAGAATTTCAGGGCTGACTGAATCAAAATCTACTTTTTTTTTTTTGAGACAGAGTCTCTCTCTGTCGCCTGGGCTGGAGTACCGTGGTGCCATCTCGGCTCACTGCAACCTCTGCCTCCTGGGTTCAAGCGATTCTCCTGCCTCAGCCCCCCGAGTAGCTGGGACTACAGGGGTGCACCATGACACCCAGCTGATTTTTGTATTTTTAGTAGAGACGGGGTTTCACCATGTTGGTTGGCCAGGATGGTCTCGATCTCTTGACCTTGTGATCCGCCTGCCTTGGCCTCCCACAGTGCTTCAATTACAGGTGTAAGCCACCGCGCCCGGCCAAAATCTACATTTTAACAAGATCCCCAGGGAATTAACTTTTGAGAAAGAAAACTCTAACTGCAATATTAAAACATTTCCTGGGCGACTATGTGAGATGATGGATATATTACTTAACTCCACTGTAGTAACATTTTTACTATCTATATGTATCCCATAATATCATGTTGTATGCACATAATGAAATTTATTTTTTTATTTTTATTTTTTTTCAAGACAGAGTCTTGCTCTGTCACCAGGCTGGAGTGCAATGGCGTGATCTCAGCTCACTGCAACCTCTGCCTCCCGGGTTCAAGCAATTCTCCTGCCTCAGCCTCCCAAGTAGCTGGGATTACAGGCACTCGACACCACACCTGGCTAATTTTTGTATTTTTAGTAGAGACGGGGTTTCACCATGTTGGCCAGGCTGGTCTCAAACTCCTGACCTCGTGATCTGCCTGCCTTGGCCTCCCAAAGTGCTGGGATTACAGGCATGAGCCACCGTGCCCGGCCATAAAATTTATTTTTTTTTTAAACCAAACACACACGTACTGAGTGCTTGGTAGGTGCCAAAAGCTTTAAGTCAGTTCAGTCCCCACAACACTGATGTACTATCTTTATTATTCCCATTTTACAGATTAGAAAACTGAAGCTCAGTTCACACAGGATGGAGGCTTGAACTCAGGACCATGTGACTCCAAAGCTAAAACTTGCAAAGCTAAAACTTGCAATCATTAACACCTCTCTGCACATAGGAGGGACACTTATTAGCTGTCTGGCCTAGAGGCCTTGGGCCCTTCACCCGCCCCCACCCCCACTGAAGCAGGGACTTGTTCTTGGTTTCCCAACTACATCTCTGCCCACTCATGCCCCCTCCCACCCCATCCCCACTTCTAAGCTGCTACTTTTCCTTTTTTGTTTTGAGACAGGGTCTCACTCTGTCACCCAGGCTGGAGTGCAGTAGCATGATCTTGGCTCACTGCAGCCCCAACCTCCTAGGCTCAAGGGATCGTCCCACCTCAGCCTCCCAAGTAGCTGGGACTCCTACAGGTGCATGCCACCACATCCAGCTAATTTTTGTGTTTTTGTAGAGACAAGTTCTCACCATGTGGCCCAGGCTGGAACTTTTCCTTTCAAAAAAAGGAAAACACTCTATGGGTCCTCCTTCCCCACTCCCACCCTGTCCTGCCACCCATCCTACCCTCACCCCACCCCCACCATGCCCTGCAGAAAAGAGAAGAGCTTATGAGGACACGTTCAGGCTGGAGCTCAGAAAACCCAGAGCTACCAATGACTTCAAAGCAGCAAACAGCTTGTCCCCAGGGGCTCTCAGGGATGGAATAGGTTAATCCATTACTTTTGTTTCCCCTTTTTTTGAGAAGGAAGAAGGGCACTCTAGGAAAAGTCCCACAAAAATCCAAGTCTCAAGGCATGGTCACCCTCCTGGCTGGTGAAGCCACCACTCCCTCCAGCTTTGTGCCTACGCCTGCCCAGCACACCTTCCGTACCCAGATCTCCAGAGCCAGACAGCTCAAAGTCATCAGATTCCTGCCCGGGCCCCACTACATCCTCATCGTCTGGTAGGGCTCCGGAGAAGTATCGGCCTTCTAGGAGGTCCTGGGGGTCGATGACCTCAGTCTCTCGGATCTAAGATAAAGAAAGGAGACACATCAGCCAACATCCCCAGTGCTCCATGACAGCTGATGCCCAAAAGCTAGTGAAGTGGGCATTCAGAAACTAGAAAGAGACCAGGCCAGGGCCTGGAGACCTGCGTCCTGGATCCCACTCTACCTCTAACTCACCGCGTGTCCTTAGGCAAGTCTCTTTCCATTCTGGGCAAATAAAAATAGTACATGAGGCTGGGCACAGTGGCTCACACCTGTAATCCCAACACTTTGGGAGGCGGAGGCAGGCAGATCACTTGAGGTCAGGAGTTCAAGACCAGCCTGGCCAACATGGTGAAACCCCGTCTCTACTAAAAATACAAAAATCAGCTGGGCGTGGTGGCTTACGCCTGTAGTCCCAGCTACTCGGGAGGCTGAGACAGGAGAATTGCTTGAACCCGGGAGGCGGAGGTTGCAATAAGCCAGGATCACGCCGTTGCACTCTAGCCTGAGCTACAGAGTGGGACCCCCGTCTCAAAAAAAATAAAAACAGTAAATGAGGTAATAATCAAATTATTAATATGGCTAGATATCCTTTACCGAGCACTTGCTATGTGCTGGGCCCTGTTTTAATAACTCTGGAGGCATGTTATTCACTTCTTTTTACAGCCGAGGGAGTCATTTTCTTTTGGTGACACAGCTGGCAGATGGAAGAGCGAGGATTGCATACGCAGGGCTGCCTGACTTCAGAGCCAGGAGTCTCCATGCACAGGGCCCTGGGATGCTACACTCCAGGGCTCTGTGATGCAGTGGCAGCTGATTCACACAGGACAGGGAGTGGGCTCCTGGTTCTGGTCTTGCCCAGTCCAGGATACTTTTCCCAGCTGAGTCAGTCTGGGCCGGGACAGACAGGGCTGCCTCACGCACACCCTAAGACAGCCTCAGGTCAGGGCGCTGCCCAGACCTGATGACTCAGGAGTGTACTCCTGGATTCAGTCTTGCCTTCCAAACATCTCCCACAGATCTACTCTGCTGCCAGCACCATGCAGACACCGAGAGGCACAATCCCTACCCTCACAGACCATCCACTCCAGTACCCATAATCATCACTCAGCCACTACCCTGTGGAGACACAGCTGATCAGGACAGAGTCTCAGGTCCACTCCCACCAAACCGCTTGCCAAAAGAAAGTGTCAAAGGTCCCGGGCAGCCCTACAGTACATCAGTTACCCTGCTCCCATCCTGTAGCTCCACCGAGTGGGAACAATGTACCCTCAAGAGCACAGGAAACATTTGGATGCCCATCACCCTTCCTCCAGCTTCTGGGCTCAGGCTTCTGTTTGCCCAGAGAACAGCAGCTCTGAGCAAAGTTCATTATTCTACTAATTAATTCAAACACTAAAGTGCCTAGTATTTGCCAGGAGAGTTGGGGTTTTTCATTAAGTTCAATACACCATGCCCCTCCCGCTGAAAGACATTCCCATCTTCTCCAGACGCCATAACTGCAGGAGCTGGGGGTCTGCTTAGAATCACAGAATGCCAGGACCCAAGGAGCTCCTGTCCTCCCGTTTCACACAACTTGAATCTGAGCCCGGAACAGGGCAGGGACTTGCCCAAGGTCACACAGAGCGTTCGCTACATAACTCAGGATAGAAAGAGGTCAGGTCTCTGTTTCGGACACCCCAGGCAGTCCTTCACTCAGCTGAGACTGCCATTGACAAAGGAGGGTGTCTGAGAAGGAACATCTGTCCCTAAGATAAGGTTATTATCATTGCAGGAGAGGCCCAGGAAAGCTGCTTCAGAGCCACTCCTGTACTCTCCCCACTGGGCTTCTGGGGAGAGGCAGGTGGAACCTGACCCTCATGCACCCTCTTCCACCCCCACAGAGGGAGAATGCTGGATTCCCGGAAGGGAGCGGGGTCAGGCCACAAGGAAGGCAGTGGCCAGGAATCACTCTCTCCCGGGGAGTGGGGAGAATGCTGAACGCTTGGCACCCGTGGGGGTGGAAAGCCAGAGAGGTTAAGTGCTGCTCAGAGATGACTTCATGACTCGGGAATCAGGAGCTGCCGGGCTGCTGGTGCTGGAATTCAAGCCCCCGCACATAGCCCGTGCCTGTGGCTTTGGTTTGGCAGAGCAGGAGGAAGGCTCCTCATGGCTGCCCAAGTGCCTATACCTAAGGGCAGGGTCCCTGTGCTCCTACCTCCATCTCCTGTGGCAAATCCCCCAAGAACCCAAGTGACAGGCCTTAACCAAGCACACAGCCTGTCTAGGTCCTTTTAATAGTCCCTTTTTGCAGAGATGGAAACAAGGGCTCAGAAAAGTAAAGTCACTTGTCCAAGGCCACACAAGCAGGAAGTAGCCACACTGGGCCAGAACCCAGGCTTCACTGACCTGGACATTTAACCACAAACACATAAACACACGCATGAACACATATGTACACGGGGTCACCAGCCTGCCCCAGGCTCCAAGGGAGCCCTGTTAAGTAGGGGGGTCAATCTAGCCGGGAGAAAGAAAGAATGGTACACTTTGGCCAGCTGTTGACCAGGTCAAAGTCCTCAACAGGGGCTGTAGTTCCATCAGGAGACTTGTCTCAGGCTGAGAGACCTTTTCCCACCCCTCACTGCCCCCAGGAGCCATGGAAGGTTGTTTATGCATCCAGCCTCTCTTTCAGTATGTGAAAGTGCTAAGAGGTATTTCAAAACAACCCATGGGATTAGCATGCCCACTGGCTGTTAGGAATTACCTCCGTTTTACATTAGAGAAATGAAGGCTATGAGCGAAAGTGGGGCGTGAAGATCTTGCAGCCAAGTCAGCAGCAAAACCAAGGCTGAAACCAAGATTTATTCCCAGTTCAGCCCTCTTTGTGGGCACCTGTTCATCCTTAACCCTTCATTTTTATACTCAGTTTCCAAAAAAGAAACTAGTCTAGTCTGAAGTCACCCCGGGGCTCCGCGGCACGGCCTGGATTCGATCCTATTTCAAAGCTCTGAAAAGATGGAGTCTTCAAAGGCTGCATTTAGATGAGCCCAGGATTTCCCTCCTACAGCAAGTCAAGGGGCTGGGAAGAAACTTCTTCCAGCTCCCAGTGGTGATAGGAGGACACAGGGAATTAAATCTCTCCTTGAGCTCTGGAAGCCCCCTCTCTGCCCTGTTTTGGTCCCTTCTCCACCCATGACCTCTGACAAGAGGGAAGGCAACTCCAAAGTGGATAAGAGCCATTTAGGACTAGGCCAGCAAGACGGGACCAAGCCCCGTGGGATTGTGGGCAATCACTCTTTTTTGTGTAAAGGTTGGGAAGGCACCAACGGTCCTCCTCTCCTCCGCCCTCTTTTCAGATAAAGCCCATTGAGTCTGGGGTGACTTTGAAGAACCAGGCCACCCAGCAGCCAGGCCCAGCCCTGACCAGAGATGGACCCCGCCCTGCTCCTGGCTAAGAATGTGGTCTGTTCTCCTCAGCTCACCCCACCTTTGCCCAGGCATGTGTGTTCGTGTGTATACATGCACAGGCACCCTCTCTGGGCTCTCAAGTCTCCTTGTATCTTTGTCCCTTTCATGAACACACAACAGAAATTACCAACTAAGTAAGACAGTGGTGGCTAGGCACAGTGGCTTAATCCCAACATTTTGGGAGGCCAAGGTGGGAGGCTCACTTGAGCCCAAGAGTTTGAGATCAGCCTGGGCAACATGGTGAAACCCCATCTCTACAAAAATTAGCCAAATGTGGTTGTGCACGCCTGTGGTCCCAGCTACTCGGGAGGCTGAAGTGGGAGGATCACTTGAGCCCAGGAGGTCGAGGTTGCAGTGAGCTACGATCGTGCCACTGCACTCCAGCCTGGGTGACAGAGGAAGACCCTGTCTCCAAAAAATAAAAAATAGGGCAATGGGCCTAGGTCCCACAGACTCTGCTGGCCCTGTGGCTGGTGGGGATCTGGGATTAGTGCCTGGGGGTTTAGAGATACTACATTCTTCCCCAGACTGTTGGGGAGAAAGAAGGGAGGGGAAGTGCTCTTTTGTTCTACAGAAACTAACACCTGCCAACAGAAGGTATCTGATTTTATAACCTAGCAAACAGACAAGACAAGGGATTTTGCCAAGGTCATCCAAGCAGCTGGCAGCGGAGATGGACTTAGAACCTAGGTATCCTGGCTCCCAGACTGGAATTATCTTCTCTCCCCTTCCAGGGTGTTGGCTGCCCCTAAGGGTCTCAGCAAATCCACAGGCAGCAGCTGTCATTACAGTTATACTCCCCATCTAGTCTTTTGGCTATAGGCATGAAGCTACGAAAAGGTCCTATCCCAACCCTATCCCCAAATCCTATGGCTTCTATCACCCCAGGAAAAGCATGAGTGACTAAAAGGAGTATCCACTACATGCCAAGCACCATGCTGGGTACTTTGTTTATACAAGTTCATTTAAATGGCAAAACAGCCTTGCAAGGTGCTCTACCCATTTTGCAGATGAGAAGACTGAGGTTCAGCTGAGTCACTTATCCAACGTCATGCAACTAGAAAGCTAGAGCTGGGATTCAAATCCAGATCTTCCTCAAGAACACGTCCCAACCACAACTAGGCTTCTCACTGCCACCCACTCTTCACTTCTCTCCAGCCTAACCCGCCAGTCCACAACACACTGGCTGGGCCAGGGCTCCAGGGCAACCCTGTCCCTGCCTAGGAGTAAACAAAGGTGAAAGTGATATCACTTAAACAAAGGAACAGAAACTTGGCTGGGGCACCAGAGAGGAGTTCAGGGTCAGGGCTTGGATAACTGTGAACTAATGAGAGCCTCTCCCGACCTGGCTCCTCCCCAGGGGAGGTAGGGTCGGGGACACACTTGACCCTTCTTTCAGGAGGCAAGACCAGAAGGGTAATAACTGGGCAAGCCAAATTTAGTGGGGAGAGGGGATGGTGAGTACCTGGGGCTCCAACACCTGGACCCACCAGAATGATTTCTAGCAGGAGACCCCCAGCAGCGTACACTACTCGTAACTGTTCTTCCCCACCCCACCCACTTCTTAAGGGCCAGACATTCCCCAGAATGGCTAAAACCTGGGGCCCACAACTGTGACTCTACCACCCAGAGTGGTTGTGCATCAAGGCAGATTCACAAGTGTGAGTTCTGCCACTTCCTAACTATATGAGCTTGGGAGTTTATTTCATCTCTGAAATCCTCAGTTTCCTCTTTTGTGACTAGGGCTGGTAGCACCTTGCAGGGTGATGAGGATTAAGAGGAATGCATTTGTGTGTGCAAGGGACCCAGCACGTGATCAATGAATAGTGGCTGTGATTAACCCCTACCTGCCTTCCTCCTGGCCAGTGGGATCAGTGCTCAAAGGATCAGAGGCCTGGGAAAACTTGCAGAGGCAGTTCTGTTGCTGGAAGGAAGCTAGCCTGGGGACAGGGAGATGGTGCTTTGCAAACTGTAAAGGAATATAATCTATAATAGGTTATCATTTTGCTTCTGAGCCCAGAGACTTTTCAACAACCAATCAGGTCCCTTCAGACTGTGAAAAAAAGATACAGAGATAGTCAGAGACCTGCCCAAGGTCACACAGCTTTGACCACCTGTCCTAAGCAGACAGAGGTAAAGACCATTTTTATTTTCCCCGAAGGTGCAAATGACAGTGACCAGAAACACCTGAAATTCTACTTGGGGACCTGGGTCCCCAGGGACAAAATAAATAAATAAAAATCTAGAAGGTAAAAAGAAACTACACACCAATCCATGGTCTGGTGCTCTGGTGCCTGAATGGTTAAACCAGGTCTGGGGGTGGGGGTGGAGTGAGGGTTCAAATGTCGCCTTCAAGGTCGGGTTACTCTGAACACAATCACTCAGGAGAGAGCCAGGCCTGGCACTGCCTGCAACCAGCTTTTCACCAAGCCTCAGGGCAGCCCATTCCCACAGCAAGAACTCCAGGATCCTAGGGTGCCAGCTAGAAATGGGGGAAGGGTTCAGGAGCCTCTGGATGTCTCCCTGCCAGGAGCTGACCCAGCACCCTTGTTACTAACTCCCTGGATGATCGTGGACAATTCCCTTCTCTGAGCCTCAGTTTTCCAATCTGTAAAAGACAGGTCTCAAAGAGACAAGCCTCCCTCTGTCCCAGCCCAGTAACCAAGCTGGGCATTGCTCCGATTACCGGTGGAGACAGCCAGGAGGGGGCTGGCTCCCTCAGGGCCTCAGAGACAGAGGTGCATTGAAGTTGGAGCTTGTAATCTAGGCAGCAGATCCGAAATCCCTGCTGGATCCGAGGGCTAGGGAGGCTCTCGGGATGTAAACAAACCTCCTGTGTTCTCAGAGCAGAGTAGAGAGCCCACGCTGCAGCCTTATCTCAGCTGATTAGATCAGCCCTGGGTGCTGGCTTCCTGCCTCTTCCCAGCCTCCCTCACCGACCCCCAAGGAAGCCATCCTCCAGACCAGGTCAGTCTGTCCCACAGACGGCTCCGGCAGGGCTTCTCCAAGGCAAGGAGTATCCCCACTCTGGGTAGCCGGGCCAGCCATGTGCCACATCTGCCCCCACGCCCAGAGGCTAGAGTGACACCGCCAGTCCCCGCAGGCCTGGCCACTGACTGCTGGGCTTCACCAAGTCACTGTTTCCACACATACCAGCCTCTCCCTGCCTCCCCTTTCCATTACCCCAGGTGTCACCTGACCAGCAGCCTCTTCTACTGTGCCAGAGAAAACTGGAGCAGCCGAGCTCCCGGGCCTGGAGGACAGGGGGAGGGGTGAGATGCAGCCTGAAGGGGTGGGGGCCGCTGAATAGGAAGGTCTGGGCTGAAGGTGGGGGTTGGGGGAAGCAGGAGGCAAGAACAAGGCTGGGAAGTGGGGGAGGGAGGAAGGATGGCTGTAGAAAGGTCAAAGCCAGAAAGAACTGCTGAGATCAGAGTGACCTTTTGGGGAGTACTGCAGCCCCCTGAAAAGGATAAAAAGGTCTAAACCCCAATAACTGTAACTCTTAGTTTACATTTTCAACATATGCACAGACACCACCTCCCCAAAGCCAAACTCTGGCCGGGTTAAGAACCCTCGTCTAGGTGCTAATAAAGCCAGAACTTTACAAGTTTGCCAAACAGCGATGATGACCTTTGAGTGCCACAGGTGTTTTATAGAGGACACTGGAGTTCACATCAACAAAGTGACGTATTAACTGTGTGTGTCCCTGGGTGAGCAGCAGAGCTAGGACGGGGGCTGGAGTTTTCTGTACCCTCTTTTTCAGTCACCCAGCCTTCAGCAGATGGGACCAGAGAGGCCCCAGTGAGATGCAAGAATGTGCCCAAGGTCACCACTGTGTTAGTTAATGACAAACAAGCCCAAGAAGTCAGGCTTATTCTTCTAAGGTTAAATGAGACCCCAACTGTTGACATATGTGTTCTCTCTCCTCCCTCTCTAGGGCACCATGCAGTGAAAACATACGAGAAACTGGCTTTTCAGAACACTGTACCTTTTCTGTCCACCAACACCCCACCCCTCAAAGTGCTATTTGCAATCACTCAGCCTCCTTAAGGGTAGAAACTCTGCCCCTCCAGCACAGGAGGGTGACCCCAGGTCCTGGACAGTGTCCAGAGTGGTCTGATACCCTTGGCAAACCCCCTGCCCCCTCTCCCTCCAGGCTGCAAACTGTTCAGCATGAGGCTCCAGCAAATCCCAGCAGGAGAGGTGGGGCTGCCCAGAACTGGTTCTTGTTTAAACATAAACCCATTCGATAATTAGCAAACAGCCCACTTCTAAGATAAACAAATAGGAGATTTGGACTCCAAAAGCCCCACCCTAGATTTCTCCCTTCCCACCTCCCAGCTGTGGGGGTAGATAAGGGGGATAAGGGGGATGGAGAAAGCTTTCCAGGAGACCTGGGCTCAGAATCTTCAGAGATAGGACCCCCTGGCATGAAGGTGGCCTGGGCAAGGAAGGGAACTGTCACTAAGTAACACCTCCTCCCTACCAGGCATGGTACTAGGTGCCTTTATTTACAGCCCTGTCGTCTCCTTTAAGCTTCGCCACACCGGTATCATGATCTTCTTAACAGACCAGGAGGCTGGGGCTCAGAGGTGGAGTAGCATGACTGAATTCATGTAGCCAGTAAGAGGTGGACTTCGCACGTCTGGAGTTAAGTCTGTGTAACACCAAGCCAATGTTTCAATGCCCTCTGGCCAGCCCCAGGAAGCAAAGAGGAGTCCTCACAAACATCAGAAAATCCTGGGGTCACACCAAACCTGAACAGTACCAGCTTTTGCTCTCTGAAAAAATGCAGGCCAGTTGCAGCCTCAGTTTTGCCTTAAAGAGGAAAAAAGTACTACCTGCTCTGCAGAGGTCTAAAGCCCAATTTTGAGGACTGGCTGCACAATGTACAATGTCAAAGTCTACATGCAGGCAAGGGGCTGTGAAAGTGCGGGACCTAGTACAAACATGTCCTGTATGTCCCCTCGAGCCCCGGACACTGAAACAGTGACTCCCAAAGGACAAGGTAAAACTCTGAGCTCATTCCAACACCCCCACCACAGAGCTGTCCTATTAGCCAAGAGTTTGAAAGGAAATGGGTGACTCAGGCAGGCTACGCTAGCATGCAGTGACTCACAGCGCTCGGTCCAGCCCCTTACCCCAATTTTAAGCATTCATTTGGAAATCACACTCGCCTGTCCAGTCCGGGAGGTTGAAGGACAGCTAGGAGCCAACTTCTCCCAACAGGGAGATGGGGCTGGGAGCCCAGCCTGGCTTCCCCAGCTCCTCATTCAGGCAGGCTCAGCACTCCAAGTCCTTGGAAAAGCCCTCTGTTTCTAGGAGCTGGGGATGGCAGGAGCTGAATGTCCCCCCGCCACCCCAACTTCTCTTCTGAGACTGGGATTTGTTTAGACTCTTCACCAAGGAGGCCAGCAAAGGGCCCCTCCCCTCATCAATGGGCTCTCTGGGCAGGAAGGACCCTTGGAAGGCAATGGTCCAGCCTCCTTATTTTAGAGTTGGGGACACTGAGACCCAGAGACAGGGCATGTTTGCTCAAGGTCACCCAGCAACGCAGAAGTAGGACCTAAGGTATCTACCTTCAAACCCAGCAAATTTCCTCATCTGGAATATTCTGAGGACACTCAAACCAGACACCTTGCCCTATCAGAAGGACCTGGTTCTGACCTTAGGAAGCCACTGCATTGTTCCGAGCATCAATTTCCTGTAAAAATAGAGAAAATGGTACCTCGCAGTACTGGGAGATACTCATACTAGCAATAAATAACAGTAATGAACCATTTAGAATAAAGTTACATGCACGAATTTATTCATTCATACAAGCATTTCCTGAGTACAAACTAGGGGACAGGTATTTCACAAAAACAAATAGAGCAGAGTTCCTGCCCTCAGTGTGCGGGGGGAGAGAGGGAGGGATTCAGCATTTGGTGGAGTATGTTAATTCCCTCAAGTTAATTCCTTCAAGAGAGAGACCTCTTTTGAATAGTAGGTACTTAAGTTATTAATCAAATTGAGAGATGGAAAGGACTCTGGAGGCTACCCTGTTCAAACCTTTCATTTTAAGGTGGGGGATGTCAGCCCAGCGGGGAAAGAGGCCTCCCCCCAACCTCATGGAACCCTCCAAATCATGGCCCAAATATTTTCGTGGGTGTTTGATAACTCCCTGGGCTCAAGAAGTCCCAAGAGCTCTCACTGTTCACTCAAGGGTCCTAGAAGCCCCTAGGCTTCCGCCCCCACCCCTACTCCCATGTAATCAAGAAGAGGACGCTGTAGAAGACCAGAAATGTCCTTAAGCTAAAGTACACTTGATAGGTGATAGGTGGGGGACACTTCCCCACAACCGCCTGGGCCCGGGGCCAAGTCAGTAGGCTGTGCCCCTGGGTAGGAACACCTTTGGGTGGAGGGGACTCCCAAAACAAGGCTGCCTTTAATTGGCCTGAGAGGGAGTGGCAGGAAGGCAGATCAGGGAATGCTCCCAGCTGGACAGGAAGAACTGGTTTAGTATAGCAAGCCCAGCCAAACAGAGGAGAGGACAGCTGGGTACTGAGCCTGGGTTCCCTTCCAAAATATGGGGGTGGTAAGGGGAATGATGGAACAGTCGGGGGAACACCACCCACAATGGGAGGGCTACTAGTCAGAGATCCTGGGGTCCTGGATGCCCTCTACTAACCCAAAGTAGTACCATTTTACCTCTCACATTTGGGAAGTGGGCATAATAGAATCCCCATGTGACAGGTCTTTTTGTGAGGACAAAATGCACCAGATCTGTCATATAAAAAGTACTCTATCACTCCTAACTGCTATTAGCAAAGTCCTTCTCCCTGGGCCTCACTTTTCTCTACCTGCAAAAAGAAAAGGACACGCTGGATCATCTCTTCAGTCCGAGCCAACCGTGACTATGTCTGATTTTTCCAACCACAATCTAGAAAAGAGGGAGGGGACAGGCCAAAGGGGAAGCCCTGTGCCCCAGTTACAGGCAGGAGGTCTGTGACATTAGCCAGGAAGGGGAGAGCTGAGGTCAGGATGAGACTTGACACCTATCTCAGGAAGCAGCTGCCCAGGGCTGATGTCTCCTGCAGCTGATGGGTCACCCAGGCAGGACTGACACAGTCCCCTTCCCCCAAACTACATCCTTCAGAATGCCCCCAGGACACAGCTGACTGCTCAGCACCCTGAAGCACCTGAAGGCTCAGCAGCCCCTGGGAGGAAACTGGCATGTGACTGGGCACACGGTGACCTCAGCAACCTCCTGGGTCCTTTCCTCTTTTTCCCTGTACTGCCTAGGTGGTATCCCTTCGGATGCTTCCCCAGTTGCTTGACCCGACACATCCTTCAGGGCCTAGTTTAGAGCACTGTGCTAGAGGCAGAAGGCTTGGGTCCTCAGCCACTAACATTTTAGGCAAGGTAGCCTTTGGTTTAGGTTAAGTCATCACCTCACTCTGGCCTTGTTTCCTTCCACCTCAGAATTCCTTTGCCTTCCAGCCTAAAATCTCAACCTATTCTAAACCCGTCTTTAGTTACCAACGATGGGACACCTGGAGTAGCACAAAGAGTAGAAGTTAAGCTAAAGCAGAAACTTGAAAGCCTGGCTGCCTAAATTTCAATCTGACTCACCCATTTATTGTGTATTAACTGTGTGACCCTGGGCAAGTTACTTAACCTCTCTAGCCTCAGGACCAGTTTAAGAACAGTACACAGTAAGATTGTTGTTGGAATTAAGCTCCTGGATATACCCATTAGAAAGTTATTAGAGCAATGTCTGGCCCCCCGACAAAGGCGCTCCACGTTTGCAATCATCATGGCATGCCTGGAATTGTGCTGGAAGTATTGCCTAGGGTCTCATTCATTCCTCAAGAAGAGCCTGCAGGCAGAATCAACCTTCCGCTAAGTAAATTCAGAGGAACAGGAGCCCCAAGGCTTTCAAAGAAATTAACATTAATGGTTAAACTGCAAGGACTCACTCGCTCTGAAAACTGGGGCTAAAGGGCACAAAGGGGGCACAAAGCTCAGGCTGTGGGGGACAGATTGCCTTCACCAGTAATTCCCATGCCCCCCAACTTCCCAGATGAGATTGCCCCCCTCCTCCTAAGCCGGCTGCGGGCATGGATAGAGCTTCTGCTGGCCCAGGGACAGCTATGACGGAGGCCAGTGGACAGTGAGAAGGAAAGGTTTCCCTGGGCTGATTGAGGCCTTCTCTCCCCCCTACCCCCTTCACCTCACTCAAGGTGGATGCTTCAATTTTCTTATCTGCAATTGAGAAAAAATGAACACACTTCTTGCAGAAAGCAGAGGCTCAGCTCCTGGCTAAGTGTTGAGTCTAAACCATTCCTCTCCTCTGTCCTCGAAAAGAGCAGAGTCCCCAACTTTCTAGAAACCCTAACGCAGTGTCCCCTCTTGCCCCATTCCCTCAGACCCTTGGTGCAGTATTGGGAAGAGATTCAGAAGGGCAGGACTTTGCCCTAAGTCACAAGTCAATGACAGAGCTGGGGCCAGAACTGAGGTTAGGGCTCAGTTCTCCTTGGTGTGTGAAAGAGGGCCTCGCACAACCCTAAAACCCTCCCCCTTCCGAGTACACGCAGCCCCCCGACCCCCAGGGCCATCTCGGATCCTAAAGCTGTCTGCTCTGGGCGCCCCGAGAGCGAGGAGGGGATTCAGCGCTCCAAGCCTGCCCCAGGGTCACCAGGGAAGGGACGAGGGTGTGGGAGTTGAAGAGTTGACACCGGCTTAGTCACTAACGAGCCCGTAGCCCGCGGCGGGGCTGAGGCCCGGGGAGGCGGGAAGAGCAACAGGCGAGGGGCGCACGGCGCGTGAAGCCATCCCGGAGGCTGGCCCGTGACCCCGGAGCAAAGTTTCCAACAAAGTTTCCCGGGCCTCGGTGTCCGGTTGGGGGTAGCGTACCCCCGATCTGCCCCCCCCCATCCCACGCTCCGACGAACAAAGGAGGCACCGGCCTGCGCCCCCGCTTCGCCCCCAGCCCGGGAACCTCCAAGCACCCACCGACTCGGCGACTCCGCCTACGAAGAACAGCAGCAGCGCGAACAGACGGGCGGGGGCCATGGCACCGCGGACTGGAGAAGGCGCGCAGGCTGCGGCGAGTGGCCCCGGGCGGGCGCGCCACCCATCTTATAGGCGGCCTACCGGCCCCGCCCCGGCCCGCCCCCGCCCCGCCGCCCGCACCCCGCCCGGAATTCCCCAGTGGAAGCGAGGCCTGCGGGGCACTGCGCCCGCCCGCGGAGTTGGAAACCCCAAGGGACCCGCCCTGCCCGAGCCCGCCGGCTCCTACTCAACCCCTAGTCCTACCCTCCGGGAGCTCCAACTCCCTTTATTTATTTGACCCACTGCCAGGCAGGTCCCCAGAGATCACTGCGGCTAACCCCATTTTATAGTTGGGGAAACTAAGGCCCAGGGACGGGAAGGACTTCCCTAGGGTGTTGAGTTTAGACCAGCCTTCATACCGGGTGTGCTCCCCTCTGAAGACACAGAACTTCCCAAATGGGATGTGAACCGTGTTAAGACAGGGGACAGCAAACTATTCTGTAAAGGGCTAAATATTTTAGGTTTTGCGGGCCATACGATCCCTGTGGCAACTATTCAAACTCGAGCGTCGTAGCTCAAAAGCAGCCATAAATACTAAAGGAATGAGGGCAGCTAGGTCCTAATAAAACATTATTTATAGACACCGACATTTGAATTTAATATAATTTTCATGTGTCACGAAATATTATTATTCTTTTGACTTTATTCCCAACCATTTAAACATGCAAAAATCGGCTGGGCTCTATGGCTCACGCCTGTAATCCCAGCACTTTGGGAGGCCGAGGAATAGGAGGATCCCTTGAGCCCAGGAATTGGAGACCAGCCTGGGCAACCATAATGAGACCCCCATCTCTACAAAAAGTTTTTAAAGAAATTAACCAGGCATTGTGGTGCACCCCTGTGGCCCAGCTACTCTGGAGGCTGAGGTGGGAGGACTGCTTGAGCCAGAGAGGTGAAAGTTGCAGTGAGCCATGATCGCTCACTGCACTCCAGCCTGGGTGACCGAGTGAGACCCTGTCTCAAAAATAAATAAATAAATAAATAAATAAATAAATAAATAAATAAATGACATTTTATAATAAAAATGCAGGCCGGATGCAGTGAGTCATGCCTGTAATCCCAGCACTTTGGGAGGCTGAGGCGGCGGATCACTTGAGCTCAGGAGTTTGAGACCAGCCTGGCCAACATGCTGAAACCCCGTCTCTACAAAATACAAAAATTATCCAGGCATGGTTGCCTGCGCCTGTAATCCCAACTGCTCTGGAGGCTGAGGCAGGAGAATCGTTTGAACCCGAGGGGCGGAGGTTGCAGTGAACTGAGATCTCCCCACTGCACTCCAGCCTGGGCAACAGAGCAAAACTCCGTCTCAAAAAAATAAAAAATAAAAATGCAAAAACCATTCTTAGCAGTGGGCTGAACAAAAATAGGCGGTGGGCCTCAGCCACTCTGAGACCACTCTGACGCTGGTCTCAGAGTGGCTGACGTCTGTTCTAAGGGCTTCATCTACCAGATTTTGAACTTTTTCAAAAGTTTGATCTCTCTGAGAACTGGTCTGCAAGTTTATTTCCATTCTTAGGGTAAGCTTCCACCCTTTATAAGAGAAAGTTGTGTGTCCTCCTTACCCTTCATCCTCCTAACAGTGCATTGGTGGGAGCAGGTTGAGGGAAGAAGTGGAGGGGGGTGCTATATGGAGACTGTAAAATTCTCTGGGTCCCCAAGCACACGTACTGTTGGAATTATTGCAGGGTGTGAAGGTGGGCATTCTACGATGATCGAAGTACAAAAGAAGCCTAACCCTGTCTCTCCCTGACTTATGTATAAATCTTTCTAAGGGTGTAACATAGCCTTAGAAGTAGGACATTTTGGCCACTGTTGGCATATTATGAATTCATATACTTTGTGGAGTGGAGAATTGGTAGTGACTTCCCTTTTTCCACCTCTTAATTATTATCAAAGAATAAAAGTCTCTTGTGGCAGAGAACCTTGGCAGTAAAGCAAACTTCAAATGCTGACCACGGGGTTTCCACAGATTTAAAGGTAAGCAATGACTTTCAGTGGTTTTTAACATGCTTCCCTAGGATTTGGAACAAAACTGAGAAAATGAAGAAATCTCATGCCAGAATAAGAAATCCTTTTGCAAGTTAAATGGTTTGCAATCTTTGCTTTCCACAAAATTGCAGGGGGGCCTAATCTAGTTGTCAGTAGATAGATCATTAAATATAGAATAGGTAACTGTGATTTTAGTTATCTATTGTCACACTGTTGTAACAAGAGTTCTTCTGTTCCTACCAACTTTTATAAGTTTCTCAGCACTTACAGCCAGTGGTGTGCCAGTAAATGTTTGACAATTGGCTAGGGGAAGTGGCGAGTGCTAATTTGCCAATTTCTGTAGTGTAAATACTACCAGCATGGCTGATTTCAAGCTACCAATGAGATGTCACTGAACATGGAGCTGGGAAGATATATTTCTACCACACAGATACAATAGGTGCAAATAATCTCAAAAGCATGGATAACAGTAAAGTGTAGTGAGATAATTAGTAAGTGATGAGTTTTGAGTATTTATTTCCTTTATGGTTTTGTTTTTGTTTTTGTTTTTTTGAGACGGAGTCTCAATTTGTCACCCAGGCTGGAGTGCGGTGACGCAATCTCGGCTCACTGCAACCTCCGCCTCCCAAGTTCAAGCGATTCTCCTCAGCCTCCAGAGTAGCTGGGACTACAGGCACACACCACCATGCCCGGCTAATTTTTGTATTTTCAGTAGAGACAGGGTTTCACCATGTTGGCCAGGATGGTCTCGATATCCTGACCTCGTGATCTACCCGCCTCAGCCTCTCAAAGTGCTGGGATTACAGGTGTGAGCAACTGTACCCGGCCTCCTTTTTTTTTAATATAATTGTATGTTCATATAAATTAATTTTTAGTAATAGTTATGTTTAACAACTGGCTAATGACATAAAAAAAAAAGCAACAAAAAAAAAACAGGATCTCTCTCTGTAGCCCAGGCTGGAGTGCAGTGGCAAAATTATGGCTGATTGCAGCCTCAACCTCCCAGGCTCACGAGATCCTCCCACCTCAGCCTCCTGAGTAGTTGGGACTAGACATACGCCACCACGCACAGCTAATTATTATTATTATTGTTATTGTTATTATTATTATTATTATTATTATTTTGGTAGAGACACAGTCTTACTATGTTGCCCAGGCTGGGTTTGAAGGCCTGGGCTCAAGCAGTCCTCTCAACTTAGCTTCCCAAAGTGCTGGGATTACATGGCACCCAGCCACAAAATTTCTAAAAATTGACTTTCATGAACCACTACAAGATGGCTTTACCACACCATGGTTTGACAGCTATAAAAAATGAAAAATAGGAATAAAATTATTGCTAAAACCTGTTTCATTCTAGCAATATTCGTTGAGGTGTTTGTTTGTTTGTTTGTTTTTGACAAAGTCTCACTCCATCACCCAGGCTGGAGTGCAGTGGCACAACCTCTGCTCACTGCAACCTTAGCCTCCTGAGTTCAAGTGATTCTTGTGCCTCAGCCTCCCAAGTAGCTGGAATTACAGGTGCACATCACCATGCCTAGCTAATTTTAGTATTTTTAGTAGAGATGGGGTTTCGCCACATTGGCCAGGCTTGTCTCAAACTCCTGACTTCAAGTGACCCGCGTGCCTCGGCCTTCCAAAGTGCTGGTATTACAGGCATGAGCGACTATACCCAATCTCATGGAGGTTTTAGTGAGCTAATTGGAGAGAAAAATTGCCACAGCCACCTAATTAAGACAGGTATTTCTAAAACAACTTTACTTTTTCTACTTAATAATTATTTATCAAAGTTTGTAGGACTGGTTTAGAGAGTGATGTGATTTGGATGTTTGTCCCCTCCAAATCTCATGTTGAAATGTGATTCCTAATGTTGGAGGTGGGGCCTGGAGGTGACTGGATCCTGGGGCAGATCCCTCATGAATAGTTTAGCATTATCCACTTGGTGATAAATGAATTCTCACTCTCAGTTCACGCTGGATCTGGTTGTTTAAGAGTCTGGGAACTCCACCTTCCCTGTCTCTTGGTCCTGATGATGCCATGTGAGATGTCTGCTACCCCATTACCTTCCGCCATGATTGGAAGTTTCCTGAGCCCCTCGCCAGAAGCAAATGCTGGAGCCATG
Organism: Homo sapiens; assembly: GCF_000001405.40. Taxonomy (NCBI): domain Eukaryota; kingdom Metazoa; phylum Chordata; class Mammalia; order Primates; family Hominidae; genus Homo; species Homo sapiens. The sequence continues at coordinate 45,352,532 of NC_000020.11, forward strand.
CTTGTATAGCCTGCAGAACTGTAAGCCAATTAAACCTCTTTTCTTTATAAATTACCCAATCTCATATATTTATAGTAACGCAAACAGCCTAACACAGCAAGCATATATTTATGTCAATTGTATACTTTAAATATGTATAGCTTATTTTATGCCAGTTGTACCTTAATGAAGCTGTTTAAATTATTGCAGGACTTTTTAAAAGAGTCATCAGTAAGCCTCTGACGCATTAAAAAAAAACACATTATGATAAAATTTTGTGGTGGAACATGGAGTAGAAATTTGACTTCAAATAGAAAAAGAAATGATGCAAAATGTCTGACTCTTAGAAAAGAGCTTGTTCATGTATTTTTTAAATGGATGATTGTAGGTATCGAATTGCTAGGGCATTTAATTTAACTGGATACATTTAAAAGAGTGATGTAATTGTTTTACTTTTACGTGTATAAATTTACAATATGCCAGAAATTACAACCTTTGCAACTATTTAAACTTTTGATGAAAAATGTTAAGCTATCAACTAAAAATTATGTCAAGGAGTACCTAGTCTTAAAATAATCATTTACAGAGTACACTAGCAAAAAAACAAAAACAAAAACTGAAAACAGCTCGTTTAGAGAGTTAATGGAAGTTCTTCTATAAAACTATCTTAACCTCCTGGAATTAAGGAAATAATTTCCCCTTCCCCAAGTTCTGAGAATCTCTAAAGGGATGCAACATGTTTGAATATAATTATTTGTGGATGTATGGGTCTTTAACCTGGGCTCCATGACTGGGGGCAGAGGACACATGCATGGTCAGTACTCCTCTAGGTTATGTGTCTCTGCATACATTATTTTGGGGCAAGAAACTTCAGATTCTTTCTTTATATCCACAAAAAGAGGATGTTTGGGGGATCCTCCTTTTGGGTGATCCTGACCCCCAAAGAGTTAAAAATAATTTGTCCAAAACCTGAGATTCTTTGAGAAGTTTTATTGGGTTCTTCTTTGGCCTCCAAAAAACAAAATGCAGTAGTCAAAGGTTTGTAATACTGAATAGGAGTTCCTAATTTCCTGCATGGGGCTGAGGTACAAAAACCCAAACAACCAAACAAAACCCACAGTGTTTACAGCCAGAAGTTCTTCATTAAAATCCTGTTTCCAGGACTTGCCAACTGGAGGAAAGTTTGTGAGTCCCTTTGCTCCTCCCTACAATGGAGATAATTCCCTCTTGAACTAATTAGGAGAATGGAATAAGGTGAAGTGGTGAACACATAACATATACTCACCTATGTTGGGTCCAGCACTCTTTCTGTATATTCTAACCTGAGATTGAGTGAGTCTGAGAGATGGCATTGGTCAAACACTTTACATCCTCCCCCTAGCTTCCTTTCAAGCAAAAGGAAATGATCTAGGACATCAACAGGCAGCCCCCTCCCATGGAGCTAAAAAATGAGCTCAGACCCAGCCTATAGCAGAGGTGGTGTCCCTCCCCCTTTTCTCAGACTTCCTAGGCCGGAGTTAACCAAGGCTAGGTGCACACCTGGTACATCCAGAGACACCTTAAATGCTACCTTCTCCTGGAATCCTCCATCCTCTTCTTTTAATTCTCATTTCTTCCTGCCTTGAGGTTTCTAGGACTCTATCTGTCCCACTCTTTGGGCAGGCATCCCTTTCTCACTCATGTTAGTTTTAGGTGAAGAGCACAGTCTTCAAAGTTAAAGAGACCTAGATTGCAATCTTGGTGGTATGGAGCAAGACACTTTTTCTCTCTGTGCCTCAGTTTTCTCATGTGTCCCCCCATGTAATTTGAGGGTCATTATAGTTCTTAACATCATAAAAATGTTAAGACTACAGTGCTTAGCACAATACGGAGCATCAAAGTGTTATCTATTTTTATAATCAAGGGGGCCTCCCCATAAGAGTCTTGACTTACTCCCCTCCCCAGCAGCTCCTCACACATGGTTAATAACAGGTAACACATTACTATTTTCAGAACAGAAAAAGGATTGGGCCATAGGGCTCTCGCCCAGGATGGTGCCAACCCTTTCTGGTCTTCCTCAGTTTATGTAAATCTCTCTCCAGCTACAGATAATGACAGCTTAGAGTTTCCAGGGGCTGTGGAATGTCCAGCCACTGCCTTGCATAACCACAGAAACTAAGAACACTAGGCCCAGAAGGGTCCTCTCAAATCATTCAGTCCAACAGTACCCGCATTATAAGATAGGCAAACCGAGGCCCACACGGTGAATCAGCATCCACCACAGGCATTTTGAAGAATTCTAAAAATAACACCTCCAATTACTCTTTCCACTTGCTTTGCTTTATTTTTTTGTCGTAACATTTCCCTTACCTGCCATCACGCACTTATTCTTTTACTTGTTTATTTTCTGTTTTCTCTGCCACATGTAAGTTTCATGAGGGCAAGAACATTGTTGTGTTCACAACTGCATCCCTTGCACCTTGTCCAAGGTCTGGCAGAGGTTTACATTCAGTAAATACTTGTCGCATGGATAACTGGATGAATGCCATTTGGACATTTTCCCTTAGAGGCTCAGATGTAGCAATTCACTCACTTGGTCATTTATCCAAAAAACATCTGATGAATATCTTGTATGTGAGAAGCTTTTTGATAAATCCTGGTGAACAAGACCTGTCCGTGTTCTTAAGCAGCTCCCTGATTAGCGGACAATAGCTGCCAGCTATACAGTAGACTGAGGATCTACTATATGCCAAGCTGTGGGCTGGCAACTTTATATGCATCTTCTCTGTCTTAGCTCAGTTCTTGCAATTGCGAGGAAACATGCCTCACTCAGGACTCCTTAAGAAAAGGCTTAGGAGTTATTAGGAGGACCGGGAGGGCTAAAGGTTAAAACTGAAAGGGAAACATCAAGGACTGAGATGATGCCACAGACTGGCTGACTCATCTCTTGCTCTTTAAGCCTGCTTATTCTTTCTTTAAGAGTGTCTCTTCTTTTTCCTGGATGTGTGCCTCTCTCTCTTTTACTGACTTACTGGTTCTCTCTTCTAGTCTAAATTTTGGGAGGGGACCACAAGACTCATTGGCTTGGCCAATGGCCTTCCTTATTCCTTAAGTAAGCGCCTGCAGCCCAGACCACTTTTTGGATTACTATTTGGCCTAGAGGTTGAACATTTAGCTTCTCACATACCCTGAGCAGAGTGTATGTTTAATCAGAAGGGAGTGTTGAGCATCATCTTCACTTGGATGCTGTGAAGTAAGTAGTTTTATCTCTATTTTACAGATGAGAAAACAGGCGGAGCAAGGAGAAATGACAACAAAACCGTAACTGTAACAAAGCTGCCCTAACCCACCTGCAAATCTACAATTGAGAAATCCATTTCTGTTGCCCCTGAGATTTGTGGGGTGTTTGTTAAGTAGCAAAAGCTGACTGATACAAGATTCAAACTCAAGTTTCTTTGATTCTGTCTGCATCACCATGCTGTCTCACTGAACTTACAGCCCTGATTCCTGTTCCTGATTCCCAAGTGTCCTGTCCTAAAAGGAGCAGAGATAAATATTGTATTCATCCATTTTCTGATGTTATAACAGAATCCCACACTGTTGGTGTTCTGAGTATACTGACATTCCTTGACGCTAGATTTTATATTGTTGATTGACTTGTTTATCATCTCTCTCCTCTATGAGATTAGAGTATTTTCTCTTTATTCACTTTATTCATTTATATCCATACCACCTGGATCAGTTTCTGGCACATAATAAATGCTCAATGAATATTTATCAAGTAGATGATTGAATGAATAAATAATGATAAAAAGGAAGTGTAAAAAAACAACTTTTCATCTTAAAACAAGGCCCTGAGTCCTTTAAGGTCAGAATAAAGAATAATTTCTAGGTAGGGACAGAAAGTTTAGTACATGATGGATGGGGTCAAGAATCAAGGTAAGAAAACTTGAAGGTGTGAGGCTGGGCACAGTGTCTCATGCCTGTAACCCCAGCCCTCTGGGAGGCCATGGCATGAGGATCACGTGAGCCCAGAAGTTTGAGACCAGCCTGGGCAACATAGTGAGATTCCTTTTCTACATAAAATAAAATAAAAATAGCCAGGCCTGATGGTATGCACCTGTAGTCCCAGCTACTCAGGAGGTTGAGGTGGGAAGATTGCTTCAGCCCCGGAGTGTGAGCCTGCAGTGAGATATGATAGCGCCACTGCACTCCAGCCTGGGTGACAGAGCAAGGACCTGTCTCTAAAATAACAACAAAGGCCGGGCACAGTGGCTTACACCTGTAATCCCAACACTTTAGGAGGCTGAGGTGGGCAGATCACCTGAGGTCAGGAGTTCGAAACCAGCCTGACCAACATGGTGAAACCCCGTCTCTACTAAAAATACAAAATTAGCCGGGCATGGTGGCACATGCCTGTAAATCCTAGCTAGTCAGGAGGCTGAGGTAGGAGAATCACTTGAACCCAGGAGGCGGAGGTTGCAGTGAGCCAAGATCACACCGTTACACTCTAGACTGAGCAACAAGAGTGAAACTCCGTCTTAAAAATAAAATAAAATAAAACAACAGTACAACAATGAAAATAATACAAATAAAAATTAAAATATAGTTTCACAACTATTTACATTGTATTAGATGTTTAGAGATGACTTAAAGAATGTGGGAAGATTGCATAGACTATATGCAAATACTATACCATTTTATATAAAGGATTTGAGCTTCTCTGGGTTTTCATATCTGCCAGGAGTCCTGGAACCAACCACCCATGGATGCTGAGGGATGGCTGTACTCAGAGGTCCTTCCACCCACTGTCATGCCTGGCATCATCCACCCTGCATAGATAGAGGGTTTGCAGAAAACCCCTGATCATTAGACACAGAACACAGAAAACCAGTTTCCTGACTCCCTCTGGTGTGAAGGAAAGAACAGGGAGGTTGGGGTGGAAAGTTAGAGTGGAAAGACAGACACCCCAGATGTTTCTTAACTTTTGATTATTCCAGCTGACAAGACATGCCACACCTCAATGTGTACTGAGTGTGAGTCACTTCCTTCTCTAAGCCTCAATTTCCTTACCTGTAACATGTGGACAATGTTTATACCTACATCCCTGGGGCTGTTGCAACAATAAGATGAGGTCAGGTAGATGAAAGCTGTATGTCACTGTAATGTCCAGTGCCTTTTTTTTTTTTTGAGACAGAGTCTCACTCTGTCACCCAGGCTGGAGTGCAGTGGTACAATCTCAGCTCACTGCAACCTCTGCCTCGCAGGTTCAAGCAATTCTCCTGCCTCAGCCTCCCAAGTAGCTGGGATTACAGGCATGCACCACCACTCCTGGCTAATTTTTGTATTTTTTGTACAGACAGGGTTTCTCCATGTTGGCCAGGCTGGCCGCCAACTCCTGATTGCAGGTGGATCCACCCACCTCAGCCTCCCAAAGTGTTGGAATTACAGGCATGAACCACCTTGCCTGGCCTTCAGTGCGCTTTTTGTTACACACTGAGAAGGAATAGTGTGTGGAGTCAAACTGGCCTGGGTTGGAGTTCAGCTCTACCACTCACTGGCAGCATGGCTCTGGGTAAATGTCCCTTCTCTGAGCCTCAGGATCTGCATGTGTTCAGTGGGGCTATTAATAGTTCTCAACTCACAGGCTTGTTTTAGAAATTAAATAAGGATTAAATTATATAAGTGCCTGTCATACAGTAGATGCTCAGCAAATATTCCTCCCCAAACACAGACACAAACAGCACTTAAAGCAACCTGGGTAACAAAGGGGTTTTCGGTCTGGAGGAGAAACCAGGCAGCTAATGAGCTCTCTCTCCAGTTTTCCTTCTAAGAGAGGAACTCACTGGCCAGAGCCCAGGATGGTCACCGATGTAGAGGACAGGCAGCCAACTCCAAGCCTCCCACGTGGGGTTTCCAAAAACCTGTGAGCACAGAGTTGCATAACGTGTCCCTGAGACACGTGTTTCTACTGAAGTGTCTTCATCAAATATTCCCTGAAAGGAAACATGTGAGCAGGGCAGTAGGGCAGCCTAGCGGGGGAGGAAGGGAGAGGGGGAGGAAGGGAGAGAGGGAGGGATCTAGAGAACACGACAGTAGGGGTGAGAGGAGGAAGAGAAGGTATCACATTTAATGTGCTCTTACTATGGGCCAGCCACCGGGCTTGACTTGTCTGATACATTGTTAGATCCTTGCCATAAATCTGAGATCAGGCATTTCCGTTCCCACATTCCAGAGGAAGAAATAATAACAATCATATTAACATTGCTGAGGTTAACATAGTGCCCACTGCATATCAGGCAGTGGACTAAGCACACATTTGACCCTCAGGACAGCCCATAACATGGGTACTATTCTGAACTCCACTTTATAGAAGAGGAAACCAACTGAGACTCAGAGACATGAAGTAACTTTCCCAAGGTCACCCAGCAGGACAGCAAGACAGCCAGAGAGCCAGGATTCGAATCTAAGCAGGGCTCTCAAGCCTATGGGCCTATGGGAGAACATTTCCCAAGGGATTTATGGGGGTGGATCCAGAAGGTGACCTTAGCGATTGTCCTTACATGCATGCAGTGGGGCCCCAGTGTGAAAGTGACGAAAGAGACCAAGTGACCAGAGGCACTCCCCTCCCCTCCACCCAAAGGACAGTTTGTCCCAGCTTGTGGCTTTTCGTCACTCTGCCTCTGACCTGAAGTTTAACATTTCATTCATAAGTTTGGAACCACAGACTTGGCAGCGTAGGAAGAACCCTCGTAGACCAGCTAGCTATTCAAATCCAATCCCCTCATATTACAGATGGAAGAAAACCCTGAAGCCGGAATGTGACTCGCCAAGGTCACAGAGCAGTTTTCTGTTGGATGAAGGAGCCGGTTTAGGGTCAACTACAGATCATCTTGTGCTGTAGTTATCAAATGTGGGTGCACCTCTGAATCACTTGGGGAGCTCTCTAAATACACAGATTTCCACACTCTGCTTTGGGAGACTTGAACTGGACTTAGGTTTGCAAACAAGGACTGGAAATTTGAATATCCAGTATGTTCCTCAGGTGATTCAGATGGCACAGGGCCATGACAGCATCTGCAAGTCGGAGTCCAATGTCCCTCTTTCATTTGATAGTTTGGGATACTGGGACCCACCAGGGGACTCGCCCAAGGTCACATAGCAAGCCAGTGGGGCTCTAGTTCAGACTCTGTGGTCTGAAGCAGACTGCTTGTGGTCAAATTTGAAAATGGGCCAATGAAGCTAAACAAAGGGGTTGCCATGATTTTCCCCAGCTCTTGGTTTCCTTCTTGGATCCAAATTAAGACGGAGGATGATGTACATTTCCGAAGCTTGGCAAGGCGGGAATCCAAGAACTGAACTCCCAAAGGGGAAAGGAAAGGGCAGGAGGTTAGCTTGCACGCCCAGTGGGGTTTTCCCAGAGGTGAGCTCCGGACTCCAGGGATGACATCAGACATTCCAGCCAGCCCTAATATCAAAAGCTACCTGTGTTTTCTAGTTCAGCAGAATGGGTAGGCAGGGCCTTTCCTATTGGGAGGAGATGGGGTGGAGTGGGCCCAGCTGTGACGTGAAGGGAGCAGAGCCCAGGAAGAGCCACGCATTCCAGCATCTGCAAGGAAGACAGCTGCCCTGGGTATTGTCAACCTCTGCAGCCCTTTTCTAAGCCTTTCCTCCCATTTCTCCCTAATCCCTCACCCCAGGGCTAACTGAGCAGAGAGATTCACTGCCCCTTTTCCACTTCCTGCTACTCCACCACCTATTTTACTATCTCCCTTCCTTTATTTCCCTCTCCCTCCCTCCCTTCCTCCCTTCTTTCCTGTTCTTTTATTCTAAAATGGCATCTTGGCTGGACACAGCGGCTTATGCCTGTAATCCTAACACTTTGGGAGGCCAAGGTGGGAGGATTGCTTGAGCCCAGGGTTCAGGACCAGCCTGGACAACATAGGGATACCCTGTCTCTACAAAAAAATAAAATTAAATGAAAAATCAAAAAAGCCAAGTGCGGGCCAGGCATGGTGACTCATGCCTATAATCCCAGCACTTTGGGAGGCTGAGGCGGGCAGATCACTTGAGGTCAGGAGTCCAGACCAGCCTGGCCACAATGGTGAAATCCCATCTCTACTAAAAATACAAAAATTAGCTGGGCATGGTGGCACACACCTGTAATCCCAGCTACTCAGGAGGCTGAGGCATGAGAATCGCTCGAACCCGGGAGGCGGAGGTTGCAGTGAGCCAAGATCATGCCACTGCACCCCAGCCTGAGCGACAGAGCAAGACTCCGTTTCAAAAAAAGCCAGGTGTGGTGGCACATGCCTGTGGTCTCAGCTATTCGGGAGGCCGAGGCTTGGGCCTGGGAGTTTGAGGGTGCAGTGAGCCATGATTGCGCCACTGCAAACCAGCATGGGTGACAGATTGAGACCCTGTTTCAAAGAACCAAACTAAACCAAACCAAAACTAAACTAAAAGTCATCTTGATGTTTGGAGTCAGTTGTCCTGAATTTGAATCTCAGCTCTGCTCCCTGTGAGCTCTCTGACCTAGAGAGTCACACCACCTCCCCCCAAGCCTAGTTTCCTCCCCTATAAAAAGGGGACAATAGCTATATTTTCAGATTGTGAGAATTAAACAAGATCATGTAGGCACTTAAGAAACAGATGTTTTCTCAGAAACACTAGATCATGTGCATAATCAGTGAACTAGAGGAATTTGAATACATATTTGTTGGACTGAATTGAGGTGCCTAAAAGAATGGTTGAGCTGGAAAGCACCTAAGAAATCTTTGGGCCTTAATAACTCCCCAACTGGAGTCCAGGGGAACTGTTCAGGGTATTTCCAAATGATAAGGACAATCGCACACTCTCAATAAAGTCTCAAGTTTCTTTACTTTTGTCTGGAATTGTATCAGCTCAAGGTGATAACACGGCTACCACAAGCTGTTCAGAAATTCTGATTGGCAGTTACATGGCTCTTTGATACGTTTTTTTTTTTTTTTTTTTGAGACGGAGTCTCGCTCTGTCGCCCAGGCTGGACTGCAGTGGCGCAATCTCGGCTCACTGCAAGCTTCGCCTCCCAGGTTCACGCCATTCTCCTGTCTCAGCCTCCCGAGTAGCTGGGACTACATGCGCCTGCCACCAGGCCCGGCTAATTTTCTGTATTTTTAATAGAGATGGGGTTTCACCATGTTAGCCAGGATGGTCTTGAACTCCTGACCTTGTGATCTGCCCGCCTCAGCCTCCCAAAGTGCTGGGATTACAGGCATGAGCCACTGTGCCCAGCCTAAGTTTTTTTTTTAATGAGAAAATAATTACTGGAAGGTAGATTAAATGGTGGAAAACGTTAATCATGTCCAACTCCTCATTTCATAAACAGGGAAGCTGAGGTTTAAAGAAGGAAGTGGCTTGCTGGTCACACTGGGTGGCATAGCTGGCCCTAAAACCCAAATTCTTTTCCTGGAACAACTTACTTCCCGTCTTTCCACTTCAGAGAGGGGGAACCTAGGATCAATGAAGTTGATGGGTTTTCGTCTGCTGGAGTAGGAATAAGTGAGTTATCGATTTGCTCTTGCTTTTTCTGTTCTTAACTCATTCAGCAAATATTTACTGACTGTCCACTATTCGGATTTGGAAGATAGATAAAACAGTCATGGCAGCAGAGAGGGTCAGGATTTACTCCTATGTGCGACTTCAGAACCTGTGCCTTTTTCCACTGGACACCCACATTTTAAAACACCCACTACTCTGCCTTCTAATATAGTTCATCTGTGTCTCAGGGCAGGGGCTGTCTTATATATACATGTTCTAGCCTTCCTGCCACCGAGTAGGTGCGAAATCAATGTTGTAGTGTTGAGGAAACACTTGAATTTTATTTATTTATTTATTTATTTATTTATTTATTTAGAGACGGAGTTTTGCTCTTGTTGCCCAGGCTGGAGTGCAATGGCGTGATCTCGGCTCACTGCAACCTCTGCCTCCCGGGTTCAAGCAATTCTCCTGGCTCAGCCTCCCGAGTAGCTAGGACTACAGGCGTGCGCCACCACGCCCCGCTAATTTTGTATTTTTAGCAGAGACGGGGTTTCTCCATGTTGGTCAGGCTGGTCTCGAAACACCGACCTCAGGTAATCCGCCCACCTCAGCCTCCCAAAGTGCTGGGATTACAGGCGTGAGCCACCGCGCCCGACCAACACTTGAATTTTAATACTTACTTTGCTACTAACTGTGTCGTTGAAACAGTATGTTGCTTTCCTTCTCTGGCCCTTAGCTTAACTATCTGTACAGCGGGAACATTGGCAAACTCCTACGTGGAGGAGCTTGCAGGTCCACTTCAAGTTATCAGACTCTAACTAGGAGAAAACATTGAGAATTTAGGCTGAAAATAACGACACAGTTTATCACCTCGTTAATTCCCAAACATCATTACCGCGTCCTAAGCCACCCCACTTGCCTCTCCCCTAGCCGCCTTCCTTTAAAAAAAGAATTCCCCTCTAGAGGGCGCGCAAGCTCTGCGGCCTTCGTTCCTCTCTTCCGTTTGCCTTCACTCTTCCTTCTGCGCATGTGCTCAGTTCGCTATCCGGCTGCTTGTACCTGGTTCAGGAGGTTCAGGCAGAGGTTGCACCCACTACGCCTGCGCAACCTCAGCCCCGCCCCTCCGCTGCTTTCCCCGGAAACGTTTCTTTCCTACGCAGCCGCTCCTGCCGCCGTGGTCGCTGGAGCTTTGCCTCTCTAGGCCGGCAGCGCCTCTCCTCCATGGTCCTGTCTGTCAGCGCTGTTTTGGGAGCCCGCCGGTGAGGCCGGGCCACGCTCAGACACTTCGATCGTCGAGTCTGTCACTGGTGAGTAGACCCCAGAGGAGCTCGTGTACGGGCGGGGGCCGCGCAGGCGGAATGGGCTGGATTTCCCCTCACTCTGAGAATGGGTCTGTCTGCCCCGCCTTCCCCCTGACTCTTGGAATGGGCTCACCCCTTGGTTCCAGTCCCTCCTCCCGGGCGGGGCGACGTTGCCATGGAGACAGGCCGCTGGCTGAGGCCCGGCTCGTGTCCCTGCAGGGCATGGCGGGTCAGTTCCGCAGCTACGTGTGGGACCCGCTGCTGATCCTGTCGCAGATCGTCCTCATGCAGACCGTGTATTACGGCTCGCTGGGCCTGTGGCTGGCGCTGGTGGACGGGCTAGTGCGAAGCAGCCCCTCGCTGGACCAGATGTTCGACGCCGAGGTAGGGTCCCCGGACTGGGGCGGGTGGGGTCTCGGCCTCCCCGAGTAGGCTTTGTGGTCCATCACTACTGTGCTGTAGACGTGGCTGGGTCACCTTCTTTCTTTGTAGCCCTGGGAAAGGGATTTCACCTTTCTGAGCCTCAGCTGCCTCATCCATAAAATGGAATGACAGCAGAGGCTGATTAGTACAAAGAAAAGGGCCTGGATGTTAATACAATAAACACGTCTGTGTTCCAGGCAACTCTGATACATTTCCTTTCTGATACTCTGGGAAAGTGACTTGATTTCTCTGAGCTAGGTTCTCAGGTGCCACATCGGAGAGAGGGGTGGATAAAAGAGCATTCGTGCGGGTACAGTGGAAACTGCCTGGACTTTGGGGTCAGACAGGCGTCCGTTTAAGATCCACTTACTAGCTGTGTGACCTGGGGCAAATGTCACCTCTGTGAACTTGTTTTCCTGTCTTCAAAACCATGAGACTAGTTGCAGAGAGGTCGTGGACTGCAATATAAAGAGCATGTGCTTTGGGTTCAGAAAAGCAAGGGTTCAGTCTAGGCCTAAACATATAAAACTAGCTGTGGGACCTTGGGCAAGTTGCTTCCCCTTTCTGAGCCTTTTCTGAAAAGTGGGCCGGATGCTCCTACCATGTTGCCCTCAACAAAATGTTACAAGGCCCAGAGGGGTTTAGGAATAAGAAGGTACTTTGTAAAGTGTAAAGGAGGCCTATAAGTTGTTACATCTAAGAGGCAGCTGTGGCGTGGTGATGAGCACAGTTCTTTTTTTTTTTTTTTTTTTTTTTTGAGACGGAGTCTCCCTCTGTCGCCCAGGCTGGAGTGCAGTGGCAGGATCTCGGCTCACTGCAAGCTCCGCCTCCCGGGTTCACGCCATTCTCCTGCCTCAGCCTCCCAAGTAGCTGGGACTACAGGCGCCCGCCACTACGCCCGGCTAATTTTTTGTATTTTTAGTAGAGACGGGGTTTCACCGTTTTAGCCGGGATGGTCTCGATCTCCTGACCTCGTGATCCGCCTGCCTCGGCCTCCCAAAGTGCTGGGATTACAGGCGTGAGCCACCGCGCCCGGCCGAGCACAGTTCTTAAAGCCAGGAGACCTGGGATGGAGTCCTTGCTCCTGCTGCTTGTTCTCTGTGTTAGCCCTTGGGCAAGTTATTATCCAAAAAGTGATAAGAATTAAAAGAAGAAGAATGGCTTTGTGAGGTTTTTTTAGGGATAATATGAGATTATGTATGTCAAAGACCTTTCTTTGTCAGCTGAAAGTGTGGTGCAGATGTTTGGCATTTGATAGTATTGTGTTGGATAGTGGAGGTTGCACACCCACCATATGCCTAGTTGTAGTCTCGTAGGAGACTCTATGCTCCTGGGAAGAGCTGTGGGAATGCCAGGCTTTGTTGAAGAGCCATATGATGCACACAACCTGAGTTCTAGCCTAGGGATCAGCAAACCTTTCCTTTAAGGGTGAAGTAGTAAGGATTTTAGGTCACAATTATTCAGCTCTGCCATTGTAGCACAGAAGGCTGCTATAGACAAATATATAAGTGAATAGGTGTGGCTGTGTTTCAATAAAACCTTATGTACAGGAGCAGATGCCAGGCCTATGGAGCCATAGTCAGCTGAACGCTGTTCTAGACTTTACTCTTGTTGTTTATTACTTTGGGCAACTTAACTTGTCTGAGTTTTTACGTCCTCCTTTGTAAAATGAGAATAATCCCTTTCCACCTGCTGTGAGAAACAAATGAAATCCCATAATGGATGTCTATGAAAGCACCTATTGGAAATAGGCTGCCGTACAGATGTAGGGAGGTATTATCTTCTGTGCTCTGGGAAGAATGCTTGTTCCTTAGGAGGCTTGCTGAGATCCTGGGGCTCTGCCAAGTCACTTCTCCAGTATATTTCCATTTGTGATTCCCCCTCAGATCCTGGGCTTTTCCACCCCTCCAGGCCGGCTCTCCATGATGTCCTTCATCCTCAACGCCCTCACCTGGTGAGTATCACCAGTTTTGCTATCCAGCTTTTGGGCTCTTAGTGCTGGGACTAACTTCCTAAGTTTGAACATGAGACAGGCTGGCACTTGTTTCTGGGGAGTGGTGGAGTAAAGTGGGTGACAGAGGCCAGTTCTGGGACCAGCTGTATAATGGGCCTCCTTCCATTGCTGTTTTGACTTACCTGGAAAGCTCTTATGTCACTATGTTTGTGCTGCCTGCAAGACAACTTCCATCTCAGATAACTTCCCTGATGTGGAGTGAGCTGAGAAAGGATTCGACCGAGAGGCAGGAGAACTGGGTTCTGTTCTTGGTTTGTGTGCCATTGGCCAAGTTACTTGCCATGGGCCTCAGGCTCCTCTTTTGTCCATGAGGGTTTGGACTCAGTGATGTCTAAGGTCACACGTAATCATTGCCTGTCTCTTAAGAGGCAGTTTAGCATAGTGGTCAAGGTGTCAGGCTCTGGAGGCAGACTCATTTGGCATTGAACCTCAGCTTTACTACTAGTCTAGTGACTTTGGACAAGTTAATCTACCACAGTTGCCTCATCAGTAAAATGGGGCTAGTAATATTACCTACCTCATAGTTGTAAGGATTAAATAAGTTAATTCACAAGAAGGACTTAGAACAGTGCCTTGCATGTTATTATTATTCTTGTCCTTACACCGGAGGTTGAAAACTGGTGGGCTGACTTTGACCTAAATTTGTCTTCCAGATAGGTTCTATTTGGCTTACATAGATGTCAGCCCACACATGGTGTTTAAAACATTTTTTTCACTTAGTTGAAAATCAGGCTATTTTATATAAAAATCCAGATTTCTGGCTTCTCTTGAATAATGGAATGACTGACTGATTCCAGGCCAACCTTCTAGCATGATAAGATTTGCCTAGATGCAAGTAGCTACTGCCCCCCTTTAGCTAGAACATGTATGCTTCAGGGTGTCATGATCCCCACCAATTCCTAGGATCCCCTAGTGACAATTGCCATCGATCATCAAGCTCATACTCAGTCAGCTTCACTCTTGACATTACCCGCCAGGTTCTTCTAGGCGTCTGGTATCATAACCCTTGCTTCACACTTATCTCGTCACTTCTGACCACTATGCTGCCGTCCTAATTGTCCCTACCCTCCCAAATAACCTAAGGCCAGGACAACCCAGTGACAACTCACTGCTGTCCTCTCCCCACAGTGCCCTGGGCTTGCTGTACTTCATCCGGCGAGGAAAGCAGTGTCTGGATTTCACTGTCACTGTCCATTTCTTTCACCTCCTGGGCTGCTGGTTCTACAGCTCCCGTTTCCCCTCGGCGCTGACCTGGTGGCTGGTCCAAGCCGTGTGCATTGCACTCATGGCTGTCATCGGGGAGTACCTGTGCATGCGGACGGAGCTCAAGGAGATACCCCTCAACTCAGCCCCTAAATCCAATGTCTAGAATCAGGCCCTTTGGACATCCTGCTGACACTTGGGCCCCTTAACACCTTGGGCTGCTCAGACCCTCCAGATGAGGTCCAGCCCAGATCTGAGAGGAACCCTGGAAATGTGAAGTCTCTGTTGGTTTGGGAGAGATAGTGAGGGCCTGTCAAAGAAGGCAGGTAGCAGTCAGCATGACAGCTGCAAGAATGACCTCTGTCTGTTGAAGCCTTGGTATCTGAGAGGTCAGGAAGGGGACCTCTTTGAGGGTAATAACAGAATTGGAACCATGCCACTCTTGAGCCACAATACCTGTCACCAGCCTGTTGTTTTAAGAGAGAAAAAAAATCAAGGATATCTGATTGGAGCAAACCACTTCTTTAGTCATCTGTCTTACCCCCCTGGGACAGCTGTTACCTTTGCAGTGTTGCCGAATCACAGCAGTTACCTTTGCAGTGTTGCCGAATCACAGCAGTTCTGTTGGAGAAACGCTTGGTTTCCGGATCCAGAGCCACAGAAAGAAATGTAGGTGTGAAGTATTAGGCTGCTGTCAGGGAGAGGATGGCAGATGGAGGCATCAAGCACAAGGAAAATGCACAACCTGTGCCCTGTTATACACACGTTCATGTGCACCCAAGAACCTATGACTTTCTTCCAGTTCCTTCTACCAGGTCCCCATCCTGCTGCCAGCTCTCAACATAGCAGGCCATAGGACCCAGAGAAGAATCCCAGCGTTGCTCAAAGTCTAACCATCATAAAGACACTGCCTGTCTTCTAGGAATGACCAGGCACCCAGCTCCCACTGGACTCCAATTTTTTTTCCTGCCTTATTTAGAATTCTTTGGCGGGAAGGGTATGATGGGTTCCCAGAGACAAGAAGCCCAACCTTCTGGCCTGGGCTGTGCTGATAGTGCTGAGGGAGATAGGAATTTGCTGCTAAGATTTTTCTTTGGGGTGGAGTTTCCTCTGTGAGGGGCTTGCAGCTATCCTTCCTGTGTATACAAATACAGTATTTTCCATGGTTCTGCCTGCACTTACTTTGTAATGCCACGGTTGAGATTGAGAGAGATCAGCGCAGCCAGGCAAGGGAACTTTAAAGAATTATTAGGCCACCTTCTCCCTTTCCTGGACCCCAGAGTCATTCCTCCATTTGGTTAAAATACTCAGTGCAGGGAACTCTTACATCCTGTCTCCTTCACTTGCAGCGTCCCCTGCTATGCCTCAGGTGAACCACATAATTCTTGGGTTTCCGTTCCTACTTGCTAGTGATTTCTGAACATGTTCAATGGAGCGGCACACAGTCTAGACCCACTTCCGCATTGAAACCTTCACTGTTCCTCTTTGGTTTCTTCAGAGCTTTCCCAAGAGAGCTGTCAGTTTTCAGCTGTCAGTAACACAAATGAGTTTATGGTAACACAAATGAGTTTTGCTATCTCTCTGAGAAGCTCATCTGACCTCCTGACTCTCAGCCCTACAGAGTAGGGAGTTGATGCTGACAGGATGAAGATTTAGGAATAAATATGCCTGGGAAGAGACTGGGAAGGTTCTAGGGTGAGGCACCTCAGTAACTCATGGTACCTTGGCCAAGTTGGAAGGAAGCAGTTTGTTAATGAGGCACAGTAATCCTGGCTGCAGGGTCTAGGAGGTAAGACCAGCTGGGATGACCTTCCCTGGGTTAATCAATTTCCCTCTAGACAACACAAACTGCAGGCATGTGACTAACTTTGAAAGAACACCCATCATGTGGCTGCTGTCACCCTTGACCAGCCGTGGTGGTGGTTACTCCATCTGTGGTTGGAGCGCCTCTTTGGGATTCACTTCAAGGTCTTGTGCCTATTTTTCTGCATATCTTCTGTGATGACAAATCTCTGTCCCCTGAGTGTTAATTTGATTTTTAGAAATGGCCAAAAGTCACGTGATCCAAACTTTTTTTCAGTAATATGGAGACTGAGCTGCATGGTAGTTGGGGATCAAAAATATGTGACCTTAATGAGATTTTTATGATTTCTAAAGTAACAATAAAAGCAGTTTTTAGAGTTGAGTTCCAGAGAGGGCAGGGCAATGGCAGTGACATGTTTGTCATTTTAATAATAAATAACATCTATTGAGTGCTTAAGAGGTGTCCAGCAGTGTGGGCTGAGTGCTTTATGTCTCTTTTCAAAATCTTCACAAGAACCCTCTGAAGTAAGAAGTAACGTCATCTGTATCTTACAGATGAGGGAGCTGTAAGGAACTTACCCAAGGTGACTTTTTAGGAGCTGGCAGAGCCAGGATTTGGGCTCTAATAGTGATATTAATAAGCTCATTTTGAAGAGGTCAGTAGTTAGGGATGTATAAGTTCTGACTGGCTAAACAGTCTGGTTAAATAGTTTATCACCTTATAATCATATCTTCTTGTCCTGTCAATTTTTTTAAATACCGAGGATGAATAGTACTTTATAAACATTACTAGCTTTCTAAGAAAAGCTGATATGCAGTACATTAAATATAGCCAGAGATTTCCTTTTTTTTTTTTTTTTTTTTTTTTGAGGCAGGGTCTTACTCTGTCACCCAGGCTGGAGTGCACTGGTGTGATCTTGGCTCATCATAGCCTCAACCTCCCAGGCTCAATGATCCTCCTGCCGCAGCCCCCCAAGTAGCTGGGACTATAGGCACATGCCACCACGCCCAGCTAATTTTTGTATTTTTATTTTTATTTTTATTTTTTTAGAGACAGGGCTTTGCCACTTTGCCCAGGCTGGTCTCGAACTCCTGGGCTCAAGAGATCCACCTGCCTCGGCCTCCCAAAGTGCTGGGATTTTACAGGTGTGAGCCACCAAGCCCAACTGGCCTTTTTTTTTTTTGAAACAGAGTTTCACTCCGACTTCATTACCCAGGCTGGAATGCAGTGGCCCAATCTCAGCTTACTGCAACCTCTGCTTCCTGGGTTCAAGCAATGCTCATACTTCAGCCTCCCAAGTAGCTGGAATTACAGGTTGGCACCATCATGCTTGGCTAATTTTTGTATTTTTCATAGAGACGGGGTTTCATCATGTTGGCCAGGCTGGTCTCGAACTCTTGGCCTCTCAAGTGATCCACCCGCCTCAGCCTCCCAAAGTGCTGGGATTACAGGCATGAGCCACTGTGCCCAGCATTGGCCAGAGATTTTCAGATGATCTTAGGAATGTGGGAAATCTATTTCCAAAGGATAAAGGAAGGTACCTAGATAAGAGAGTACTAGCCCACTACTGAGTTGGCATATCTCTTAACTCTCCAGGTGTCTGAAGTTGACCTCCCTTTTTCCCACCCACCACCTGAACTCTGGCCATTCAGAGAGAAAAGTGGAGACTCCTACATAGCTGATGGTCAGAATAGTTTATAACCCTTAAAGGAGGACAGGAAAGGAAAAAGGGATGTCTGGCTCAGAGGGTACTTCTAACCCCTCGCTCTAGGCAGCCCTGTCCATATCAGTGCCAAATGAGAGCCACGATGGCAGCCAGCAGACATCAGGGGGTACAATGGGAAGCTCCAGGACTCCCAGCATCCTGGAGGGTACACAGCTCAAACAGTCTCCCCTGGACAGGAATCCCCTTGGACTCCTTCCTCAGCAACTCCCAGGTCAGAGTAGCTTCCTTCTGCCAGCCCCAGAAGGCAGTCAGTGCACAGGTATGCAACACCTCCTTGTACCGGCAGCCCAGGGACCACGGAGTCTCAGAGGTAGGGCCCTGGGGACCTAGGGCAGAGGAGTAGGGATGGAATCAAGGTACAAGAGAACTCCTCTGTGGAGAGATTAAAAACCACTGTCTTAAGGTTTTCTGTTGTAAAGTAATAAAGGGTGGTAGAAATAGCATTGAGGCAGGAGGGAGTAGAGGGAGCTGAGGGTTTTAATCCCTGCCCTGCCGCTACCTGGGCAAGTCACAGTCATAGGTCCAATTCTGGAAGGCTTTAGAGAGCTGCAGTGGAGTGCAAAGTCCTGGAGTCCCATTACTAGCTGTGAGATCTTGGGTAAGCTATGTTACCTCCCTTACCTAGATTTCCTCATATGTAAAATGAGGGTAATAATGGTACTTATTTCCCTGGGTTTTGTTTTGTCTTGTTTTGTTTTGTTTTCTGGTAGGTCAACACTTACTTCTTTAAAATGGAAAAAGTGTTCCCTCCCTGGTTTTATTGTGAAGATGCAATAAGATGTCACGTGTAAAGCGCCTAGCCCAGCCCCTGGCACGTAGGAAGTGATCCATAATTCTAGACAATTATTAGGCTACCGTCCCCCCTATCCATTTTACAGAACAGGGACATTTTTCTTCTGAGCCTGTGTTTTCAAATGTTGGGGGATAGGCTTGCCAGTCCTCTAGGTACCACTACCAAGTATTGAGCTCCTATCTGGCATGTACTGCAAAGTGATTTATGTGTATTCTTACTCAGTCCAATAAGGTAAGCACTACTATTTCCCCCATTTTGCAGACAAAGAAACAGAGGATTGGGAGTAAACAACTTTTTCCCCATTACAAAGTTGGTAAGAAGCTAGGCCTGTCTGCCTCATCTGCTTTTCACGTTCCAGTTATGTTTATGTGTGATCCAGACAATTGTGAGACGGACAGTCTTAGGGATCTAAATGCCATATTAGCAAAAGGTTGTGAATGTAAACGTACGTTTGGCTTGTTAACAAGCAGCTAGTTCCATAAAGGTGAGTAGTTAGGTAGCTGCTGATAAGTGAGAAATGGAGCCGGGACTGACTGGCCACAGGGCTTTATTATGATGGCCGTGGTGTGGCGTGGGAAAAGGCCAAACATTTGTTCAATGCCCCACAAACTGGCTTCTCCTACATCAAGCTTGATTTGCTTAAACCCCCCTGAAACAGACATTAGTATCACTATTTTATAAACATGAAATAGGCTCAGAGAGGTCATGTGACTTCTAAAAAGTCACTCAATATAAAATCAGATTCAAACACTTCAATTTTTTCCCAGTTAACTGTTAAGCAGCCATTTCTAGGGTGGCCTCCTCCCCAAATCTGTGTTACTGGGCCCAGAGGAGGAGCTTTAGGTTGAAATGGTTAAACAAAGAGAGGGTGGTAGTGGGGAGACCCTGGTTGTGGAATTGTGGGAGGCAGGTGGCCAGAGGCCTAAGTGCCGGGGCAGGTGGGATGAGGTGGAAGGATGTACTGCTGGGATTCCCTCACTCCCAGACCTGCCCCTTGCTGCCCTGGCCATGCTGGGTCCCCGCCTTCGTATACAGCCCTCCCATATATTCAGTGGCGTTCCCAGTGGGCAACTGGGGCCCAACTCCGGCTCTCTGGAGCAAAGTGGAAGTTGCCAGTCTCACTCAGGCCCAACCCAATCCAGCCTCCACTTGGGGCTCCCTGGGCAGGCCCCCACGAAGGCTAGTGCAAGGGAGCTCCCCAGAAAGGGTCAGATTTTTTAGCTGGGAGGGCGCTGTCTTGACTGCCCGCTGACAGCGCACTCAGGACAGAAGTTCACGCAAAGGTTGATGGAATGGAAGAGTGAGTAGAGATTATTTTCGAAAGTTGATGGGATTGAAAATACCCAGCAAGGGAACTGCAAGGGAGACTGTTCAGGAAATGGGCTGGAGTGCAAGCTGGGTGGGAAGACCGCTGAAAGTGGTTACTGGGGTGGAATTTGCACGGGAATTAGCGGGGTGGTGGGGGCGGAGGTAGGCACCGACCGTAGGGGAGCTCCAGGAAGATTGCGCTGGGAGCAGGAGCTCGGGAGCACGCAGCAGCCACTATGAGGTGCTAAGCAGTCCCCGCGCTGTGGCTCCGCCCAGGCTGGTCCGCGCGGCAGCTGATGCCCAGTCTTGGTGCCCAGTAATGGTGGGGAGGAGTGTGTGAGTGGGCGGGGTGGGAGGGGGGGAGAGTCCATCCAATCGTTCTCCCTCTGTCCCAAACTGGAGATCTATCTGCATCGCTGCCCTGACCCCCAATCCCGGAGAGCTCTGTGCCCCTCGATGGCTCCACTGCTCTCCCGAGGGCGCCCACTCCATGCAGCCTGCCTCTGGGGAATATGGAGGTCTTCGTCCGGAGAAAACTCGGGCTCCCTTGGCTTTCCTCTCCCCAACGGCATGGTTAGGACCCTGTGACTCCTACCGACAGAGGGTGACCCCGGCCAGATGGGGTCGACCAGGGCTTGGGGTTGAGGTCTTCAGATTGAGGGTGGACCTGCCATGTCACCCTGGAGCAGTAGAGATGCAGTACCAGCTCCCCCTCCTGATCCGGTGCCTTCTGTGATCTGTGACCAAGGCAGGACACATTTGGAGGCCCAGCTGACATCCACTTTTTGACACCAGCCACAGTGCAATCAGTTTTTGACAATCAATTTTTGACAATCAGGTCGCAATGCACGCGCATGACCTACAGGGTGCTGGGGCTATTCCGCCTGCCTCGTGACTTCTGAGCAGGCTCTCATTTCGCCTTTTCCCTTTCTTGGGAAAATGGAATGGGGAGCAACCAGGAGCCCTTGCTCCTGCCACTTTCTAGCTGAGTGAGCCTGGGCAAGTTACTTGCTGCCTCCGCGCCGCGGTTTCCTCTTGCGAGCTCGCGGGGCGATTGTGAGGCACTTTGCACCCAGGAAGCACACGAGCGCCCTGACTTCACAGAGCGCGCCACTCAGGAGACTAGCTCGCGGAGGTGGGGGAGGGGTGCTGCTCGCTGGCTTCTTTGGTTCTAGACTGACCTTAGGGGCCTCGGGGTGGGGGTGGGGGAAGCCTGAAGTCGCGACACAGGCTCCCTCTACCGAAGGCCTCTTTCCTTCATCCTTCCCAGCCCCAGACAAACAGGCAGAGTAAGCAGTATTCGTCTTAGGTGCCATATGGAAGATCTTATTTGTAGACTCGTGAATTTCGCCACCCATTCCTCCCCTTCAGCTGATGGCGCGATCTCCACCCTCTGCTCGCACCTCTGGCTCTCGTCCAGGTCACATCAACCTGCCAGCAGAAACCTCGGTGTTAGGCGCTAAGACTGTCCCCAGGGGGCGCTGGTCGTTTGGGGAGCGGGCGCAGGGACAAGGGTGCTGTGGTGTCTGGTAGGTTGGAAATGCCTTTGCTAAAAAGGAAAAGCCTCCCTTTAAGCTAGACCCGGTGGGCACTCACCCCCTTCCTTTCGTGGGACTTTCATTCTCCCACGAAAGGGCTGCGGTATTTTCTTCTTTTTTTGCTAAGGAACTTTCTGCTCAGAGTAAATCTTTTTTTCCTTTCTTTTTTTTTAAGACAGGGTCTTGCTCTCTTGCCCAGGCTGGAGTGCAGTGGCGAAGTCACAGCTCACTGCAGCCTCGACTCCTGGGCTTAAGCGATCCTCCGACCTCAGCCTCCTGAGTAGCTGATACTACAAGCGCAAGGCACCACATCTGGCTAATTTTTAAATTTTTTGTAGAGACAGTGTCTCATTATGTTGCCCAGGATGGTCTTGAACTCCTGGCCTCAAGCAGTCTTCCTGCCTCGACCTCCCAAGGTGCTGGGATTACAGGCGTGAGCCACCATGCCTAGCCTGTTCAGAGTAAATCTTATTTGAGGCATGAATCAATCAAACATAAATAGAGAGTTGAATTGATCTTAGAGGGAATGGGATGCAGCAAAGCCCTACTTGACCATCTCCCCCCTCCCACATTTGGAAATCCTTAAACCCACTTATGTAGGCCTCTGACTGTGAGATTCAGAGCCACAGCAGTTTCCACCTCTGCTAAGGCCTTCAGGCAGTGAGATGGCTCACTTCAGTGCCCCTCCTTCCACACATCTCCTAGCTGTATCCTGAGACGCCTCAACCTAGTCACTACCCTTCTGTATGATGTTGGTCTAAGGCTTCCCCCTCTCTGGACATGAAGGCGGAGCCTCCCAGCACTACCAGCCACACACCACTCAAGACTCCAGATCCTGAACCCTGACTCTGGGGCCCAGCTCTGGGCCTGGCTTGGGGCTTGCATCTCACCTAGCCTGGCAGTGTTGTTGTCACACCCACCTTGTATGGATGCCACATAGGCATTTCAAGTGATGCGGAGCAGAAGCGGGTGCAGCGGCGCTTGACCCAACGCAGGGTGGAGGATCTGCACATCACCCTGGGCGCCGGGAGGTGGATTCGTGTGGGCAGCCCCTCAAACCAGATCCACTGGTCGGCTACATCCAGCTGCTTCATGTGCCCCATGGGAGTTCTATTGCGGTAGGGCTTAATGAAGATGACTCGGGGGCCCTCGGTGAGTGGTTGCCTCCCCTGGACTCCAGGGTTCAAGCTATCATCCCTCGATGTCCTTGGAACCTCAGGCTCTATATGCTTTTCTTTCCGTGGCATTGCCGCCAATGACGTTTTCTCCTTGTTCCTCATCCCTGACTGCACCTGGGACTTCCACTCCTTGTACTCTTTTTTCTTAGGGTCCCCTGTGGACTCTAATTTCTTGGACTTGAGTTCCTTCTCGGAGCACCCGATCTCCTGGAACTCTTCATTATTTTGTTTTGTTTTATTGCAGGCACTGTTTTCCCTGGCAGGGAGAGGAAAGGCAGTCAGCACAGCAGGACCGAGGCCCTGGTTCCCGAGACAGTTGCTATGTAGCCAGCTCAGGGGAGCCTGTTAAGAAAGGCTAGAGGGGCCTGCAAAGAAACTTCTCTACTGCCCAGAGGCCTTGTGCTGGTGTGAGGAGGTGTGATGAGCACTAGCAGAGGGATGTGAGAGATTGGGAAGGTGAAAGCCATGACTAGTAGTTAAGGCCCCTAAGAATGAATATTGTCTACATCATCTGCCACTAGATTAGGGTTCTGTCTCTCTGGACTTCAGCTGGGAGGGTGAACAGTCCAGTAGTTTTTCTAAATTGTGCTCCAAGAACCTTAGGGTTCTGAGGAGGTGTCTCAATGTCACCTCCCCTGACCCACTGGGGCAGGATACCTCTCCCCAGCTCATAACAACACAATTGGGGCTTGGAAATAGATATTTGAACAGAGGTTTCACTGCTTTAATAAAGTTGGAAAACTGTTCAAGACCAGCCTGGGCAACATGGTGAGACTCTGTCTCCATACAAAAAAAAAATTTTTAAGTTGGAAAATGATGGGGCTAGATGATCCTGATCCTTCTAGCTCTATGTTTCCTGATTGCCTGCGACTAGAGGCCAAATCAGAAAGAGGAGCCCAGAAAGGTGGCCTTGACAGAAATATTAAATGCTGAGACTTTCCCAAAGGGTGTCTGTAACAGACTGGGCCCCCTGCAAACCCCCAGTGGCAACACCATCCTAGCCAAGGGCGTGGAGAGAGATGAGGCCTTGGGCTGCAGATAATGGCAATACTGTGATGATAATAATGGCTCCCGCTGATTGAGTCCTCGCTCTATGCCAGACTCGGGACCCTTACAACTTGGGATCCTTACTATTTCTGTGAAGTAGAAGGCAGTGAAACAGAGTGGCTTACAGAGCACAGGTGTTGGATTCAGACAAACGGGCTCAGATTCTGCTTCTGCCTCTTACCACCTGTGTGATTTGGGCAAGATATTTAACCTCTCAGAGCCTTAGCTTCCTTATCTGTAAAACTAGGATAATTCTGTCTACCTAACAGGATTGTTGTGAAGAATAAACTAAATGGGAAAATTCTTAAGTGCTTAACACTGTAGGATGGTACTTAGCAGGCACCAATCAATGTTAGCTTTCTTAATACTGTCATGTGACTTATGAGGAAACGGTTTGAACTTGTCTCGGAGGCATGGTAAAAAAAAATAAAAATAAAAATAAATTAATAAAGAAACCAAGCCTCAGCAAGATTAATCTTCAGATTTCAGGGGTCAGTCTGCAGGTGACTCTCTGGGTTATATTGACTTGCAGGGGAGGAGGAGGAGGAGTAACCTGTCTGTCTCAGTGCCCCAGGGTGAAGTGAGCACCACAACTGGATGATTACAACCATTGTTATGGCCACAGCTCTAATATCAGACAGGAATGGCTTCACATCCTAGCTCTGCCACTTATCAGTTGAGTTAACTGAATGAGACAAGTCACTTCACCTCTTCAGCCTCAGCTCTCCAGCAGTAAAATAGAGTTAATAAATACCTCTCTCACAGAGGCTTTGTGAAAATTAGACTTGTTCTCTAAATGCCTTAGCACAATGCCTGTTCCCAGAAAGACGGCATTTGGGTCCATTATGGGGGCCAGGCCCCAGCTTACCCAGAGGAGATGCGGAGAATCTTTGGAACACTGAGCAGTGAATGCCAACACCTTTTGGCCAGCTTATGCAGTTCTTGGATCCGGCGGTTTGAGCTCTTGAGTAGCTTCAAGAGCGACAAGTTTTTTAACACCTGCCAGGGTCAAGAAACCAGGTAAATAGAAGCTTCAGCTTTCCTGGACAGCCTCCCTCTCCCCTGCCTGCCTCTGGCTCCGCTCAGCCAAGGGCCGGCCTGCTGGCTCCCCTGGGCCACTCAGCCTGGCAACCAGGGGCAGTACTGCATGAGTATATGAGCTTCCCCAAGCTGGGGCCAAAACAGGGCGTCTCACCGTTCTCAGACGGTTCCGCTCAATTACTTTGCTCACAGGC
Organism: Homo sapiens; assembly: GCF_000001405.40. NCBI lineage: Eukaryota > Metazoa > Chordata > Mammalia > Primates > Hominidae > Homo > Homo sapiens. Next base: position 45,377,579 of record NC_000020.11, read on the forward strand.
TGCTCTGTCTCGTCCCGCAGTTTCTCATCTTGCATCTGAGGGACAGAGGATAAGAGAGACATAAACCCAGAGGAATCAGCCAGGTGTGGTGCCTCATGTCTGTAATCCCAGCACTTTGGGAGGCCGAGGTGGGTGGCTCATTTGAGGTCAGGAGTTTGAGATGCCTGGCCAACATGGTGAAACCCTGACTCTACCAAAAAAAAAAATACAAAAATTAGCGAGGTGTGGTGGCATGCGCCTGTAGTCCCAGCTACTCAAGAGGGTGAGGCAGGAGAATCACTTGAACCCAGGAGGTGAAGGCTGCAGTCAGCTGAGATCTCGCCACTGCACTCCAGCCTGGGCGACAGAGTGAGGCACTGGAGGAATCCTCCTGAACTCCTCCATGTGCCTCTTCATTTGGCTGAGCATGGTTTGACCAATCCTAGGCTGGGAGTTTTGTCATCTTGGTCTGGGGACAGAACTGGGAGACCATTTTAACTCTCCTGACCTCCCTTCACCCTTCACCTTTTCCTTTTCTCCCATGCTGGAAAGCCCCTTTCCTTGGCATGGTGGATTCTTTGTTAAGGTCCCCTCTAGGGACTCACCCCCAGGGTCTAGTCCCAAGTCTGACCTTGGAAACCCTGCTGTTCTTGGGCCTCTTCTTTGCTGATGGACTCATGCTGGGGCTGTGAGACCTCAGAGATGAATGGAGCAACACCAGTGCCAGGCACCAACCCTGTTCCTCTCAGTTCAGCCAGCACTCAGGCTGGGCATCAGATGGTGGTGCTGGCTCTGTACCACCTGCAGCTGTGACATCACTGAAATGTGACAGTAGCAGGGCTGGGTCTCCAAGGAGTGTATGTGGCAGAGGTGAGGGGTAGAGGGTGAGAAAGAAATATAGACAATAGGCGACAGACAGCTGTGTGCATTGTCACAACCTCCCTGTGGGGTAAGAGGATTATCCCCTCTTTTTAAATGAGGAAGCCAGGGTTCAAAGAGGTTGAATAATCTACTCAAGGCCACACTAGATCTAGCCCAGCTAGATCATAGTGGGCTGGAAACCTAACCAAGGTCTGATAGTCAACCCATGAAACCAGGGATTCCCAAACCATGCTCATCCATTCAGTCATGTCGCCTGTTTTGACTGGGCGCCTGCTACATGCCAGGTGCTTTTTCTTTTCTTTCTCTTTTTTTGTTTTTTGTTTTTTGAGACAGAGTCTCACTCTGTCGCCAGGCTGGAGTGCAGTGGTGAGATCTTGGCTCCCTGCAACCTCCGCCTCCTGGGTTCAAGCGATTTTCCTGCCTCAGCCTCCCAAGTAGCTGAGACTACAGGCACCCGCCACCACGTCCGGCTAATTTTTGTATTTTTAGTAGAGATGGGGTTTCACCATGTTAGCAAGGATGGTCTCGATCTCTTGACTTTGTGATCCGCCCACCTCCACCTCCCACAGTGCTGGGATTACAGGCATGAGTCAGCGCGCCTGGCCTTGCCAGGTGCTTTTTCTAAGTGCTAGAATAACAGAAAATTCTTGCCCTCAAGCTTACATTCTAGTGGAGGGGAAACAGTGTGTGTACTTGTAAATGTTTAATAATTGGCTCTCTGAAGCAAAATGTATATGTGTTTGTATTATAAATTTTACTGATAGAAATCAACAAATAATAGAATCCTATAATACTCTTTATTGTAACTTCTATTAGTGAGTTGCTTCTTATAGTATGCTTTTCTTGGATTTTGCCTAACCCCTCCATTTATAGCCAACCTATGGTTGTAATGGATAAACAAGTATAATACCAACATTAATGTTTGTATTTTCATTTACACTAAACAGTAAGAAGAAGGTGAAAAAGTGAAACAACAGAGATATTGAAATTTAACTCATTTATCAATGATTTCATTGACCTATTTGCTGAATTAGACCATAGTTTTTGAATACTGGAGATATATTTCTCAGATTCTTTTTGTTATTTACAATCGAATAGCTATGGGCAGGACACTTGCTTATGTTTTCTCTTTTTTTGTTGTTTTTGGGGGGTCTTTTTTCAGATCTACATATGATTCATATATGATATATTTCTACTCTACAGATATACAGATATAAAGAATCCTAAGAACATAGATAATAGTAAAAGGTAGTAAAAAATAGAAAGTGACAAGTTTAAGCATTTTTCACCCTATGTTTTTAATATCACTTATTTAATTGGAAGTTGCTATCAATTACATTTTAATGATGGCCGTGCCTAACAACCAGCCTGCAGAATTCCTAGAAGTGTAACAGTAGACTTGTGAGCCCTTATGAGTTAGCCCCAGCACGCCAATGCTACATCAGATGGAAATAAGTGCCTGGAGAACAGCAACCAGGGTAAAGGGAACAGGGAGGGCAGAGGTAGAGGGTTTGGTATATTAAAAAGGTGGTCTAGGAAAGATTCACCAATAAGATGAGATTTGAGCAGACACCTGAGAGAGAGAGGGAAGAGGAGAATGAATGGTGGTGGGAGAAGATGAGGCAGAGAGGGAGTCGTGGTGGGTTAGGCAGATCACAACAGGCTGTAAAGGGCGCTGGCTGCCCTGAATCCCTGGTGCCCAGCTGGCTGCATCAGAATAGTATGAAGAGCTTGTGAAAAACATTTTTGTGGGCACCACCCCATTCAGCAGGCCAGTCAGATAACCAATCAAATGTGGGACCCACTCCACACCATTCCACTTCTAGTGGGGAGAGATGTACATGCACGGGGGGTGGGTGCTTAGCTCTGAACGGAGGGGTGAGGGGCCAACCCTACCTAGGCTGTGGGACAGCTTCTCACATATAAATATCCTTTCTTATTCAAGTGAAGGTTAGGTAGTGGGTTAAACTGCTGCTGTGGCCTAGGAAAGAAAGCAATGTGGTAATTTGGCAAGGAAGACACAGAGGGTGCACCCTCTCTCTCTCCTGTCTACCCCCATACTCCTTGGCTGCTCTGCCTGCTCAGACATACCCCTCCTTGCACACAATTTCAGCTCTGATCAACTGGACTTCACTGAACAATGCTGCTCTGAGGCCCTGGTGCCTGGTGGGCTGTATCAGAATCACCTATACTCACTACTCAACTCCTGAGCTTCCAGGGCTGGGGAATCACTGTGTGCTAGGCACTAAGGGACAGCAACATTATAGGCAGAGCATGCCTCTGAGTTCACAGGCCAAGGGGATAGGTACCCCAGAAGGTAGACTCCTCAAGGGCAGGGATTTGTGTCCGTTTTATTCATTGATAAGCCACCAGATCCTAGAACAGTGCCTGGTGGACAATGGGTGCCCAAAAAGTATTTTTTGAAAAATGAAATAAATAGCATGATACGGGTAATACTGAGGGTTGTAGGAGCACAGAGGTGGAGCCTCCCAACCCAGCCTGAGGATGTCAGGGGATCTTCCTAGAGATGGTGAGGAGGAATGAAGGATGAGTAGATGTTGGCCAAGCATAGCGGTATGGGGCAGGTCGAGGGAGGTGGGCAGAGCATTCTCAAAAGAGGGAACTTAAAGAATATGAGTGTGGAATGGAATTATGTTGTACATTGGATGTTGCTAGATTAGAAAGCAGTAGCCAAGAGTGGCAGGGGTGAAAACTGGAGAAGTGGGTAAAGAGACCTACCCAATGACACACAGCTGGTAAGCCTTGTGGACTAAATCCAAGACTCTTGAATGAAAACCTCCACTCTTTTTTTAAAAAAAAAATATGGCATAATAAGATATGGATAACACAAAATTTACCTTCTAACCATTTTTGTTTTTGTTTTTGAGATATAGTTTCACTCTGTCGCCCAGGCTGGAGTGCAGTGGCGCAATCTTGGCTCACCACAACCTTCACCTCCTGCATTCAAGTGATTCTCGTGCCTCAGCCTCACCAGTAGCTGGGACTACAGGCACACATCACCACGCCCAGCTAATTTTTGTATTATTAGTAGAGACAGGGTTTCACCACGTTGGCCAGGCTGGTTTCAAACTCCTGACCTCAAGTGATCTGCCCACCTCGGCCTCCCAAAGTGCTGGGATTATGGGCATGAGCCATCGCACTCAGCCCTAACCATTTAAAAAAGTAGTTGGGTGACATTAAGTACCTTCTCTTTGTACAACCATCATGGATATCCATCTTTAAACTTTTTTTATCCTATGGAATTGGATCTCTGTATTCCATTAAATAATAACTGCCCATTTTTACCTCCCCCAGCCCGTGGCAGCCATTGTTCTACTTCCTGTCCCTATAAATTTGACTACTCTAGGAACCTCATATAAGTGGACTAATACAATATTTGTCTTTTTTTTGTGACTGCCTTATTTCACTTAACATGTCTTCCATGTTGTAGCATGTGTCAGAATTTCCTTCTCTTGTCCGGGCACGGTGGCTCATGCCTGTAATCCTAGCACTTTGGGAGACCGAGGCAGGTGGATCACCTGAGGTCAGGAGTTCGAGACCAGCCTGGCCAACACGGTGAAGCCCCATCTCTACTAAAAGTACCAAAAATAGCCAGGCATGGTGACGGGCACCTATAATCCCAGCTACTTGGGAGGCTGAGGCAGGAGAATCACTTGAACTTGGAGGGTGGAGGTTGCAGTGAGCCAAGATTGTGCTACTTCACCCCAGCCTGGGCAAAAGAACAGCACTCTGTCTCAGAAAAAAAAAAAAAGAATTTCTTTTTAAGGCTGAATAATATTCCATTGTATGTATAGGCCACATTTTATTTCTCTGTTCATTCATCGATGGACATTTGAGTTTCTTCTGCCTGTTAGCTATTGTGAATAATGCTGCTGTGAACAAAGATATACAAACATCTCTTCAAGGCCTTGCTTTCAGCTTTTGTGTATATACCTAGAAGTGGAATTGTGGAACTGCCGAATCATATGGTAATTCCCTTTTTAATGTTTTGAGGAACCACCATATTGTTTTTCGCAGTGGCTATACCATTTTACATCCCCACCAACCATGTACAAGGATTCCAGTTTCCCTATATCCTTGCCAACACTTGGTATTTTCTGTTTCTTTGATAGTAGCCATCTTAATGGGTGGGAGTTCCACTCTTTTGTTTTATTTCCTCTCATACTTTGTTCTTTAATTTCTTTAGTTAGGTTTACTGGGATATATTTTATATACAGTAAAATTTACCTTTTTTAGTATACAGTTCTTTAAGTTTTGACAAATGCATACTAGTGTAGAATACCACAGTCAATATATGGAATGGCTTCATAACCCCCCTAAGTTCCCTCAAGCCACCTCTTTGTAGTTAACTCCTCTTCCCACTCCCAGCCCTGGCAACAAACTGATGTGTGTTTTCAGTCTTTATAGCTTTGCCTTTTCCAAAACACCATATAGGTGGAATCATACGGTATGCAGCCCTTTGAATCTGTATTTCTTTCACTTAAGATTTGCACATGTTGGGTATGTCAATAATTTGGGTTTTTTTCATTGTTAGGTAGTATTTCATTCTATAAATATGCCACAGTTTGTATGTGTAATCATTAAAGGACATCTGGGCTAGTTTCTGGTTTTCAGTGATTATGAATAAAGTTACTAAATACATTTGTGTACAGGTTTTTGTGGGAATACAAGTTTTTATTTCACTTGGATACATACTTAGGAGTGGGATTACTGGATCATATGGTAATTATATGTTTAACTTTAAAAGATACTGCCAGAATTTTCCAAAGTGGCTGTACCATTTTATATTTCCACCAGCAATATATTCAAGGTCTAGCTGACTCACATTCTTGGCAGTATTTGGTACTGTTAGATTTTTATTTGTTTGTTTTGTTTTTAGCCACTCTAGTAGGTATGTCATCATATCTTATAGTAGTGTTAGTTTGCATTTCCCTAATGACGAATAATGTTGAACATATTTTCATGTATTTATTTGCCATCTGTCTTTTTTGATGAAGTTTTTGTTCAAGTCTTTTGCCCATTTTTAGGTTGTTTCTTTTAAATATAATTGTGTTGAGTGTTCTTCACTAATTCAGGATCTCTTTATCAGATATATGACTTGCCAGTATTTTCCACTAGCCTGTGGTTTATCTTTTCGTTTTCTTAACTATCTATTTAAGAACAGATTCTTAATTTTGATGAAGTCCAATCACTTTAATCACTTTTTTTTTTTTTTTTTTGAGATGGAGTCTTGCTCTGTCACCCAGGCTGGAGTGCAGTGGCGCTCTCTTGGCTCACTGCCAGCTCCATCTCCTGGGTTCATGCCATTCTCCTGCCTCAGCCTCCTGAGTAGCTGGGATTACAGGCGCCCACCACCACACCCAGCTAATTTTTTGTATTTTTAGTAGAGACGGGGTTTCACCATGTTAGCCAGGATGGTCTCGATTTCCTGACCTCGTGATCCACCTGCCTTGGCCTCCCAAAGTGCTGGGATTACAGGCATGAGCCACCACACCTGGCCACTATCACTTTTTTTAAATGGGCTATGCTTTTGGTGTCATATCTAAGAAATATTTGCCTAACCTGAAGTCACAGAGGCTTATGCCTATATTTTCTTTTAAACATTTTATAGTTTTAGTTTTTTAAATTTAGATATTTGATCTATTTTTTAGTTAACTTGTATATAGTCTAAGGTGTGGATTAAGGTTCTTCTTTTGCTTATAGATATCCAATTATTCCAACAGGATTTTGTTTTGTTTTGTTCAGAGACAGAGTCTCTCTCTGTTGCCCAGGGTAGAGTGCAGTGTTGCACTCTTAGCTCACTGCATCCTCCGCCTCCTGGGTTCAAGTAATTCTCCTGCCTCAGCCTCCCAAGTAGCTGGGATTACAGATGTGTGCCAACACAGCTGGCTAATTTTTATATTTTTAGTAGAGACAGAGCTTCACCATGTTACCCGGCTGGTCTCGAACTCCTGACCTCAAGTGATCTGCCTGCCTCAGCCTCCCATCGTGTGAGCCACCATGCCCAGCCCCAACATGATTTTTTTGAAAAGACTACCTCTCTCCTTTGAATTTTAAAATCAACTTACTGATTTCTACATAAAATCCTACTAGGATTTTGATTCACCTTTGGATTCATTGTTCTGAGTCATTCCTTCCTTTTTCTGTGCATTTGCAGTTGAGTTTTTTTCTCAATCTGCTTCCTGCCTGTAGAATTTTGGGATGCAAAGGCCTCTTTTTACTTTTTAAGATTTTTTAAAAATTTGAAATGATTATAGAGTCAAAGATGTTGCAAAAATAGAAAGGTCCTGTGTACCTTTCTCCCAGTTTCCTCCAGAGGTAACACTGGACAAAGCTAGTACAATATCAAAAGCATAAAATGGGCAGTAGTACAATATACAAACCGTGTTCAGATTGTACCAGTTTTACATGCACTCATTTGTGTGTTTCATCACCATAAGGATCTCTCTTGTGCCATCTATACCTCCCTCCTCCATTCAGTACCTAATCCCTGGAAACCACTAATTTGTTTTTTGTTTTTTTGTTTTTGTTTTTGTTTTTGAGATGGAGTCTCTCTCTGTTGCCCAGGCTGGAGTGCAGTGGCACAATCTCGGTTCACTGCAACCTCCGCCTCCCAGGTTCAAGTGATTCTCCTGCCTCAGCCCCCTGAGTAGTGGGGACTACAGGCGTGTGCCACCATGCCTGGCTAATCTTTTGTATTTTTAGTGGAGGTGGGGTTTCACCATGTTAGCCAGGATGGTCTTGATCTCCCAACCTCAGGTGATCCACCCGCCTCAGCCTCCCAAAGTGCTGGGATTACAGGTGTGAGCCACCGTGCCCAGCCTGAAACCACTAATTTATTATCTACTCTATAATTGTTGTCATTTCAAGAATAGTATATGAATAAAAGCAAGTGAAGGTATTAAAAATGTTGTATGAGTGGAATCATACAGTGTGTGACCTTTTGAAGTTGGCTTTTTTCACTCAGCATAATGCTCTTGAGATCCAAGTTATTGCATGTATCAATAGTACTTTAAAAATCACAGAAAGTTTCAAAAAATATACATAGAGGTTTTGTGTACCCTTTGCTCATTTTCCTCCAATGGGTGGGAAAATCTTACATACCTTTGGTATAATATCAGAACCATGTATAAATTCAGGTAACCACCATCACAATCAAGTATAGAACTGTTCTGTTATCCCAAGGCTTCCTCATGCTATTCATAGCTACAGTCACCCCTCCTTCCTCTCACCCCAATCCCTAAAAGTCCCACTTCATCTCTATAATTTTGTCATTTTGAAAATATTATATACATGGAATGATATAGTATGTAACCTTTCAAGATTGGCTTTTGTACTGGCTTTTCCATATAATGCCCTTTATATCCACTTAAGTTGTATCAGTAGTTTTTCCCTTTTTTTGCTGAGTGCTATTACATATAACACAGTTTGGCCATTCACCCATTGAAGAATGTTTGTTTCCAATTTAGGGCTATTATGCAGGTTTTTGTCTCCACACATAATTTTCATTTCTCTGGAATAACCTTCAAGGAGTATGAATGCTGCCAAACAATTTTCCAGAACATCAGCAATGTTCATACATTGATAGACCTTCTCTGCATTTTGACTTGCTTTTAGAATGGTCACTATTTTATTTTAGCTGTTTTAATAGGTGTGTAATGATATCTTACCATAGTTTTAATTTACATTTCCCTAATGGCTATTGAAGTTTAATACATTTTAGGCCGGGTGCAGTGGTTCATGCCTATAATCCCAGCACTTTGGGAGGCTGAGGCGGGTGGATCACTTGAAGTCAGGAGTTCGAGACCAGCCTGGCCAACATGGTGAAACCCCCTCTCTACTAAAAATACAAAAATTAGCCGGGTGTGGTGGCATGCACCTGTAATCCCAGCTACTTGGGAGGCTGAGGGAGGAGAATTGCTTGAACCCAGGAGGTGGAGGTTGCAGGGAGCCAAGATCATGCCTCTGCACTCTAGCCTGGGCAACAGAGCAAGACTCTGTCTCAAAAACAAACAAACAAATGAACAAACATTTTAATATGCTTATCTGCCATCTCTGTATCCTCTTTGGTGAAATATCTGTTCACTTCCTTTGCCCATTTTCTAATTAGACTGTTTGGATGTTTGTTCTAGAAAAAGAGTCTTGCTCTGTCACCCAGGTTAGAGTGCAGTGGCATGATCATAGCTCACTGCAGCCTTGAAATCCTGGACCCAAGTGATCCTACCAAGTAGCTAGGACTACCGGCGCTTGCCACCATGCCCAGCTAATTTTTTTTCTTTCAAGACAGGGTCTTGCTGTGTTGCCCAGGCTGCTTTTGAATTCTCCTGGCCTCAAGCCATCTTCCCACCTCGGCTTCCAAAGCACTGGGCACAGGTGTGAGCCACTGTGCCCAACCTGTTTGTCTGTATTTTTACTTTTGAGTTTTGAAAGTTCTTTATATATTCTAGATATGAGTCCTGTGTAAGATGTGTGATTTGCAAGTATTTTCTTTCTAAATTTGTATGTCTTTTATTTCCTTTTCTTCCCTTATTGTACTAGCTAAGACTTCCAGCACTACATTGAATGAAAGTGGTGGGAACAGACATTCTTGCCTTATTTTTGATCTTGAGTGGATATATGACACATATAGTATATGTCACTAACAATGGAATACCAAAATATATGAGGCAAAAACTGGTAGAACTCCAAGGAGAAATAGACAAATCCCATTATAGTTGAAGACTTCAACGACCCTCTTTCAATAATTGATAAATCAAGTAGGCAGAAAATCAGTAAGTACATATTTTATCTGAATACCACCATCAATCAACTTGATCTACTGGCATTTATAGAGCACTCCATCCAACAATAATAGAATATACATTCTAATACAATAATAATAGAATACACATTCATATCTAGCTCACATGGAGTATTCAAGAGATAGTACATTCTGGGCCACGAAACACACTGGAACAAATGTAAAATGATAGACTCATAAAAAGTATGTTCTCAAACCACAATGGAATTAAACTAGAAACCCATAACAGAGAGAGCTGGAAAGTCCCCAAGGTATTTCTAGAATAAACAACACACTAGACTAGTAGGTAGCACATGGATCAAAAAAAAGTCTCAAGAGAAACTTAAAAATATTTTTAACTAAATTAAAATGAAAAATATAGTTTACCAAATTTGTGGGATGCAGCAAAAGCCATGCTTAGAGGAAAATTTATAGCATTAAATGCATATATTAGAGAAGAAGAAAGATCTAAAGTCAATCTAAGCTTCAGAAAGAAGAAACTAGAGAAATAAGAGCAATTTAAGCTTAAAGTAAGTAGAAGGAAATAATAAAAATCAAAGCAGAAATCAATGAAATTGAAAACCAGAAGATGATAGAGAAAATCAGTGAAACCAAAAGCTGTCTCTTTGAATTATCAATAAAATTAACAGATCTCTAGCCAGGTTAACCAATTTTTTTTAGAAAAAGAAAGATACAAATTACCAATATTAGAAATTTGTTTGTTTGTTTGTTTGTTTTTGAGATGGAGTCTCATTCTGTTGCCCAGGCTGGAGTGCAGTGGCGTGATCTTGGATCACTGCAACCTCCGCCTCCTGAGTTCAAGTGATTCTCCTGCCTCAGCCTCCCGAGTAGCTAGGATTACAGGCACATGCTACCACACCCGTCTAATTTTGTACTTTTAGTAGAGGCGGGGTTTCACCATTTTGGCCACGCTGGTCTCGAACACCTGACCTCAGGTGATCCACCCACCTTGGCCTCCTAAAGTATTGAGATTACAGGTGTGAGCCACTGCGTCCAGCCCACATGTATTATTTAGAAATGTGGTGGGATTTTTGGATTAATAGAAGTGTATTTAAGCAGGAATACATAAAATCGTCATTGCTAGACTTAATATGAGATGTTAAATGTTTGATCCAATTTTTCTTCCTGGATAAGCTTTTCTTTCCTATCCCTACCGGATCCGATTCCACATAGAGCTACTGGATGAGTATTTGATAATGGGTCTGAAATTGGGATAGACATGTGCTGATCTTACACAAGTCCAACAAATTAAGCCAAGATGTTTGATGAGCCCTCGATGAATCATCATTGGTTAGGGTCATTGTGCTGATTAAGTACCCCTGTTTAAACCCAGATTTATGGCCAAATGCTCAGGTTGCAGTTTGTGGAGGTATGTCATATTCAGCTGGATTGAGGGTCATGGGCAGAGGGGCCAGGTGTGATGGAGTATAGTTTGGGAGAGTCATCTTGGTGACCCAGTGCACAACTGCGCCTCTTGACTCATGTATTATTCAGAAATGAGGTGTTTAATTTCCATATGTTTGGAGATTTACCTATTATCTTTTTGTTATTGATTTCTAGTTTGATTTCATTGTGATCTCAGAACACATGCTGTGCGATTTTGATTTTCAAAAATTCCTTGAGGCCGGGAGCAGTGGTTCATGCCTGTAATCCCAAGTCTCTTGGATGCCACGGTAGGAGGATCACTTGAGGATAGGAGTTGAAGGCTGCAGTAAGCCATGATCGGCACCACTGCACTCCGGCCTGGGCAATAGAGCAAGATGCTGTCTCTTTAAAAAAATTTTTTTTAGTTGACTTTTATTCTGTGACTTAAGATATAGTCTTGGTGAGTGTTCCATAAGCATTTCAAAAGAATGTGAATCTTGTTATTGTTATGTGAAGTATTGTCTAAATATTAATTAGATTCTTTTGATTGATGGCTTTTTAAAGTTCTTATACATCCTTGCTGCTTTCCTGTCTAGTGTTTCTTTTTTTTTTTTTTTGAGACAGAGTCTTGCTCTGTCGTCCAGGGTGGAGTGCAGTGGCACAATCTCGGCTCACTGCAGCCTCCGCCTCCCGGGTTCAAGCAATTCTCCTGCCTTAGCCTCCCGAGTAGCTGGGATTACAGGCGCCCGCCACCACACCCGGCTAATTTTTATATTTAGTAGAGACAGGGTTTCACCATGTTGGCCAGGCTGGTCTTGAACTCCTGACCTTAGGTGATCCACCCGCCTTGGCCTCCCAAAATGTTGGGATTACAGGTGTGAGCCACCATGCCCACCCTTCTGTCTAGTATTTCTATCAAGTGTTGAGAGAGATGTGTTGAAGTCTCCAACTTTAATAGTAGATGTCTATTTTTTTTTTCAGTTCTACCAATTTTTGTTTCATAGATTTTTAAGATCTGTTGTTTGGTATGTACACATGTATGATTGCTATGTCTTCTTTGTGATTTGACCCATTTAATATCTTTTTTTGGCCCTGGTGATTTTCTTTGCTCAGCAGTCTATTTCATCTGATATTGAAATTGCTAACTCTGCTTTCTTTTAATTAATCTTTGTATGGTGTATCTTTTTTCATCCTTTTATGTTCAGTCTACCTATGTCATATTTGAAGTGAGTTTCTTGTAGAGAGCTTATTTTGGGTCATTTTTTTCACTCCGTTTTGCCAGTCTCAGAGTTATAAAGTATATTTATAGACTACCGGCAGTTAATGCAATTATTTGTTAGGGTTTAAGCCTGCCATTTGATTGTTTTCTTTTCATTCCCTCTGCTTTTCATTCTTCTCTTTTATTTCTCTACTCTTCCTATGGGTTAAACAGTTTTTAGAATTCCATTTTTTTTATCTATGGTGAAGTGTTTTTTTTAAGTGTATCTCTTTGTGTAGGTTTTTTAGTGGCTGCTTTCTATATTACATCATACATAACATAATCTATGACCATCTACTGGTATCGACACTTTTGCCACTTTGAGTGAGGGATAGAAGCCTGACCTCTATTTAGGTCCCTTTACCCTTCTCCTTTCATAATGTAATTGTCTTAAATATCTTCATTACATAAATTGAATCCACATCAGACCATGTTATATAATTTCTGTTTTAGCCATCAAACATAATTTAGAAAATGCAAGTGAAGAAGGATAGCCCATCATATTTACCCATATTTTTATTATTTCCATTGTTCTTTCTTCACTCCTGATGTTTCGGGTTTTCTTCTTTCATCATTTCCTTTATGTTTGGAGAACTTCCTTTAGCCATTCTTTCACGGTACAGCAGGTCCTCAAATAATGTTATTTTGTTTAACGTCATTTCTTTATAATGTTGATGAGAAAAAAAAACAACAACTGATTCCCAGCCATGGCCACTGTCTGTGTAGAGTTTGCACATTCTCGTCATGTCTGTGTGGGTTTTCTCTGGGCACTCCAATTTCCTCCCACATCCCAGAGATGTGCACATTAGGTTAATTGGTGTATCTAAATTATCTAAATTATCCAAGTATGAGTGAGGGGTGTGTGTGTGTGTGCGTGCACGCATTCTGTGATGGAATGGCATCCTTTCCAGGGTGCCTTGCACCCTGAGCTGCCAGAATAAGATTCAGCCACCCAGGACCCTGAAATGGAATAAGCAGGTTGGAAATGAAGAATAAGTGAATACAAATTATTGTAAAATAAAAATTTGTAAAGTATATAATAATCATACAAATGCATAACAGTAAATAATTTGGTATAAGAGCACTCAGCCAGCCTGCCATATTTATTATTGTTTTTGAACTGCATGGTGGTAGGAGATACTCCTTACAATTTTTGCTCTGCAAAGATTTATTCCTTGGTTTAACTCACCACCATGATGACTGCTGTCACTCACTGCTTATACTAATCCAGCATGACCTCACTTTAATTACATCACCAATAGGTGAGTAAATAATGAACTTCCCTGTTTTATTAATCTTTCTTAAATGTATGTATAGCTCACATTTATTTTAATGTTTAATACTAGATGTGTCTGGGCATTTATTTAGAAGCGTGGTATTGTTTTTGTGACCAGAAGTATGCTGTATGGACTTACCTTGTTAATATCAATTAGTCTACGATAAACTTGCTTTCATTATACATCATTTTGGTTAAAGTTGCAGTTTCCAAGAAACTATTGATGACATTAAGGACTTACTATAGTTCTTCAGTTAACAAATTATGTTAGTTTTTCCTTCATTTGAGAATGTCTTGACTTTCATACCTGAAGGATTTTTTCACTTTGCTTAGCATTCTGGGTTGACGGTTTTTTCTTTCAGTACTTAAACATATTGTGCCACTTCTTTCTGGCTTTCACAGTTTCTGATGAGAAATCTGCTGCAATTTAAATTGTTGCTGTATTATTGGTAAGGTTAATTTCTCTGCAACTGCTTTCAAGACTTTAGTTTTCAGAAATTTGTTTATGGTGTGTCTTGTATGGATTTCTTTGGTTTATCATGCTTGGGGTTTAGTCAGCTTCTTGAATCCGTGTGTGTATGTCTTTCATCAAATTTGGGACACTTTCAGCTTTATTTCTTTGAACACATTTTTAGCTCCACCTTTTTTTTTTCTCTTCACCTAGGACTCCCATGACACAAATGTTAAATCTTTTGTTATAATCTTCCATGTTCCTGAAGCTTTGTTCTCTCTCTCTCTCTCTCATCTCTAGATCACCTGATCCAGCAGGTGATCTGCCCACGTTGGCCTCCCAAAGTGCTGGGATTATAGGCATGAGCCATCCTGCCTGGCTGAAATCCTCTTTTTATTTGTACTCTTTTTATCCCTGCAAATCTAAGGTGATGTTTTTGGATATATAATCCTTTTTAAAACTTGTGGGTCACTTTGAATCTTATTCAATATTACTCTGTTAGACAAAAGACATGCCCACAGATTTCTTTGCAATAAGCCCTTCTCTACTCTAGGCTTCGGCTGAGATGGCTAAGAGACAACAATCAGCCGTAAGATTTCCAGAATCACTATTGTTTTGATTTGGAGGATCTGTGAGACATATCCATAATTTGTTTAGACTCTTTAAATATGACTGAATAGTATTCTGAGGCACTGCCTTAAGTCTTTCTGAGATGTTAACAAAATATTTTACATTAATATTCTTTTTTTTTTTTTTTTTTTTTTTTTTTTTTGAGACAGGGTCTTGCTCTGTCGCCCAGGCTGGAGTGCAGTGGTGCGATCTCGGCTCACTGCAACCTCCGCCTCCCAGTTTCAAGTGATTATCCTGCCTCCGCAGTAGCTGGAATTATAGGCATGTGCCACCACGCCCAGCTAATTTTTTGTATTTTTAGTAGAGATGGGCTTTTACCATGTTGGCCAGGCTGTACATTAATATTCTCAGTTTCATATTTGGACCAGGCTTTCCTGGCAGTGCCCTGTATTTGAGTTTTGCTAGGAAGCCATTTTTAAATTTTACTATCATCTGCTATTTGGAGAGGATAAGCATTTTCTAAATCATGAAGTCTTAGCTCTTTCATGTTTAACATTCTTTCCTTTTAAAAAGTTCAGCGTTTTTCAACTCGAGCCCTATTGATATTTCAGCTAGGATAATTATTTGATGTGTGTGTGTTTGGTGGGGGGATTGGGGTGGTTTGAGGGGGGCTGCCTTATACATTGTAGGATGTTTAACAGCATCCTTGGCCTCTGCCAACTAGATGGCAGTAGCAACCTCCCCAGCTTTGACATCTAAAAATGCCTCCAGACATTGCCAAATATCCCTTGGGAGGCAGTGTCACTCTCACTGGAGAGCTCTTGCTTTAGTTTATCCCTTTGCTCCTCCCTTTCACTATAGGCAGCAAGAAGAAAGCAGGTGGCGCCTTTAACATTTTGCTTGGAAATTGCTTTACTTAGATCATCAAATTCATTAGGCACATTTTCTGTTTTCCACTTTATTGAAGGCAACAGGGTTGCTAATTTTTGTGTCACAGTATAGTTTCCAATAATATTTACTTCACTTGTCTGGGTATGGTGGCTCATGCCTGTAATCCCAGCACTTTGGGAGGCCGAGGCAGGTGGATCACCTGAGGTCAGGAGTTCTGGACCAGTCTAAACAACATGGTGAAACCCCACCTCTACTAAAAAAAAGCCGGGTGTGATGGCATGCACCTGTAATCCCAGCTACTTGGGAGGCTGAGGCAGGAGAATCACCTGAACCTGGGAGGCAGAAGTTGCAGTGAGCTGAGATCAACAAGAGCAACACTCTGTCAAAAACAAAACAAAAAAACAACAAAAAAAACCCCAAAAAACAAAAAAACAGAAAAACAGTATTTACTTCACTTTCCTGCATACCCTCACTGCACCTTATCTAAGGGCCGAGGCTTCTTTAACAGCTTCTTCAAGGTGCTTTAGGTTTTTACTATACTCTTCTCAAAGTCCAATTCTAATGCCACTCCTGCATATTAGAGTACTGTTACAGCAGTACTTTACCCAGTACCAAAATCTTTCTTTTCCCCTTTAAAAATTTTTTTCTTTATATGTTCCAATGAACAGAATTTTAATATGTTACCTATTGCTGCATAATAAACTATCCCAGAATTTAGCATCTTAAAACAAGAAGTATTTACTATCTCAAAGTGCTTGAGTATCAGGAATCCAGGAGTGGTTTAACTGAGTGGTTCTGCCTAAGTTTCCCATGAGGTTTCAGTCAAACTGCTGGCCAGGGCTGTAATTATCCCAAGATTTTACTAGGGCAATTTTATCAATTTCCATACTCAATCATGTGGTTGCTGGCAGGCCTCAGCCTTCATGGGCTCTTGGCCGGAAGCTTCCTTTCCTTGCCATGCGGGCCTCTCTATAGTGGCTGTTGACAAAATGGCAGCTTGCTTCTCCCAGAGTGAGTGACCCCAAAAATAGAGTACACACTAAAGACAGAAGCTGTAGTCTTTTTTTTTTTAATTTGAATTTTAGAAGTGACATACCATCATTTCTGGCATATCCTGCGGGTCACATAGGTAAACTAATGGTGGCAGGAGGCAGACAGGTTCCTAGGTGGGAAGGGGTGGGTCCTTGGTGAAACCCCACCTTCAAGCCAGGGATGACCTGAAGCCTGACAGCCAGGCCTCCAGTTCTGTGTGGAGTCCACTACCTAAAGTGAGAACTTCCTTGATGCCTTTTGGCCAATCAGATGGTGCTTTTTCCTGACCCGGCCAGATTCATGGACTCGTTGGGACTACCTGCCTGCAGATAGGAGCTACCCACTTTGGGTCTCCTCTCCTCTGAGAGCTGTTTGGTCAGCCGATAAAGCTGTTCTCTGCCTTGCTCACCTTCCAGTTGTCTGTGTAACCTCATTCTTCACGGATGCTGGTCAAGAACTCAGGACCTGCCAAATGCGGGAGTAAAAGGAGCTGTAACACTTTCCTGGCCGGCTCGCTGAGGTGCAGGTGGGAGCTAAAGGGGCTGTAACACGTTCCTGGCTAGCTCGCTGAGGTGCAGGTGGTGACACGTTCCTGAACTGCTGGAGTGAAGAGTGGAGACCCTTCTGGAGGCCCAGACCTCGGGATTCTCCGAGCCAGAGCGGTAACACACTAGTTCTCCTGCCCTCTGCCAGCGCCAGGCTGCCACCCCATGCAACAGGAAGCAGTGGCGGGGCCAGGCCAGCCCAGGAGCCACAGGCCGGAGCAGGGTGGCAGGACTGAAAGAGCAGTAACACAAATGGGCTGAAACTCCACCCCCTGAAATACAGCACCCCCACCTCGCTGAGCGGCTGCCGGTGATGAGAAAGAGAGAAGAGCTGCAGCCCTTCTGGGGGCCCAGATCTCGGGGCTCCCTGAGGCAGGGCTGTGACATGCTGTAACACCCTCTTTGGGGCTCTGCAGTTCCTGGTGTCTCAGAGCTTTCAGGTGCCACTGCGTTCCCCTGGTCCAGACGCTGGTGCCTATAGCAGAGGTCGCTTGGGGTAGGTCTGGTCCAGCCAGAGCCTTGCATGGAGCTGGTGCCTGTGCCAGTGCCTGGAGCTGCTCACGTGGCTGCGGCAGCTTGTGTGCCTGGCTCTGTGTGGTGACTGGACCTCACGCTTGCTCACACACCCCCCCACCACTCCATGCCTGGCTTACCCTTGGTAGGCATGGGATCCGGGCTGCACTAGCCAAGCACAGCCTGCCAGGTGAGTGGGCAGAACGAGTGGGCACAAGCAAAACTCCAGCAGAGGCACCACCAGCCACAGAGGTTTTGCACTGACCAAGTGACACCCAAAGGATCCCGTGACATAACCTTGGTACAGTGTAGGAGAGGACTGCCCGGATGTACATGATAGGTGGTAAGGAACATTGGGAGGTGTTTTGTGGCTGACTGTGGCCACAAAAATTTCCATTTTATTCCATCCAATATGTTTTTCTTTTTTTCTTTTTCCTTTTTTTTGTTTTAGAGTCTCGCTCCGTTGCCCAGGCTGGAGTACAATGGCGTGATCTCGGCTCACTGCAAACTCCGCCTCCCAAGTTCAAGTGATTCTCCTGCATCAGCCTCCCAAGTAGCTGGGATTACAGATGCATGCTACCATGTCTGGCTGATTTTGGTATTTTTAGTAGAGACGGGGTTTCACCATGTTGGCCAGGCTGGTCTCGAACTTCTGACCTCAAGTGATCCACCCATCTCAGCCTCCCAAAGTGTTGGAATTACAGGCATGAGCCACTGCACCTGGCTGTTTCTTCTTCTTTCTTTTTTCTTCTTCTCTCTTCTTTTTTCTTCGTCTTCCTCCTCCTCTTCTTCTTTCTTCTTCTTCTTCTTCGACTGAGTCTCGCTCTATCACCCAGGCTGGAATGCAGTGGCATGATCTAGGCTCACTGCAACCTCCGCCTCCTGGATTCAAGTGATTCTTGTGCCTCAGCCTCCCAAGTAGCTGGGATTAGAGGCACCCACCACCACGCCCAGCTAATTTTTGTATTTTTAGTAGAGACGGGGTTTCACCATGTTGGCCAGGCTGGTCTTGAACTCCTGACCTCAAGTGATCCGCCCGCCTCGGCCTCCCAAAGTGCTGAGATTACAGGCGTGAGCCACCACACCCGGCCTATTTTATTATTTTTTTGAGATGGGGTTTCACTCTGTTACCTGGGCTACAGTGCCGTGGTGTGATCTCGGTTCACTGCAGCCTTGACCTCCCAGGCTCAAGCGATTTTCTTGCCTCAGCCTCATGAGTAGCTGGGACTACAGGCATGCACCACCATGCCTGGCTAATTTTTGTATATTTTGTAGAGATGAAGTTTCTGCCAATGTTGCCCAGGCTGGTCTCAAACTTGTGGGCTCAAGCGATCCTCCCAGCTAGTCTCCCAAAATGCTGAGACTACAGGCATAAGCTCCTGTGCCTGGTTCAACACTTTTTTTTTTTTTTTTTTTTTTTTTGAGACAGGGTCTTGCTCAGTTGCCCAGGCTGGAGTGCGGTGGTGGCATCTCAGCTCACTGCAACCTCCACTTCCCAGGATCAAGTTATCCTCCTACCTCAGGCCTCCAAATAGCTGGGAATACAGGCATGAGCCACCATGCCCAGCTAATTTTTATATTTTTTGTAGAGACGAGGTTTTGTCATGTTGCCCAGGCTGGTCTCAAATTCAAGGTCAAGCGATCCACCTGCCTCAGCCTCCCAAAGTGCTAGGATTACAGGCCTGAGCCAGTGTACCCAGCCATGTATTTTCTAATATCCCTTGGACTTCATCTTTGACTCATGTTTTATTTTGAAGTATTGGGATTGTTTTTCAGTTATCTTTCTGTTATTATTTCTATTTAATTCTGTTATGGTCATACAACATAATTTAAATTCTTCTAAATTTGTTGAGGATTGTTTTTGTTGCCCAGAATATGATGAATCTCTCATTGAATGTTGTATGTGCAGTTGAAAAGAATGTTTATTCTGCTGTTGGTGGGTAAAGTGTCATGAATATAATTAGGAGAAATTAATGATAGTGTTAAGGTTTTCTATATCCTTGCTTTTTTGGTGTACTTATTTTATTGATTATTGAGAGAGAAGGGTTGAATTATCTAGGTGCAATATAGATTTTTTCTGTTTCTTATTTCAGGTCTACTGGTTTTTACTTCATATATTTTTGAAGCTCTGTTGTTAGTATATACACTCTTATGACTGTTAAGTCTTCTTGGTGAATTGAACCTTTTATTATTAAATAATACCACTTTTCCTCCCTGGTAATAGTCCTTCTTAAATCTACTTTGTCTGATATTAATACTGTCACTCCAACTTGCTTGGTTTCATGTTTGTATGGTGTGTCTTACTCCATTCATTTTTTTTTTAGGGATCCAATTCCTCTACACATCCTTTTACTTTTAACCCATATATTTCTTTATATTTAAAGTGGGTCTTGTGGACAACATATTATTGCCTCTTACTTTGCTCCCAATCTGCTAATTTGTCTTTTAATTGATTGTCTTTTTACTGATACACTGGATTAAAATCTATCACCTTGTTATTTGTTTTCTAATCTTTCATCTGTGCTTTTTTTCTTTTTTCTTCCTTGATTTGGATTATGTTTCGAAAAGGAAAACTCCCAATCTCATGGGTGCTGCAAGTAGACAAGATGTATTGCATCTGATTGAAATAGTTTATTATTCATAGCACAACAAACAGTGTGAACATCAGCATAGTTGTATTGGTTCCCCTGGTCCTACATTCAACAGATGATGCAGTGAGCCCAGATGCATGGTATTCACACAGTGGGTTTGCATTGTAGCTGAGGGACCTAGGCCCAGCACTTTTTATTTTATTTTATTTTATTAATTAATTAATTTATTTGAGACAGGGTCTCACTGTGTTGCTTAGGCTGCTCTCGAATTCCTGGACTCAAGTGATCCTCCTGCCTCAGCCTCTCAAAGTGCTGGGATTACAAGCATGAGCCACCACGCCTGGTCCCAGGACATTTTTATAGCAAGCAGTAAGCAAGCCTGCCTTGGTCTGAGAAATGATCTCACCTCTCAAAACTCTAGCTGTACTAACAATCCTGAACAAGGACCCAGGTGAAAGAGAGGTCTGGGCCTTGTGATCTTGACATACTCAGCAAGACACGTTGGACACAAGTGGCCTAGGGAGGAAGCCTCCCAACATTAGAAAAAATTATTATATGTACTTGTTTTCATGTTCAACAGTCATTTTAAAAAATAAATTTTATTGTATATGTTTAAGGTATACAACATGATGTTATGGAATACATAGATATAGTAAAGTGATTACTATAGTGAAGCAAACGAACATATCCATCATCTCACATAGTTACCTATTCCAGCATTTTTATGATTCCATTTTCTATTATTGGCTTGTTACTTACACCTCTCTAAAAAAATTTTTTTAGTGGTTGCTATTGAATTTACTATATCTTTAATCAGTCTATCTTCAAATAATGTTATACCACTTCTTATATATCATAAGGACCCTTTAACAGCATATTTCCCATTCCTCCATCTCCTCATTTTTACTGTTGTTATTGTCATACATTTCACTTTTATATATGCTATGAGGCCACAATGCATTGCTTTAGTAAAGCAGTTACCTTTTAAAGTGAGTAAAAATGAGAAACAATGTCTCTTATATTTACCTTTATTCTATCTGTTTCCAGAGATCATCATTTCTTTATGTAGATCCAAGTTTCTCTCAGGTATCATATTTCTTCTGCTTACAGAACGTCCACTGGTAATGAATTTTCTCTCTCTCTTTTTTTTTTTTTGATCTGAAAAAGTGTATTTCCTTCATGTTTGAAAGATGTATTTGCTAGGTATAGAATTCTGGATTGGCAGTTTTTTGTCTTTCAGCATTTTAAAGATATGACTCTATTATCTTCTGGTTATATAATTTCTGATGAGAAGTCTTCTGTAATTCTTTGTTCCTCTGTAGGGAGTGTGCCTTTTTCCTCTAGATGCCTTCAATATTTTCTCTTTATCTTTGGTTTTCAGCAATTTGAATATGATATATTAGGTTGTGTTTGCATGTGCTTCTTTGTTGTGTTTGTATATTGGCATTTAATCTTTTCTGGATTCTGTGAGTTTCTTGGCTCTGTGGTTTGATATCTTTCATTATTTTTGGAAAATTATTAGCTATTATATCTACAAATAAATATTGTATCTACATATATATATTTTTTTTTCTCTGTTTCTTCTCCTTCTGGGATATGAATCACTTATATGTTAGCGCTTGGATATTTGTTCTGGTTTTTGTTTGTTTGTTTCACTCTTTTCTTTTTCTGTTTCAATTTGAGTATTCTCTATTGACCTATCTTCAAGTTCACTGGTTATTTCCTCAGCTATGTCGAGTTTACTGATTGATATAGTTTGGTTGTGTCACCACCCAAATCTCATCTTGAATTGTGGTTCCCATAATCCCCACGTGTCATGGGAGAGACCAGGTGGAGATAATTGAATCATGAGGGTGGTTCCCCCATCCTGTTCTCATGATAGTGAGTTAGTTCTCACAAGATCTGATGGTTTTATAAGGGGCTTCCTCCTTCCCCAGGCACTTCTCCTTGCTGCTGCCACATGAAGAAGGACGTGTTTGCTTCCCCTTCCACCATGATTGTAAGTTTCCTGAGGCCTCCTCAGCCCTTTGGAACAGTGAGTCAATTAAACCTCTTTTCTTTGTAAACTACCCAGTCTCAGGTATGTGCTTATAGCAGTGTGAGAACAGACTAATACAGTAAACTGGTATTGGTAGAATGAGGTGCAGCTATAAAGATACCTGATAATGTGGAAGCAGCTTTGGAACTGGGTAGCAGATAGAGGTTAGAACAGTTTGGAGGGCTCAGAAGAAGAAGGAAAATGTGGGAAAATGTGGAACTTCCTAAAGTCTTAGAGGGCTCAGAAGACAGGAAAATGTGAGAAGGTTTGGAACTTCCTAGAGACTGTTGAATGGCTTTGACCAAAATGCTAATAGTGATATGAACAATGAAATCTAGGATGAGGTGGTCTCAGATGGAAATGAGGAACTAGCTGGGAACTGGAGTAAACTTCACTTTTGCAATGCAAAGAGACTGGTGGCATTTTACCCCTGCCCTAGAGATCTGTAGAACTTTGAACTTGAGAGAGATGATTTAGGGTATCTGGCAGGAGAAATTTCTAAGTGGCATAGCATTCAAGAGGAAGCAGAGAATAAACTTTTGGAAAATTTGCAGCCTGATGATGTGATAGAAAAGAAAAACCCATTTTTTTCTGGGAGAAATTCAAGCCCCTTACAGAAATTTGCATAAGTAACAAGGAGACAAATATTAATCACCAAGACAATGGGGAAAATGTCTCCAGGGCATATCAGAGACCTACACAGCAGCCCCTCCCATCATAGGCCCAGAGGCCTAGGAGGGAAAAATGATTTCCTGGGCCAGGTCCAGTGCTCCCTTGCTGTATGCTGCCTCAGGACTTGGTGCCCTGCATCCCAGCCACTCAAGCCATGGCAAAAAGGGGCCAAGGACAGCTCGGGCTATTGCTTCAGAGGGTGCAAGCCCCAAGCCTTGGCAGCTTCCATGAGGTATTGGGCCAGCAGGTGTGCAGAATGCAAGAATTGAGGTTTGGGAACCTCCGCCTAGATTTCAGAGGTTGTATGGAAATGCGTGGATGTCCAGGCAGAAGTCTGCTGCAGGGGCGGAGCCCTCATGGAGAACCTCTGCTAGGGCAGTGCGGAAGGGAAATGTGGGGTCAGATCCTACACACAGAGTCCCCACTGGGGCATTGCTTATGGAGCTGTGAGAAGAGGGCCACTGTCCTCCAGACCCCCGAATGGTAGATCCACCAACAACTTGCACTGAGTGTCTGGAAAAGTTGCAGACACTCAATGGCAGCCATGAAAGCAGCAGGGAGGGGGTCTCTACCCTGCAAAGCCACAGGGGTGGAGCTGCCCAGGGCTGTGGGAGCCCACCTCTTGCATCAGTGTGACCTGGATATGAGACCTGGAATCAAAGGATATTATTTTGGAGCTTTCAGGTTTAATGACTGTCCTATTGGATTTCAGACTTGCATGGGGCCTGTAGCCCCTTTGTTTGGGCCAATTTACCCCTTCAATTTCTCCTATTTAGAATGAGGGTATTTACCCAATGCCTATAACCCCATTATATCTAGGAAGTAATTAACTTGCTTTTGATTTTACAGGCTCTTAGGTGGAAGGGACTTGCCTTGTCTCAGAAGAGTCTTTGGACTTGGACTTTTGGGTTAATACTGGAATGAGTTAAGACTTTGGAGGACTGTTGGAAGCACATAATTGTGTTTTGAATTGTGAGGACATGAGATTTGGGAGGGGCTGGGGCAAAATTATATGGTTTGACTGTGTCCCCACCCAAATCTCATCTTGAATTGTGGTTCCCATAATCCCCACATGTCATGGAAAGGACCAGGTGAAGACAGTTGAATCATGGGGGTGGTTTCCCCCATCCTTTTCTTGTGATAGTGAGTTACTTCTCATGAGATCTGATGGTTTTATAAGGGGCTTCCCCCTTCGCTGGGCACTTCTTGCTGCTGCCATGCGAAGAAGGACGTGTTTGCTTCCCCTTCTGCCATGATTGTAAGTTTCCTAAGGCCTCCCCAGCCCTGTGGAACTGTGAGTTAATTAAACATCTCTCATTTATAAATTACCCAGTCTCAGGTGTGTCTTTGTAGTAGCGTGAGAAAGGACTAGTATACTGATAAGCCTGTCAACAGCATTCTTCAAATCTGTTATATGTATGTGTTTTTTCTTATTTCTAGCATTTCTCTATGTCTCTTTTTTTGTAGTCTTCATATTTCTGCAAAAATTCCCCTTTTGTTCTTTCATATTGTCTACATTTTCCACAAGAGCCTTTCATATTCACGTATTACTTATAGTTGTCTTAAGTTCTGTGTCAGATAATTACAGCATCTGCATCTTGCACCTGGTCTTGCTTTCTCTCTCTCTCTCTTTCTCTTTCTCTCTTTCTCTCTTTAATATAGAAACAGGGCCTTACGATATTGCCCAGACTGGTCTTCAGACTCCTGGCCTCAAGCATTCCATCTGCCTTGGCATTCCAAAGTGCTGGATTATAGGTATAAGCCACCACACCTGGACTGCTTTGTCTCTTGACAGTAGGTTTTTTTGGTATTTTAAAAGTTGTGTGTGTGTGTGTGCGTTGTAATTTTTGTTTGTTTGTTTTTGAGATAGAGTTTCACTTTTGCCAACCAGACTGGAGTGCAATGGTGCGATCTTGGCTCACTGCAACCTCTGCTTCCCAGGTTCAAGCGATTCTCCTGCCTGAGCCTCCCAAATAGCTGGGATTGCAGGCACCCACCACCATGCCCAGCTAATTTTTGTATTTTCAGTAAAGATGGGATTTCACTGTGTTGGCCAGGCTGGTCTTGAACTCCTGACATCAGGTGATCCATCCACCTTGGCCTCCCAAAGTGTTGAGATTAGAGGCGTGAGCCACTGCACCCAGCCTGTGTTGTAATTTTTTATTGAATTTTGGACACAGTGCTTATAATAGTAAGGACTGAGTTCATTATTATTTATGCCTGGAAATTGTCGTATCTCTTCTTCTCTTAGGCCATTAGTGTGGGGGATTCAGTCAGTTTTTTCAGGAGTTGAATTAGGTTTGAGTTTTGTTGTTTCTATGATTACTTCAGTGTCTATATCTCCTACAAATTTTATGTAGTCATGCTAGCTATATTGGGTCTTTAGTAATTCCATAAAAATTTTGGCCTGGCATGTTGGCTTACACCCATAATCCCAGCACTTTGAGAGGCTGGAGCAGGAGGATCACTTGAGGCCAGGAGTTTGAGACCAGCTTAGACAACATAGCAAGACCCTATCTCTAACAAAAAATAATAATAATAATAAAATAAAATTAGCCATGTGTGGTGATGTGCATTTGTAGTCCTAGATACTTGGGAGACTGAAGTGGGAGGATACCTTGAGCTTAGTGAGTCATGACTGCACTACTGTGCTTCAGCCTCTGGACAGTGTGAGACCTTGTCTCTGAAAAATAAAAACATAAACATTAGCTGAACTCTTCTAACCTACTTGTAAGGAGAGCTTGTCTTTCTCTTGCTACACAACTGAGTGAGTGCCTGCATCCCGTCACTTCCTGGAGGCTCCTGTCCTTCTTTGGAATGCTGGTTAATTGGTTGCTCTGCAACCTTAGGTCTCTGATAAGTTTGACAAAAGTTGTGATTTTGTAAATTACCCAACAATTTTTAAAAACTGTTATTAGTTTGATAATGATGCTCTTCCCAGGTTTCTGCATCCTAGATGGAAGCCGGAGTCTCAAGCCGTCTACCTTTTCACGGTGCTATTCAACGTTTTGGCCACCTACTCCTGGCCTGCTGCTTGGGTCTTTCTTTTGGGTGACACCCTTCCAGTTTAGCCCCCTGAAATATTTTCAGGTTAGATGTTTCCCCCTCTCCATTCCTTCTTTATGGCAAATATCTGACAAAGAGAAGGGACAGAGGTTCCTGATCTTTCTTCATCTTGGGCTCAAAATAATCCATGGAGTCGTGTTCTGAAGGATACATCTGGGCCAGGCGCAGTGGCTCACGCCTATAATCCCAGCACTTTGGGAGGCTGAGGTGGGCAGATCACTTGAGGCCAGGAGTTCAAGACCAGCCTGGCCAACAGGGCAAAAACCCCCCTCTACCAAAAATAGAAAAATTAGCCAGGCATAGTGGAGTGCACCTGTAATTCCAGCTACTCAGGAGGCTGAGGTGGGAGAATTGCTTGAATCCAGGAGGTGGAGGTTGCAGTGAGCTGAGATGGTGCCACTGCACTCCAGCCTGGGCAACAGAGCAAGACTCTGTCAAAAAAAAAAAGGGATACATCTCTGAAAATGGGGACATGACTGGGAGTGAGCTAAGCTCTTATCCACTGTACTCCTGACTTGGCCCTCATTTTCTGTGCTAGAAAATTAGATGAAGTATCTACTCTATCCATTAATGAGAAATAAGAATCAAACCAACCCAATGAAATAGTTCTTAGAAGATGAAAACTACAACAGGATAAAAGGGGAACAGGCACAGGATAAAAGGGTTGTAAGCACAGTCTCTAGAGGCAGTCTACCTGGGCTTAAATTCCAGGTCCATCACTTACTAGCTGTAGGGCCTGGGACAAGTTCCTTCACCTCTCTGTATCTCAACTTCTGTATCTGTAAAGTGGAAACAGCAAGAGGATTAAAAGGGTTAATTTTTGTAAAGCACTTATAATAGTGACTGGCACATAATAAGCTCTGTGGAAGTGTTAACAATTAGGGCTTACTTCCTATAATTTCAGAAATTTGTGGAAGACAGCAGTTCCCTCCCTTTCTCAGAACCCATTACCATCAAAACAGCTAACGATTACTGAGCATTTCCAAAGTGCCCAAGTCCTGTAACTAACCATTTTATATAAATTATCTTATAAGAGGGAGGGATTAATTATTCCTCTTTAGTAGGTAAGAGATCAAGGATCAGAGAAGTGTTTACCCAGCTGGCTAGAGGAATCAATAGGTTTACAACCCAAGAGGGTCTGACTGTATTGCCTGTGCTCTTAACCATTGCATTTGTTGCCTCCCACAAACTAGTTTCCATGCTTGTAAACTAGTGGGAAAATTGCATGCTGTATTTATCTCACAGGGTTGTTTTGAGATCCCAATAATGTTAAGAGGCAGTGCTTTAGTGTACAGAGTGCTGGTCCCCTGACAGGGAAACCTGAATGTGTCAATGATTTGTTCACACTTCCCTCCCTCTGCACATGCCCTTCTCCCTCTTTTCTGCTTGTTGAACTCATGTCTTCAAGACTTAGCTCAGATATCAGCGTCCAGATTTTATTCTAACAGTGGAGGAATTTAGGCAACGCCGCGTGGCGGGGGGGTCGAGGGGGGCACACCAGACTTGTGTTCTGAAATGACAGCTGACTTGTAATGCAGGGAATGGAGTGTAGCCGGGCCAGAATGAGTACAAGAAAACCAGATAGGGCCGGGCGCGGTGGCTCACGCCTGTAATCCCAGCACTTTGGGAGGCCGAGGCGGGTGGATCACGAGGTCAGGAGATCGAGACCATCCTGGCTAACAAGGTGAAACCCCGTCTCTACTAAAAATACAAAAAATTAGCCGGGTGCGGTGGCGGGCGCCTGTAGTCCCAGCTACTCGGGAGGCTGAGGCAGGAGAATGGCGTGAACCCAGGAAGCGGAGCTTGCAGTGAGCCGAGATTGCGCCATTGCAGTCCGCAGTCCGGCCTGGGCAACAGAGCGAGACTCCGTCTCAAAAAAAAAAAAAAAAAGAAAAGAAAACCAGATAGAAGGTTACTGCATTAGGAGCCCAGGCGGGAGGTGGTGGGGCAAACGGAAGGAATGGTGGACTGGAAAGATATTTAGGAAAGAGAATCGACAGGAAATGGAGGTGTATTTTAATATAGGCAGCGAGGGAGAGGGAGGTGGCAAGGATGACTCCTAGTTCCTGACTTGCTCGCGGATGTTTGTCGAATGAATGA